>NC_000015.10:42367783-42670813 GCF_000001405.40 Homo sapiens
AGTCAGCTGATTTTCCCTGTATGGTAACCCTCCCTATTTTTTTCTCTCTTTTTTTTAAACAGAGATAGGAGTCTCACTATGTTGTCCACACTGGACTTGAACTCCTGGGTTTAAGTGATCCTCCTGCCTCAGACTCTGAGTAGCTGGGACTACAGGCATATCCTGTTTTTGAATCATGTCATCCCTCTTTTAGTTAATTCAGATCAGTCACAAAAGTGTTCCAACTTTATGCCATAGGCATGGCTTTTCCAACATGGAGGACGTCAGTGCTATAAACCTTACACAGCCAATCCTTGTTATTTGCAGATGCCATATTTGCAAATTCACCTACTCGCTAAGGTTTGTCTCCTCAAAATTAGTACTTGAGGTGTTTTTGCAGTCATTTGTGGGCATACACAGAGCTGTGAAAAATCTGAGTCACCCCACATGCCTGTTCCCAGCTCAGGTCAAACAAGGCAACACTCAGCCTTCTTGTTTCAGCTTTGATACTGTAAAGAATGTCCTTTTCATGACGTCTTTAGTGCCATGTTTTTCTCATTTCTGTGCTTTTTATTGGTGACCTCCAAGCATAGTGCTGAAATGCTGTCTAGCATTCTAGGAGGCTGTGGTGTGCCTCATGGAGGAAATACGTGTGTCAGATAAGCTTTGTTCACACACAAGTTATAGTCAGTTGGCTGTGAGTTCAATGTTATTGAATCATCAATCAATAAACAATAATTTAATGAATCAATATTAAATAAGGTGTCTTTAAGCAGAAACATCATAAAATAAGGCTCTGTATTGATTGGTTGATGAAAATGTGACCAGAGACTCATAGGACTCTAACTCTGTAGTTCCCCTAGGAGCAATGGTTCAGTATTTACTAATACAGTGTTCTCAGCGTTATTATAAAACATAACTACCAAGAATAATGAGTATTGACTATACTTCATTTTCTCTGTATTCTTAAATATTACAGCTTGAAACAATGCTCTATTAAGAATGTGGGCTGGGCGTGGTGGCTCACACCTGCAGTCCCAGCATTTTGGGAGGCCAAGGCGGGTGGATCACTTGAGCCCAGGAGTTCAAGACCAGCTTGGGCACCATGGTGAAACCCTATCTCTACCAAAAATACAAAGATTAGCCAGGTATGGTGGTTTGTGCCTATAGTCCTAGCTGTAAGAGTTAAAAAGAAAGAGGAAAGAAACATGAAAAATGGCTCAATAAAGACAGGTTTATTTTGGAGAATAAACCTGAGAGGGGCTTCTGGCTGATTTCTGTCAGGAGTACTCTCTCTTACAGACTAAGTGTATTTAAGGGTTCAGGGTGAGAGAGCCTATCACAGGCTTGGAATGTTTCTGTGTGGAGGAGAAGTTCATTGTGGGTTTGGAATGTCTCTGGTTGGAGGGGAGGTTATCTTGGGGCTGGCTTGTCTCTGGTCAGGGAGAGAGTTTATCTTACGGTTGGAATGTTTCTGGTTGGAGATGTCATTTGTGGTTTATGGTCATACTGACATTAGCCATTAGGCTGATGCCCTTTGGGTTGGATTTAGGCAGTTTTTGATCAAGGGGCACTTTAAAATGGTGGTGCTTGTCCAAGATGGTGATGCTCCTGCTCTGTCACTAGCTACTTGGGAGGCTGAGGTGGGAGGATCACTTGAGCTACGGAGGTTGGGGCTGCAGTGAGCCAAAATTGCGCCACTGCATTCCAGCCTGAGTGACACAGTAAGACCATCTCAAAAAGAAGAAAAAAAAAAGAATGTGATCAGTATGAAGTATTGCAGCATGTTTTAATCCATTGCAGTCATTCTTCTTTTTCATGTTCAAATTGTTCCATCTTTGGACAGTAGGAGCCCCTGTATGTTGCCTGTATCATTTCACGTTGCTCCATTAATCTTTTATCCCTTTCTTGTTTTCTGGCCACAACAAAATGTGCCACGCCCATCTTGTACATTTGTTGCCCCACAACTGGAATGAATCATTTCTTCAAGAAACCCAGTTCCTTTGGTCTGAAAGGGAGGGAAAGAAAGGGCATAAGATTGAGAGGACAGATGGCCACCAACTTCCCCAGCACTTGGCCATCGCATCAGCACTTTCTTTCTTTCTTTCTTTTTTTTTTTTTTTTTTGAGACAGAGTCTTTACTCTCGTTGCCCAGGCTGGAGTGCAATAGCGCGATCTTGGCTTACTGCAACATACATCTCCTGGGTTCAATTCATTCTCCTGCCTCAGCCTCCCAAGTAGCTGAGATTACAGGTGCCCGGCACCACGCTTGGCTAATTTTTGTATTTTTAGTAGAGATGGGGTTTCACCATGTTGGCCAGGCTGGTCTCGAACTCCTGACCTCAGGTGATCCACCTGCCTCAGCCTCCCAAGGTGCTGAGATTACAGGCGTGAGTCACTGCGCCTGGTCTCACATCAGCACTTTCAAGTTGGAAGCTTTCTGTCCATACCAGACGGTCTCTTGCTCTAATGACCTCTTCCATGTGCCCCACTGCCTCTAAAATTAATACTGACTCCTGTGTATCTTCTCAGCCAGGAGTCATTTGACCTGTGTTACTCAGTTCTGAAAAGAAGAAATCCTAGGTTGGCACACAAAAAAAAGTTACTCCATGCCAGCATGAGAAGAGAGGGAGGGGGCTGAATCACAGAAAAACCTAGGCTGTGGCAGGAAGCTCTCTGCTCCTAGTGCCTACGACCCAGTTGTTTCTTCTCCCAGGAAAATTATATATCTTTCCAATGAAGCTGGCTCAGCGAGTGGTCTGCTTGTGATCTGCTTTAAGAGTGTTACCTTCTGTCAGACAGTTTACAGAGAAGTGAGGTCACTGTCCTAGCCACAGAGAGGAAGAACTGGGGGCATTGTGCAGAGTGGATAAAACAGCTAGAGTTAGAACCAAACAGACCCGGTCTGAACACTGACTCGGCCACTAGCAAGTCACATAAGTAAGTCACATTTTTTAAGTTTCGCTTTTCTCTTCTGTAATGAGGATAAGGATATTCCCATCATAGGGCTGTTTTGAGTGGCATTCAGCGTCCTAGTAGGTGTGCAAGGTAAGGTAGCAATTACTATTAGCATAGGCAGCAAAGGGTAGGAGCATAACACAATGATGTTATGACTTCATAACATCAGAGCACATAACATCAGAGCACAGGCTCTGAAGTCAGGCAAACTTCATTCAAATCCCAGCTCCACCGATTAACGATGTGACCTCAGGCAAATTATTGACCATTCCGAGGTCTCAGTTTCTGCATCTGTGAGAAGAAAATGAAAATTCCTACTTTCATAGAGTTGTTGTAAGGATTAAATGAGATTCTATACATAACATAATACAATGAGTCAATAAATAATGATGATAGTAACTGAAAGACAAAACGAGGTACCCATTTGAGAGCCAGCCTTCTGTCTACTCAGCAGAGAATCATGATAGTGTCATCACGGGGGTAGGGGGGATGGGGAAGGTGCATATGTTTCAGTGAAAGTGACAATTATATAAGTAACTTTTAGGAGCAACTTCTATTATATTCTACAAGACAGCAGCTCCTCCTGGGGGTCATGATGGGGACAGAGCTGTAGACATCATGGTGAACAAATTAAAGTGACTCAGCAGTTTAATGCTGACAATGAGAGGGGCTGGGACAGAAATGGCCAAGAAATACAAGAAAAGATGCATTTTCCTAATTATAAATAAGGCAAAGCATCTTTTTTGTACACTTGTCTGTTCCTTGATCATCTGTATTTCACTGTACATGAAACACCTGCTAATGCCTTTTGCTGATTTTTCTACTGAGTTGTCTTTTTCAATTTGAATTGTAGGCATTCTTTATATATCCTGGATACTAATCCTTTCTTGGTTAGATGTGTTACAGATACCTTCTCCCACCTTGTGACTTGCCTCTTCACTCTCTCAAGAATACTTTTTTAGGCTGGGCGTGGTGGCTCATACCTGTAATCCCAGCACTTTGGGAGGCCGAGATGGGCAGATCACCTGAGGTCAGGAGTTCGAGACCAGCCCGGCCAATATGCTGAAACCACATCTCTACTAAAAATACAAAAATTAGCTGGACATAGTGGCGGGAGCCTGTAATCCCAACTACTCGGGAGGCTGAGGCAGGAGAATCGCTTGAACCCAGGAGACAGAGGTTGCAATGAGCCAAAATCCTAGTACTGCACTCTAGCCTGGGTGACAGAGCAAGACTCCATCTTAAAAAAATTAAAAAAAAATCTTAAAAATTAAAAAAAAAAAGGCTGTTGGGACTTTTATTGCAGTTACATTGAATCAATATGGGAAGAATACACATCTTGACAATATTGAGTCTTCCTATCCATGAAGCAGGGATGTTTCTCCATTTAAATAGGTGTCTTTTAATAAAAGTTTTATAATTTTCTCAGTGACATCTTTAACATTTTTTTTTCTTTGAGATGGAGTTTCGTTCTTGTTGCCCAGGCTGGAGTACAATGGTGCAATCTCGGCTCACTGCAAACATCACCTCCCAGGTTCAAGCAATTCTCCTGCCTCAGCCTCCCAAGTAGCTGGGATTATAGGCATGCACCATAATGCCTGGCTAATTTTGTATTTTTAGTAAAGACAGAATTTCACCATGTTGGTCAGGCTAGTCTCAAACTCTTGACCTCAGGTGACCCCCTACCCTTGGCCTCCCAAAGTGCTGGGATCACAGGTGTGAACCACTGCGCCCAGCCTGCCTTGAACATCTTTTGTCAGATTTATTCCTAGGCATCTTTTAACAAAAATGGTTAAACAAAAGTCACTTTTTTTGTTGTTTTTTTTGAGTCAAGGTCTCATTCTTTCACCCAGGCGGTGGCTCACACGTGTAATCCCAACACTTTGGGAGGCCGAAGCAGGCGGATTACCTGAAGTCAGGACTTCAAGACTAGCCTGGCCAACATGGTGAAACCTCGTCTCTACTAAAAATACAAAAATTAGCCAGGCGTGATGGTGGGTGCCTGTAATCCCAGCTACTTGGGAGGCTGAGGCAGGAGAATCAGTTGAACCCAGGAGGCGGAGGTTGCAGTGAGCCGAGATCGTGCCACTGCACTCCAGCTTGGGTGACAGAGGGACACTCCATCTCAACAACAAAAAAATTATTTTAAGCTATTATTTACCCTGTAATGCCAAAGTCATGGTTTCGACCAGCCACGGTGGCTCACACCTGCAATCCCAGCACTTTGGGAGGCTGAAACGGGCAGATCACCTGAGGTCAGGAGTTCAAGACCAGCCTAGCCAATATGGTGAAACCCAATCTCTATTAAAAATACAAAAATTAGCCAGGCATGGTGGTGTCTGGGTGCCTGTAATCCCAGATATTTGGGAGGCTGAGGCGGGAGAATTGCTTGAACCCAGGAGGTGGAGGTTGCAGTGAGCCGAGATCATGCCACCGCACTCCAGCCTGGGTGACAGAGCAAGACCCTATCTCAAAAATAAATAAATAAATAAGTAAAGTCATTGGTTTTCAACTTTAGTGGACATAAGACTCTCCTGGTGAGCCTATTCAAAATGCAGAGTCCCAGACCCCTACCAAATCCTCAGGTCTGGGATGGGCCCTGGGAATCTGTATTTTCAACTGGCAGACCAGATGATTCTGATGCATGAAGTTCAAAGATCACACTTTGAGAAGCACAGAGTAGACAAAGGCCATCAGGCATTCATGAGCAGACAGGGAGACTGGGTGTCCTCCTAGCGGGCAAGCTGCCAGGCCTGAGTTTCCTCCCATGTCAGCTCCCTGCTCTTACATTAGAGCTGCCTATTTAAGCACAGTGAAAGTTGAAAAGGCTGGGCTTTCTTATGAATATAATTCCCACATGACACACATTCATCTGCTTTCCCCATCCACCACATTCTCTGCCCTAAAGGTCCTGAATTTGCAACAGTGGATATCTGCTCACTGCCACTGGGACCTACTCTAACAGGGACTTCCATCTGCAGTCAAGTTACCTACCCTCTGCATCATTTTCACAGATGAGAGTCCCTAAATGACTGGTCAAGGTCTTTGAGGGGTGGGCCAGGGACATCAGGAGTGTGAAGGCGTCATTACCCCCAAACAATGGCATGGAGCAGATTCCTCCTATGCATTCAGTAGCCTGTATAGGATTAGTATATCAGAAGGCCCCATGCTATAGCCCTTTGATCACCAGTGTCAAAGGCATGAACATCTTTTGCTGAGACAAAGTAAGCCTCTCTGTAACTATAGTAATATTTTCTTTTTAGAGGAAGAATCCCAGCAAAGGGTGATGAAGGTTCCCTAAAGGTCCTCAGACCACTGCGGTCTGTCCTGAGGCTGTCCTTGGAACTCTCTCTCCCCTCCCTGGCTCCCTCTCACAGAGTTGCCCCTAGACCACGGGCTCAGGGGCCTCCAGTCAAAGCTGCTGACTCTGACCATGCATGGTGCTGCTGAGGGTGGAAGAGCTATATTAGGCTCCAGGCCATTCACAAGAGGATTAGGCGTGGACTGAGGGTGCAGTGGGAAAGAGGCAGCAGGGAAGGCCCAGCTCTACTCCCAGAGCATTCGCCATGCCCTACCTGCTGTCAGGATTCTTCTGTGACTGTGTGATCCAAGAGAGGGACAGGAGAAATGGAGAGGGCACCATCGCACAGCCCCTCAAGTTTGAGGGGCAGGATTTTGTCGTTCTCAAAGATGTCTGGCCCAGAAGTGCCTCTTTGAAGATTGTGTGTTCCTAGCAGGTGTTCAGGCCCTGGCCTCCCATGAGCTGAGCCACAAAACCAAGATTTAGGCCATCACATGGAAAAGGCCAAAGGTAGGGATGGAGGGGATGGGACTTCAGGAGCCAGCTCTTGGGGAACAAGAAGCCAAGTGATCCAGAGCCTGAGGCCATGGATCCCTCCTCTGGGCAATTGACTTATCAAGGGTCTCTTTATCCAAAATACCTTTCTGCTCCTTCCTGAAACTGGAGATGTTATTTTCTATTCCTGAGCTAGAGATTATTATAATACTTTATGGGTCCCTGAAATCGTAAATATTTTTAGGGAGCTAATGCATTGTAATCGAATATCATGTCTCTTTTTTTTTTTTTTTTTTTTTTTTGAGAGAGAGACTTGCTCTGTCACCCAGGCTGGAGTGCAGTGGCTTGATTATAGCTCACTGCAGCCTCAACCCCCCAGGCCCAAACAGTGATCCCACTTCACACCTCAGCCTTCCAAGTAGCTGGGACCCCAGGCATGTGCCACCACATTTTTATTTGTTTAAATAAAAATTTATTTATTTATTTATTTATTTATTTATTTATTTATTTATTTATTTATAGAGATGGGGCCTCACTATGTTGCCCAGGCTGGTCTCAAACCCCTCGGCTCAAGCAATCCTCTTGCCTAGGCCTCCCAAAGTGCTGGGACTACAGGCAAGATCCATTTCACCTGGTCTCATGTGTCTTTTTCAGAGCAGGTGTTTTGGGGTGGGAGAGTAGAGTGGTTAGAAGTACTAAGGCTCACAGTTTCCGGGAGAGTTCTGTGGAAGGTGGTGAACAGTAAAGAAATGGAAGGATGGAGACCTGCCTTCTTAATCTTTCACCTAAGGCTTGTTCATTCATGTGCTGTCGCTTCTGTTTAAACAGAAAGGTCCGTGCTGAGCAGCCAGACTCCTTACGGGATGAAGCAGTTTGTGTCAGGCTACCTTATGGCGCAACCGAGAAGCCCCTTGTGTCAACTTGAGTGGGTGAAAGTGCTTGGGAGTGTGTAGCACAAGGCCCTTCTTCCTGCTTGGAGAGGCTCAGAGCTCCAAAAAGGGTTCACTGCATTTAGAGCAGGCAAGAAACTCTCTAGACCAGTAGGCTCTGAGGAGGGCATATACAGCCCAGTAGATCTGCAAGATGATCCATTGGAGTGGATGAAAAAACTATTAGAAGTATTTATATCTATTTTTTAAATAAACTGTAAATTTCAGAATGGTTTTAGATTTACAGGAAAAAATTGTGAAGATGGTACAGAGTTCTCATATACCTTGCAGCCATTTCTTCCTATTACCAACATCTTGCATTAGTACAGTACATTTGCTACAATTAAATTAGCCAGTGTTAATATATTATTATTAGCTGAAGTCCATACTTTTCCTTAGTTTTTTGTCTGATGTCCTTTTTCTGTTCCAAGATCCCACCCAAGATATGACATTACATTTAGTAGTAACGTCTCCTTAGCCTTCTCTTGGCTGTGACAGTATCTCTGCCTTCTCTGGTGTTTTATGACCTTCACAGTTTTTTAAAGAGTACTCGTCAGGTATTCTGTAACATAATGACCCTCAATTGGCATTTGTCTGCGGTTTTTCTCCTTATGGGCTTAAGGGTTTGGGGGAGGAAGACCACAGGGTAAAGTGCCGTTTTTGTCACATTATATATCAAGGATGCGGGCAATAAACATGCCTTCTCATTGTGGTGTTGACCTTGGTCATGTGGCTGAAGTAGTGCTTGTCAGGTTTCTTTACTGTGAAGTTACTTCTTCCCCTCTTTTCATACTATACTCTGGAAGCAAGACACTAAGCATAAGCCCATACTTAAGCAAGGGGGAATTGTGCTCTGCCCTCTTGAGGGCAGAGAATCTGCATCAATTATTGGGAATCATTCTGCATGGGAGCTTTGTCTATTCTCCCCATTTGTTTATTTATTCAGTCACTTGTTTATATCAATATGGACTCATGGATCTTGATTTTTATTTTAAGTCGTAATCCAATACTGCTTTATTTTGTTGCTTAGGTTGTCCCAGCTTTCTTCACTGGGAGCTCTCAGTTGGCTCCTGTGTCTATTTAACATACCCTAATTGTTTGTGGGTTTTTTTTTTTTTCCTTGAGCACTTTCTTACTTTCTGGCACTACCAGCTCATAATGTGTATCTCCTGCCCCAATCCTAGAATCAGTCATTTCTCCAAGGAGCACTGGTTTCTTTTATTGAAAAAGGTATTAGATATCAAGATCTGGTTGCTAAGTCTGCTCATTGCTACCGGAGTGTGATTGCTTCTGTTCCTCTCAGCTTGTAGAGAAAGGAGATATGTGTGTGTACTAAGCCAGCTGTATACACATATCTATAATATTTCTATGTATAACCATCTCACATATCTGTAAATATTTCTATATAAAGCCATTTGTATCTATACTAAGCTAAACATGAGTTCACACTGACATAACTAAATATTTCTTGGCTTAGTGTGTTAATATAAAAGGAATATTTTTAAATTTCGAATTCCAGTTGTTCATTGCTGGTATATAGAAAACTAATTGGTGTTTATATACTAACTTGGAATCTTGCAACTGAGCTATACTCACTTATTAGTTCCCAGTGGATTTTTTTGGGTCATTTGTTTGGAATTTTCTACATAGACAATTGTGTCATCTGTAAATAAAGATAGTTTTTTTTTTGTTTCCAATATTTATATCTTTCATTTCTTTTTCTTATCTTGTTGCATTAGCTAGGACTTCCAGTAGGACACTGAATAGGAGTGGTACAGGAGGACATCTTGCTTTGTTCCTAGTCTTAAGGGGAAAGCATCTAGTTTCTCACCCTTAAGTATGAAGTTAGCTGTTATTATTTTTGAAAGTGGATGATCGTTACCAAGTTGAGGACATTCTCCTCTCTTCCTAGTTAGCTGAGAGGTTTTTTTAAATCATGAATGGGTGTCAGATTTTGTCAAGGGCATTTTCTCCATCAATTAATATGGTTATATAATTGCTTTTCTTAGCCTGTTGATGTGGTAAATTACATTAATTGATTTTTGAATGTTGAACAAACCTTGTACCTCAAATAAATCCCACTTGGTCATGGTGTCTGTTTATACATTGTTGTATTTGAGTTGCTCATATTTTGTTGAGGATTTTGCTTCTATGTTCATAACAGATATTGGTCTGTAGTTTTCCTTTATTAGAGTATCTTTTACTGGCTTGCATATTAGGATAATGCTGGCCTGATAGAATGAGTTAGGAAGTGTTCCCTCTGCTTCTATTTTATGGAAGATATTGTGGAAAATTCATATTATTTCTTCCTTGAATATTTGGTAGAATTCATTAGTGAAACCATCTGGTTCTGGTGCCTTCTTTTTTGGAGGGTTATTAATTATTGACTCAATATTCTTGATAGGTATAGTGCTATTCAGATTATCTAATCCTCGAATGAATTTTGGTAGCTTTTGTCATTCAAGAAATTTGTCAGTTTCACCTGTTATCAAATTTGTGAGCATGGAGCTGTCCATATATTCCCTTATTATCCCTTTAATGTCCAAAAGTTCAGTAGTGATTGCAGGAGTCTGTCCTGCAGACCCCAGCTCGTGCGACGGATGAATAACATACCAAGACACCAATATTTAGTGAAAGAGCAGCTAGGGGTCCAAGCCGCTCACAGATACTAAGGAAGGTGCTGTGAAGAGTCAGCAGCCACGGCCCTGACTAGCTAGCCCTGTGGGCATTTATTTAGCACAGTTTTAATGACAAAGGCTTTGAGTCAACACACCTGTGGGTAATTAATCTGGTTGCCCCCACCCCGGGGGGAGCTATCCTGCCGTGAGTGATCAAAAGTTAGTTTTAGGACCACATGAGTAAACAAGCTCTTTAGATAAACTCCTCTACATTCCTATGTATCTGTGCCCTAAGCTATTAAGTGGATTCGGCTGCCTTCAGCCAAACACTTTATGCAAACCTCTAGGCCTTCCAAGAGGGTTTGTGTTTATATCCTATAAATTCATCTTAAAATTTTTGCCACCAGCCTGACTGAACTCCCAAAAGTGATAACCTCTCCTTCATTTTTAATATTAGTAATTTGTGTTTTCATTTTTCTTGTTTAGCATGGCTAAAGGTTTATCAATTCTATTGATCTTTCCAAAGAACCATTTTTGTTTTCATTGACTTTCTATTGTTTTCTTGTTTTTTATTTCATTCATTTCTGCTCTGATTTTTTATTGTTTCTTTTCTTCTGCTTGCTTTAGGCTTAAGTATCTCTTCTATAGTGTACTAAGATGGAATATTGCTTATTGATTTTTCTTTTCTTTCTTTTCTAACTTATGCATTTAATGCTATAACTTTCCCTTTAAACACTGCTTTTGTTGCATCCCACAAATTTTGATGTTATATTTTTATTTTCACTTAGTTAAAAACATTTTGTAAGTTCTTTTGAAATTTCTTCTTTGACCCTTGTGTTATTTAGAACTGTGTTGTTTGGTTTCCAAATAATTTGGGATTTTTCAACTATCTTTTTGTTATTGATTTCGAGTATCATTCCACTGTGGTCTGTGAAGACACTGTAGGCTTTCTATTCTTTTAAATTGGTTGCCGGACGCAGTGGCGCACCCCTATAATCCTAGCACTTTGGGAAGCTGAAGCAGGTGGATCATGAGGTCAGGAGTTCGAGACCAGCCTGACCAACATGATGAAACTCCGTCTCTACTAAAAATACAAAAATTAGCCAGGCATGGTGGCATGCATCTGTAATCCCAGCTACTCAGGAGGCTGAGGCAGGAAAATCGCTTGAACCGGGAGGTAGAGGTTGCAGTGAGCCAAGATCGCACCACTGCACTCCAGCCTGGGTGACAGAGAGGGACTCTGTCTCAAAAAAAAAAAATTGGTTAAGGTGTGTTTTATGGCTCAGAATGTGTTCTGTCTTACTGACTTGTTACCTATGAATTTGAGAAAATGGTTTGTTCTGCTATTGTTGGATGTAGAATTCTATTAATGTCAATTTGATCCAGTTGGTTGATAGTGTTGTTCAGGTCAACAATATCCTTATTGCTTTTCTGCCTGCCTGCTTGATCTATAATTACTGAAAGAGAGTGTTGACATCACCAACTATAATACTGGATTTGTCTATTTCTCCTTTCAGTTCTATCACTCTTTGCCTCATGTATTTTGACACTGTTGTTAGGTGCACACACATTTAAGATTGTATGTCTTCTTGGAAAATTGACCAATTGACCTTTTCATCTATATGTAATGCCTCTCCTTATCTCTGATAATTGTCCTTGTTCTGAAGTCTGCAGTTTCTGAAATTAATACAACTCCAACTTTCTTTTGATTATTGTTAGCATGATATATCCTTCTTTATCTATGAGTTTTTATATTTAAAGTGGGTTTCTTGGCCAGGCATGGTGGCTCACGCCTGTAATCCCAGCACTTTGGGAGGCCAAGGCGAGCACATCACCTGAGGTCAGGAGTTTGAGACCAGCCTGGCCAACATGGTGAAACCCCATCTCTACTAAAAATACAAAATTAGCCGAGCATGATGGTGCATGCTTGTAATCGCAGCTACTCAGGATGCTGAGATGGGAGAATTGCTTGAAACCGAGAGGCGGAGACTGTGCCATTGCATTCCAGCCTGGGCGACAAGAGCGAAACTCTGTCTCAAAAAAATAAATAAAGTGGGTTTCTTGCAGACAACATATAGTCGAGTCTTGTTTTTATCCACTTTCACAGCCTTTGTCTTTTAATTGGTGTATTTTGATCATTCACATGTAAGTGATTATAATATAGTTAGATTACTACCTACATGTTTATAACTGATTTCCATTTATTGCATTTGTTCTTGTCCCTGCCCCTTTTTCTGGCTTCTCTGATTTAACTGAAAGTTTTATATTTTATCCTATTTTATCCTTTTACCTCTTCTTTTTTGTCTTTTTTTTTTTTTTTTTTTTTTTTTTTTTGAGACAGGGTCTGGCTTCTGTCACCCAGGCTGGAGTGCAGTGGTATGATCTTGGCTCACTGCAACCTCTGCCTCTTGAGCTCAAGCAATCCTCCTATCTCAGCCTCCTGAGTAGCTGGGACTACAGGTGCATGCCACAATGCCAAACTAATATGTTTGTATGTGTGTGTGGGTGTGTGTGTATGTGTGTATGTATATATATGTATGTGTATATATATATGTATGTATATGTGTGTGTATATATATATATATGGCCCCATTCTTCTCAGCTTCATGGAGTCTTGGCATTCCTGTGACACAGTTCAAACGGGGTCTCTCCCCCCACCTTCCCCATATATATATATATATATATATATTTTTTTTTTTTTTTTTTTTGTAAAGATGGGGTTTTGCCATGTTGCCCAGGCTGGCCTCAAACTCCTGAGCTTAAGCAGTCTGCCCACCTTGGCCTCCCAAAGTGCTGGGATTACAGGTGTGAACCACGGCACCCGGCCTTATCTCCTCTCTTGGTGTATCAATTATATTTATTTTTTCAATTCTAGTGGTCATGCTAGAGTTTCCAGTATACGTTTTCAACCAAGTCCACCCTCAAATAACACTATACCATTTAGTTTGTACTCTAGGTACTTTATAACAGAGAACAAAGTATTACCATTTCCTTCCTTTCTTTGCTTATGACATTACTGTCATTTGTTTCTCTTATCTGTATGCTATAATTGCCCAATACATTGTTTTTATTATGATTTAACTAAGTTACCCTTTAGATTAAGAATTTAAAATCAAGATTTTATTTTATCTTCATTTATTTATTTCCTCTCCAGTGCTCTTCCTTTCTTTATGTGGGTCCAAGTTCCTGACCTGTATCATTTTTCTTCTCCCTAAAGAACTTCTTTTAACATTTCTTGCATGGCAGGTCTGCTGGCAATGAATTTCCTCTACTTTTGTTTGTCTGATTAAGCTGCAGAATAACAATATTAATAATATCACTACCAAAATAATTCCTGAAAACAGTTTACAGTCTTTCCATAGGCTTTCTTCTTTCTCCTTTGATTTAAAATGGTTTTAAATAGTTGTTCATTGCCCGAACACTATAGGCAATATATTACATACTTTACATCCTCCCTTTAATCATCAGGTACTTTGTTGGGTTTTTGTTTTTTCTGAGACAGAGTCTCACTCTGTCGCCCAAGCTGGAGTGCAGTGGTGCGATCTTGGCTCACTGCAACCTCTGCCTTCAGGCTCAAGCAATTCTCCTGCCTCAGCCTCCCGAGTAGCTGGGACTACAGGCATGAGCCACCATGCCTGGCTAATTTTTGTATTTTTAGTAGAGACGAGGTTTCGTCATGTTGGCCAGGCTGGTCTCGAACTCCTGGCCTCGTGATCCGCCCACCTCAGCCTCCCAAAATGCTGTGATTACAGGTGTGAGTCATTGCACCCGGCCATCATGTAATTTTAAATCTACAAATAACGAAATACTGACTACTTATTCTCAGTCCTTATGTTAGTGTCCTTCTATACCTGGTTGTCTGAAGGTTATTCTCTAGTATATTCCTCAGGAAGAGCTCGTGGGAACAATATTCCCTGAATTCTTATGTATTAGAAAAGTTTGCCCACATCCCTTATTCTTGAAATGAATAAAGGAAGTCATATTGTATATACATCCTTGGTTCACATTTTCTTTCCTTGAGCATCTTAAATATACTGCTCCAATTTCTTCTGGCATAAAAAGGCCTTGCTACTGGAAAGTCTGATAATAATCTAATGTTTTCCCCTTAAAAGTCACTTGTTCTTTCTCCCTAGATGTCCAAACAATGTTTTTTTTTTTCTTTGAATCCCAGTAATTTTCTAGAATGTATATTCATGTTGGTCATTCTGGGTCAATATTCAATTTGCCCTTTCAATCAATATGTAGTATTAAATATGTGTTTTTATTTAAGGAAAAATATTTTCAAATTATAGTGGGGTTTTTTGTTTTTGTTTTTGTTTTTTTGAGACAGAGCCTCACTCTGTCGCCCAGGCTGGAATGCAGTGGTGCAATCTTGGCTCACGGCAATCTCTGCCTCCCAGGTTCAAGCGATTCTCTCACCTCAGCCTCCCAAGTAGCTGGGACTATAGGCATGCGCCACCATGTCCAACTAATCCTTTTAATCTTTGTAGAGACGGGGTCTCACTATGTTGCCCAGACTGGTCTCGAACTCCTGGCCTCAAATGATCCTCCCACCTTGGCCTCTCAAAGTGCTGGGATTACAGGTGTAGGCCACCACACCTGGACAATATTATTATTTCTTATGGTTCATATTTCTTAGTATCTTCATAACATTCAAGGTTCATATTTCTTTATGGTTTTGGTTTTTGTCCTTAGGATATATTCCAAAAGGGATAGACAGCCAAAATGTTACATTTTAAGTGACTTGAAGTAATTATTTTTCTGTGAATGGTTATGCAGTTAGGTCCCTTTGCTTCGGTTTGCTTTCAGCTTTTACAGATGGCTTTTTAAAATAATTTTTTCTTTAATTTTGGCTCTTAATTATTTAAAACTTTACATGATTCCTAAGTCAAAACTATTTTTAAACAGTTATATTCAGAGTTCTACTTCCATCCCTATTTCTACCACCTTATTCCTTCCCTCCCCATATAGGTAAACGTTTTTGAAAACGATTGTTTTGGTTTATCCTTCCATTCCACTCAGAGTTGCAGATGGGACGCATGCTGTGGGGTGTAGCATAAGCAAGACTTTCCATCTACTAGGAGTATACACCCCTGAGTGCAGGAGCTTCAGCTCACTTGGGTATATTGGGTTGTTGTGATGGGGGTTGGGGGAAGGTGGAGAGAGAGACCCTGTTTGAACTGTGTCACAGGAATGCCAAGACTCCATGAAGCTGAGAAGAATGGGGCTAAAACCAGATCACTAGCCTGGCGCGGTGGCTCACGCCTGTAATCCCAGCACTTTGGGAGGCCAAGGCTGGCAGATCACTTGAGGTCAGGAGTTCGAGACCAGCCTGGCCAACATGGCGAAACCTCATCTCTCTCTACTAAGAATATGGAAACCACCCATGGTGGCACACATCTGTAGTCCCAGCTACTCGGGAGGCTGAGACAGGAAAATTGCTTGAACCTGGGAGGCAGAGTTTGCAGTGAGCCGAGATCGCGCCACTGTACTCCAGCCTGTGTCGCCCACTGCACTCCAGCCTGGCGACACAGTGAGACTCTGTCTCAAAAACAATACAAAACACTGAATCTATATTTTATTTATTTTTATTAATTTATTATTATTATTATTATTTTGATTCTCCTGTCTCAGCCTCCCAAGTAGCTGAGATTACCTGTCACCACGCCTGGCTAATTTTTGTATTTTTAGTAGAGACAGGGTTTCACTATGTTGGCCAGGCTGGTCTTGAACTCCTGACCTCAAGTGATCCACCCGCCTTGGCCTCCCAAAGTGCTGAGATTACAGGTGTGAGCCACCACGCCCAGCCGACACTGCCCTAACTCTCAAGTTGCATCCTTACTCGAATAGTATGACAGTGTGGGAAGCAGCATGGGACAATGTAAAAAGGAGGCATGTTTCTGGCTTCTGCTACTTACTAGCTGTGTGTCTTTGCACGAGTTTCTTAACCTCTCTGGGCCTCAGTTTCCTTATCTGAAAAATAACAATGATAGTATTCCCTTCACAGGGCCAAATGGAATACTATCAGGAACACTACATAATGGAACTCAATAAATAATAGCTACTGCGGCCGGGCGCGGTGGCTCACATCTGTAATCCCAGCACTTTGGGAGGCCGAGGCGGGTGGATCACAAGGTCAAGAGATGGAGACCATCCTGGCCAACATGGTGAAACCGTATCTCTACTAAAGATACAAAAATTAGCTGGGCATGGTGGCGCATGCCTATAGTCCCAGCTACTCGAGAGGCTGAGGCAGGAGAATCACTTGAACCCCGGAGGCAGAGGTTTCAGTGAGCCAAGATTGCACCAGTGCACTGCAGCCTGGCGACAGAGTGAGACTCCGTCTCAAAAAAATACCTATCTATCTATCTGTCTATCTACTGTTATTCTTACCTGGTCATTTCCTTTTTGTTTCACAGGAAATTTGCGAGAATCCCCGATTTATCATTGATGGAGCCAACAGAACTGACATCTGTCAAGGAGAGCTAGGTAGGAAAGTGCCTCAGGTCAGATCCTGCCAGATGATCAAGGGGTGATTACAAGGTGTGATCCCCTTCCAGGAGGTAAAGGGACAATCTGTGCTTGCTTCCAGTAACTTTTTGGAAGATTTTTTATAACAGTTGCTTTATGGTCGTTTATCTACATGCTGGCGATTGCTTCATTTCCTCCTACATGCCTCTTTAGCACTCTGCCATGCATCACAGGGGGTATCTGCATCCTGTGGCCTCCTCTCCAGTATCTCAAGGACACTTACATACCCCACTCAGCATGACAAAAGCCCTGCTTTTCACTGTATCGTCTTTCTTGGAAGACAGCTCTGTGACTGTGCACCAAGCATGCCCCTTGGGCATGGAGATTCTAGATACACACACAAAAGGCATCGCCAAGGAAAGCACTTGTAACTGGAACCCTTGTTTAAATTGCCCCAGCATAGCTCCATCTTAAAAGAGTCTTTCCACAAAGATGGCATCCGCCATGTGGATGAGCATCCAATTTTCTCTTTGATTGGTTAGCTTGACTGCTCCATCTGATCTTCCTCTCTCTCGACCTCTTGTTCAGAAAGTATTGTCTTTGGTGTGGACTATAAGCAAGCTCTGTGAAGTAAAATTGGAGAGAACACCAACAGAAACAATTTAAATTTGAGGAAAAGGGGGCACCTAAGACCAAAGGAATTTGGCTTATTTCATTCCAGAAGGGGAGGCTGAGAATAAATCAGATGAATATCTGGGTTCCTGCACCTGAGGGAAGGCTTCCTGCAGAGCCCTGGGCATAATAATCTGGGACCTTCAAACCAATAACCTCTTTCCAAGGAAAGACTGGCTGCTTCCAAGGAGGGTAGGGGAGAGTGGCTGCAGGCAGCTCTCAGTCTCCCCTGCACACTCTCAGTTGCATTTCACTTAACCCATCCTCCTTAGAAGGCAGCTCTGTGACCAGGTACACCCCCTATTATATATATATATACACACACAGAGAGAGAGAGAGAGAGAGAGAGAGAGAAAGAGAGCAAAGTGTTACCTCCAACTACATACAGTACTCTGTCAGAAAAGAGGTTCAGAGAATAAGAAAACGTCCCGAGCTCATTCCGTTGCCAGCAATGTCTTACTGCCCCCTATAGACGGGTTCCAGGGCAGCTGCCTACCTGGCCTTCCTTCCAATACAAATCATCTTGGTGGATGGTTCTCTGAGGCTCAGTCTTCGCTGAAGTCAGAAGAGGAATTGGACTCACATTGCAAAGGCACAGGGCAGGGCAGATTTCCTACAGGTGTTAGGAAGAACAACCCAGTTATGATCACCTACTGCTCTGTCTCCATTGAGGCCTAAAAAGGAAGTGAGTTTATACTGCAGTTGGAGGAACTGCCTGCAGCCTTGAGGAAAATGTCTAGTCACAAGGGAGTAAGTTACCTGTTGATCATATTGTCAAGGAATTCCTGTCCAATTCTCCTTCCCTGGGTTGACACCTCTGTAAGGTCAGATCTGGAAGTAGGAGAGTGGGCACCAAGGGAGTCCCCGTTCAGGGAAGTGGAGTGGCTGGCTGGGATTGGGGCTTTTTCTTCCCAGGAGGAGCAGGAGTGCTCACGATCTGTGCCCTGTGTCTGCCTGCAGGGGACTGCTGGTTTCTCGCAGCCATTGCCTGCCTGACCCTGAACCAGCACCTTCTTTTCCGAGTCATACCCCATGATCAAAGTTTCATCGAAAACTACGCAGGGATCTTCCACTTCCAGGTGAGGTAATGAGAGTGTAGTTAAGAGGGCCAGCGGCAGGCCACCCACCGCTGGTCTCCTGGCCTTGACTTCCCAGAAGCTGGAGGAAACTTCCCACCCATCTACCCGCAGCGGCAACAGTCGGCATGGACCCCCTTAAGGCTTCAAGCCTGGGAGGAAGCAGTTGCTTATCTCTGGCTCCCTAATCCCTCCCCCACCACCTTCCACTATGTCCCAGAAAGACAGGAAGACATCCTGTTTACTGTGGGTCTATTTTTGTCTTTGCAGCTGTCTGGCTGCTTTTATTGCCTGCAGCCCTTCTCAAGTAGGTCCCTAAGATA
Source organism: Homo sapiens (assembly GCF_000001405.40). NCBI lineage: Eukaryota > Metazoa > Chordata > Mammalia > Primates > Hominidae > Homo > Homo sapiens. The sequence continues at coordinate 42,386,606 of NC_000015.10, forward strand.
TTAGCACTGTGACACCACAGGACCCTTCAGGTTGTACAGGAACCCCTGTCCAGGGCTCCTGTATACTTCTTCCTCTCTAAGGCATGGCGGTACCAAGGCTATCACTCCTCTCTTCCAAGCCCTGGAAGAAGAGTCTGCTTAACCTGGGGATCAGGCTTCTTGTTTGCCCTAGAACTGAATCTGATGGTTCTAGAATCCATCCAGCTACTGGAAATTTTCTGGGTCCCAGTCACCTTGGCATAGAGCTGGTGCTAGAGCAGAACCAAACTGAATTCTACCTGTGAGGGTCTCGTAGCTTCCGGGATGCTGGGGAGTCAGCCTGTCTCCAGCTTCAAAGGCTCCCTCATGTCCCAGGATGACCCACATTATCAGTTCTTGCTCCCCGGGTCTTGCACCTCAGCACGGAAGGCCTCAGAAAAGGTCTGTCTCCAGGCTCAGACTCCCCCTCCTGCCGCCTTGGGAACATGGCATATTTAAAGGGTCTCAGATCTAAAGGGCCTTACATACAAATATCAGATAGATTTCTGTTCTCATTTCAATGAGGGAGAAAGTGCCATTGAAAAGGAGACTAAACCACATTTGGCCCTTTTCAGTTCAAACTGATTCATTCAAAAAAGAGCGACATCCAAACTTGAAATGATTGAACAATGTTCCTGCTACAGCTAGAATAGATTCTGGGTCACTTTGTTCCTCCGTTTCAATCCTTGTTCTTCAGTTTGGCATCAAGAAATACCTAAATCAGCACAGTGCCTTCACTGCATAGTTCCCAATCCTGGCCACATTGAATCAGCTGGGGGCACCTGAGAGTGCTGACACCCAGGCCCTGCCCCAGACCTGCTGAGCAGGAGAATGAAAATCTTACATCCTAAGACACTCATGGAGCACCTACTCTACCCATTACTGGGCTGGACTCTGTGGAAGACATGAAGTATATGTAACTCACTTCCAGCTCTCAAAAAGCACCCAGTCCAGTTAGAGACAGATTTACACACCCCAAACACAAAATAGGATGAACAGGCACCCAGATGCAGAGTCCAGGAAATGATGCTGCTTTGGGATTCAAGAACCCCCTGAGGAATGTGGAGGAAGGACACATTTCCTAACAGTAATTTGAGTATGTGACTCTGTGCGTGACGCTTCTGTGCAGTTCTGGCGCTATGGAGAGTGGGTGGACGTGGTTATAGATGACTGCCTGCCAACGTACAACAATCAACTGGTTTTCACCAAGTCCAACCACCGCAATGAGTTCTGGAGTGCTCTGCTGGAGAAGGCTTATGCTAAGTAAGCAACACTTTAGAATGTGAGGTGGGGCTAGAGGTGAGAAAGTGGGTTGCAAAATCCAGCCGAGACCTCACTCACAGGAAGAGGCATGTGCCTCTATACGTGCATATGTGTGGGCATGCAAGTCCAACTGTGACCCAAAGTTAGAGATCAGTTCCAGGCAACAACAGCTCTAACTAAAAACATTAAATTTAAGAGTAGAAATGAAGATTTGCATAGAAGACCTTTAGCTTTAGCTTACCATAGCGAGTTCTTTCATTGCACCTCCATGGTGGCATTGCAAGTCTTGGATCAGAGCATTGTATCTCTGGAGCTCAGATCCCAGGGTCTCGCTTGGCTCAACCTCATGTGCTTATAGCAGATTTATAAAGCCATGTTGTCTCTCAACTTAAAAGCTCCACCCCAGATGCTAATAATGGATTTTTTAAATTTTTTTGAAACAAGGTCTCACTCTGTAATGCAGGCTGGAGTGCAGTGGTGCAGTCACGGCTCACTGCAGCATTGACCTCCTGGGTTCAAGGTGCTCCTCCCACCTCAGCCTCCCAAGTAGCTGGGACTACATGCGGGCATCACCATGCCCAGTTAATTTTTGTATTTTTTTGTAGAGACGGGGTTTTGCCATGTTGCCCAGACTGGTCTCGAACTCTTGGGCTCATGCAATCCACCAGCCTTGGCCTCCCGAAGCGCTGGGATTGCCGGTGTGAGCCACCACACCGGCAGCTGCTAATGGCTTTAATGCAGCCCTTCCTCAACGTTCAGGATGTAGTGGAAAGAGCTCTCAGGAAGTGGGGATAGCTGGGTTTCAATCCCAGTGCTTCTGGCTCTCTGTGGTCTTGGGTGGGTCACTTAGCCTCTTGAGCTCAGTTTCTTCATTATGAAGAAAGGGAATCATTGTTTCCATCCCATGAGCTCATAGGGTTAATGTGGAATTGATGAAAGAACATCACAGCATCCAAGAGGTAAAGTTCTGGTGGCAGTGGTACCTGGGTTTTGTTCCCTGGAACTCTGTGACCCCAAATTGGTCTTCATCCTCTCTCTAAGGCTCCATGGTTCCTACGAAGCTCTGAAAGGTGGGAACACCACAGAGGCCATGGAGGACTTCACAGGAGGGGTGGCAGAGTTTTTTGAGATCAGGGATGCTCCTAGTGACATGTACAAGATCATGAAGAAAGCCATCGAGAGAGGCTCCCTCATGGGCTGCTCCATTGATGTAAGTCTGGGGTGTGGGGCACAGGGTGGGGAGCTCCAAGTGTCAGGAAGCCTTTTACCCAATGAAGGGCAGCATAGAGCTTTTGTGTGGGACAGAGCGAATGTTTTGTTTGAGGAAGCAGGAACTGGCTCTCAACTTTGAGGACTGGGAATTTCTCAAGGGAGAACAGTTCTTCCGGATTTTCAATAAAGACACTGGTCAAGGACATTTCAAGCCCTGGAATGTCAGTGGAAATCAGTCCAGAGGCCTGTGTCAGTGGAGGCCTCCCTTGCTGGTGCTCCTCAGTCTCAGCACGCTCCCATTAAGCTGGCCACGTACTTGGCTGTGGACCTGAGCCCACCATTTCCCTAAGAAAGCCTCCCAGTCACTGGGCTTTCACCACACCTCCCCGCTTGAGACGTGGGCTTTGTGTTGTTACCTGGGAGAAGCTAAGCCTGCAGCACCTTTCAGTGCAAAGAAATGCTGTGAACTGAGACAGGAGCCAAGGGTAGGGAGATGGCCGCCCATGGCCAGGCCTCCTTCAGGGGGCATGCCTTCCCTGAGGGCTGCTCAGTATATTGATATGATAATCTTAGTGGTTTCCATTGGGGAGGATGGGGCTGAAGCTGAATTCCTGCCCCTTCTTCTCCCAACACGCCCAATGGACAGCTTGGAAGGTCAGTTAGCACACAACACCATGGATGAACTTTTTTTCTGTATCACTTTTCTCCGTCTTTCCTCCATTCGTGCTCTGTTGATCTCTCCTCTCTCCCTTTGTCTGTCCCATCTCTTTCTCCTCTCTCCTTCCCTTTCCACCCTTCTGTGTTTGTTCTCTCCCTCCCCTGTGTTGTTCCCTACATTCTCCATCGGGCCTCAGGATGGCACGAACATGACCTATGGAACCTCTCCTTCTGGTCTGAACATGGGGGAGTTGATTGCACGGATGGTAAGGAATATGGATAACTCACTGCTCCAGGACTCAGACCTCGACCCCAGAGGCTCAGATGAAAGACCGACCCGGGTGTGTACACCTCCGATTATCAGAACTGACCATCCCTCCAACCCACATGACCCCGCCCTATTAGTGTCAGACTCCCCTCAGCAGCCAGGGCCTTACCCACACACCCCCACCTGGCACCTCCCAAGGGTCTGGGTTGAAATAACTTGCTCAGCCAAGGCTCCTGAAGAGGGTGCAAGAACCAGGATTTTGGAGGGAATCTCTGCTGGAGTTTCTGCATATTCCATGGTCCAGGCAGTTCCTCTCATAACGAACTATCAGACAGAAATACTTGTAAAGATACTTCATTTATTTTGAAATATTTTTCCTCTTCTAATGTATTCATTTATTCATTCAACACTTATTTTTGAGCTCCTACTATGTTCCAGGCACTCCTCTAGCAAACAAAGCAAATTCTCTCCTCTTTTTCAATATTTGTGGAAAAAGCAAGGTCTCCCTCTTGTAGAGTTTATATTCTAGTATTTTCATAAGTTATACCTGCTCACTGGAGAATACTGAGCCATACAGAAAAACACAGAGGAAAATTTCACTTATATTTTTCCCCATGTAAAGATAACCACTCTTAACATCTAGTATATGTTCTTCCAGGATTTTTCTATGCACACACTGAATCTGTATTTTTATTTTTAAAATGTTATCATATTGTATGTACCTCTTTGCAGCCTGCTTTTTTCAGTTAGTTTTTTTTGTTTTTTTGTTTTTTTTTTTTTTTTTGGAAACCAAGTCTTGCTCTATTCCCTAGGCTGGAGCACAGTGGTGCCATCTCGGCTCACTGCAACCTCTGCCTCCAAAGTTAAACTAATTCTCCTGCCTCAGCCTCCCGACATAGCTGGGATTACAGGCACACACCACCACACATGGCTAATTTTTGTATTTTTTAGTAGAGACGGGGTTTCACCATGTTGGCTGGAATGGTCTTGAACTCCTGACCTCAAGTGATCCACCTGCCTCAGCCTCCCAAAGTGCTGGGATTACAGGTGTAAGCCACCACACCCGGCCTAGTTTGATATTCTTAATGTGCCCAAAGTATTCTCCTGTAACATTTTTTAATAGCTACACAATATTCAAACACACAGATATGTTATAATTTATTTACCCAATACCCTATTATTGGAAAGTTGAGTTCTTTTTTTTCTTTGTTTTGTTTTGTTTTGCTACTATTCTAAAATGCTATAACGAACATCCCAATAGATACATCTTTGTATACATCCATGGTGACTTCCATAGGACAGATTCCCAGCAGTAGAATTGCTGGGTTGAATGATATGCTTAGGTAATGACAGAAGAGTCATTTCAAGCAGCTTCCTAGGTCTAGAACTAAGGATTAATGAGTCTCCCGCCCCCTCCCAGTCTATTCAGCATGATCTGGATCATGAGGACTGAGATCTGGAAGAGACTGAGATCTGGGAGAGGCTGAGATACCAAAAGCCCTGGCTCCACCCATACCCCTCGCCCTGAAAACAGCTCTAGGAATTCCGCGGCCTAGCAAGGCTCCGGGAAGCTCCTTTTAAAGCTGTTACGTTAGTAGGCACATGGAAGCCATAGAGAGCCTATCCAGGGCTCATGGGACTTTAGTGATCCTGCCCTTCTGCCAAGGATCCCCCATGGCTGCAACTTGGAAATTTCTGCAAATGGAAGAGCTACTCCTTAGGCACGGTCATGTCTGAGCAGGGATCTCCTCGGGCTTTCTTAGAATTCTCTCCCTGGGCACTGGGACTCTTGATTTCTTGAATATTATGTTCCAGGTGGGTGTGGAGGAGGTGAGGGGATGTAAAGAAGGCTAGACTTGGCCAGGCGCAGTGGCTCATGCCTGTAATCCCAGCACTTTGGGAGGCTGAGGCGGGTGGATCACCTGAGGTCAGGAGTTCGAGACCAGCCTGGCTAACATGGTGAAACCCCGTTTCTACTAAAAATACAAAAAATTAGCTGAGCATGGTGGCACGTGCCTGTAATCCCAGCTACTCGGGAGGCTGAGGCAGGAGAATCGCTGGAACACGGGAGGCAGAGGTTGCAGTGAGCCGAGATCGCGCCACTGCACTCCAGCCTGGGCGACACAGCAAGACTCTGTCTCAAAAAACAAAAAAGAAAGAAAAAAAGAAAAAGCTAGACTTACATGTGTCACTTAACCCCTTTTCTCAACCTCTTTCTCTTCCAGGAATAGTCAACCCTGGATGGCTTCAGGGGAAGGGGGATCCTGAAGCCCAGGGCAGCCTCCAACTCTACCCCTTCCTCCTTTGAAGGATACTAAGGGGTCCAGAAAGGAGGGGCAGGACACTGTTACCCACCCCACATCCCAGCATCCACATTGCTCTCTGATGGTCAGGACAGAGCCTTCTCAGGGAGACCAGCCTGTCTGGAGCTGTGTCTCTTGGCACTCTTAAAGGGCCACTGAAGGTCCGTTCGTGGTCGTGAGGCACACTTTCAGGGAGCAGAGTGGTCTGTGTCTTCACAGAGCCCGGAAAATGAACTAGTATGAACTTTGCCTCCAAGCAGCAGAACTTCTGTTCCCCCGCCCCTAATGGGTTCTCTGGTTACTGCTCTACAGACAATCATTCCGGTTCAGTATGAGACAAGAATGGCCTGCGGGCTGGTCAGAGGTCACGCCTACTCTGTCACGGGGCTGGATGAGGTAAGCCTGGTGGGGCTTGGTGGGGCAAGGGCACCCTCCTGGGTTAACCTCATGAAGTCAGGACTTAGCTGTTGGGGCCCCTTCCCTGTCTGCAGAGCTTGCCTCCAATCAGGACATTCAGTTCAAGGTCCAAGCCACGCCTGGGAGCAGAGGGGCCTGTGAAACTGGTAGAGGTGGATCCTGCCACAGTTGGTGCACAGTTTATCTTTGCTTTTCGTGCTAAAGATGGCAATTTTTCCAACATTTCCAATGAACAAATTGAAATATCACTTAACTTTGCTTTTACAAAGTTGGTTTCATGTGTTCTTGAGCTTCCTGTTCTCTCGTGTTCAGATAGCTACAGTTGTCTCTGGGTAGCCACGGGGACTGGTTCCAGAAGCCCCAACAGTAACAAAATCTGCAGATGCTCAAGTCCCTTCTGTAAAATGGAGTAGTATTTGCATATAACCTATGCACATCCTCCCATATACTTTAAGTCATCTCTGGATTACTTACGATACCTAACACAATGGAAATGCTATGTAAATAGTTATTGCACTGCATTGGGTTTTTTTGGTATTATTTTCTGTTGTTGTATTATTATTTTTTCTTTTTTTGAATATTTTTGATCCACAATTGGTTATATGCCAAAGCCATGGATACGAGAGGCTGACTGTTCTGTTTTGCTCCTTCTGGGACTTCTGGGTTTTCCTGGACCATGTCTGAGACAGGAACGTTGTAAGACCTGTTGCACACAGTTGGGCAGGTTGTGCCCTGTACAGAGGGATGGGCTGAGAGGGGCAGTTGCCTGCATCACCCATTGCAGCAGACTGGAGGGAGTCTGCTTGTTTGTAGTTCCTCAGTCAGCAGGGGCCTTTTGTCTTTCTTTCTTTCTTTTTTTTTTTTTTTTGAGACGGAGTCTCACTCTGTTGCCCAGGCTGGAGTGTAGTGGCACAGTCTCGGCTCACTGCAATGTCCGCCTCCTGGATTCAAGCGATTTTCCTGCCTCAGCCTCCTGAGTAGCTGGGATTACAGGCGCGTGTCACCATGCCCAGCTAATTTTTGTATTTTTAGTAGAGATGGGGGTTTCTCCATGTTGATCAGGCTGGTCTCGAACTCCTGACCTCGTGATCCGCCCACCTCGGCCTCTCAAAGTGCTGGGATTACAGGCGTGAGCCACCACGCCTGGCCAGCAGGGGCCTTTTTTCTAATTTATATGAAGACACCTAATTTATATGTGTTAGCAGGGCCCTACTGTTTATGCCTCACCTCCTCCCCCGAAGCTCATAACGGCAGGATGTTCCTGAGAAAATTGCCTCTTAGAAGATAGAGAGGAGATGGCCAAGCCCTAAGTTAGGCAGACTCAGGAGGAAAGGTCTGACCCACCCCCTGCCATTCCCCAGCACACTTGTGATTAATCTCCTTGGCCAGAGCCAGGCAGAACACCCTCGCGTAAGAGATTTGCCCCCCAGCCCCGTCCCAGCCCTCAGCAAGACAGAAGATTCCCTTTCCAGAGAGGCTGCAGAGCATGAGAGCTCTTTCTGTGTGCTTAAGGTCCCGTTCAAAGGTGAGAAAGTGAAGCTGGTGCGGCTGCGGAATCCGTGGGGCCAGGTGGAGTGGAACGGTTCTTGGAGTGATAGGTAGGTGAGGGGACCCCACGGGATTGGCGGTGGCGGGGAACAGGGTCCGGGACAAGGCTGTGTTGGGAACTGAGCCATGAGAGTATTGAAGATGCTTGGTATAAAATCACCCTCAAAACCAATGATCCGCAGAGAAGAGGGGCACAGGTGTTGGCTCCAGGGAAGGGCCAGGAGTGGAAGCGGGGTGCTGGGGACCCAGAGAGGTTGCTGACAACCATTGGCTGGAAAGGAAGGATTCCAGAAAGCGTGGGGAAGGTCCAGGCAGGAAAAGCGTATGAATGCAGGGTTCTGGGCTAGAGAAGTGACTTCCCTTCTTGGGGTCTTGTGTTGCCTTTCCTGTGAAATGGGAACAGTATTATTAGCACTTACCTTGTGGGCTGATATGAGGAGTAAATGGGACTGTTTTTGGCAAGTGCTGAGCCATTGCTAAGATTCCCTTACCCGTGCTGTCCCTGTATAAAGGCACAAGGGCCCTTTGAAAGAATTTTACTGCTTATCATTGAAAGGAATAGACTGGGGGCAACAAAAATAACAAACATGCGAAGTTATTATGAAGGCTCCAGCACATTTGCAAAACCTCCATGGTCCTACTGGTTCCTGATTACCTCCACTGAATGAGAGGCAATTCATTACTGAATGAGCCATAAGCGCCTCTTATTTCGAGAGGGGGATGGCAGGACTCAGTAGAGGAGAAGGACCGCACCCAGGCAGCCTGGGCCCCTCGGCTCCTGTACTTATATACTGCTGGGTACTTCTTAGCCCAGCATGTAATTACTGGTTCGTTCAGTCATTCGTTTAGCAAATGTTTCTTGGGCACCTACTACATAGGAGGCACAGGTCAAGGCACTGGGGATATTCTGTGAACCCATAGCCTCCCTTGATACACTGTGATTAGGGGCTGATCCTCATGTCCTGACTGCCTCCTGCAGACATTCTCATGCCTTCCTTCACCTATGCACGCTACACCTATCCTTACTTCCTCAGTGCTGACTTCTGCCAGGCCCTAGGCTACCCACCTGGGGATGTAGAAATGTAGAAATGAACACAGACACGTGGGCCCTGTGCCTGTGGGTTTAAGGTCCGGGGAAGGACAGGCAAGCACACACTAATAATTGAGATGAGTGCCACAGTAAGGATCACAAAGAGGGGGCCTCTGCACCTAGTTTGGGTGGGAGGGGAGGCGTAGAGAAAGGTTACCTGGAGGGAGTGACATTGGAACTGTGCTCTGTGCTCTGGGAAGGCCCTCAGTGACTCCTCAGTTGTCTACTTCACTGGCCCAAGTCACCTGCAGGGACGCTTGCTGTGTTCTCCAGCCTCAGAGCTTGGTGTGCAGCCCTGCCCTGCTTACCATGATGCTGCCATCACAGGGGCTGGAGACAAGTGGACCCAACGCTGTTCACTCAAGGAGATTCCCTTTGCTGCATCCCTCCTCCTGGTCTCAGGAATCTCCATGTCCCCTGCAGTGTTCTCTGACTGACTCCAAGCGCTTCCTCCACCCCTTACCTTTCCAGGGAGCACCCAGTTTAGTTGAATTCTCCTCTGTGAGCCTGAAACACACATGCACTTTATTGCCACCATAGTGAGGAGAGAGAGTGTGAAAACTGCCCAGCCTTTAGAAGCACAATGCTTGATTATTTCCCAGCACAGGAAAGGAGATGTTTACAGACTTGGCCTTTTTCCTTAGTAAATCAGAGTTTCTTATTATATGACAGACACTATGCTAACAGCTTTGCATGCATTATTGCATCTGCCCATCCCAGCCCTGTGAACAGGTGACATAATCATTTTCCTTTTGCAATTGAGGAAGCAGAGTCTGACAGAGGTTAAGTGACCTGCCCAAGGTTGCATAGCTAGCCCTATTATTAAACGGAACTCCCAGTTTGTCTATGTCCAGAACCCATTTTTTTTTTTTTTTTTTTGAGACGGAGTCTCACTCTGCCACCCAGGCTGGAGTGCAATGGCGCGATCTTGGCTCACTGCAACCTCCGCCTCCCGGGTTCAAGTGATTCTTCTGCCTTAGCCTCCTGAGTAGCTGAGACTATAGGTGCCCGCCACCACGCCCAGCTAATTTTTGTATTTTTATTAGGACGGGGTTTCACCATATTGGCCAGGCTGGTCTCGAAATCCTGACCTTGTGATCCGCCCACCTCGGCCTCCCAAAGTGCTGGGATTACAGGTGTGAGCCATTGCGAGCAGCCCAGAACTCAATTCTTAACCTTTAAAGTATGATGAAAAGAAGGATCAAGCCCTCACCAGCCCATTTAAGGAGTTTAGGCTCAGTCTTGAGGATGTGAGAAGTCATTGCTATTGGGTTTCACACTGAGGTTAACAGGTGAAGTCAGCATTTTGGTAGTTCACAGCAGCTGCAACTCTTTGTATTTCTCTGATACCTCCTGTCCCAACCTACATCAGGCCTTCCCTTCTTCCTGCTTCCTTAATTCCTCCATTTTCCCACCAGATGGAAGGACTGGAGCTTTGTGGACAAAGATGAGAAGGCCCGTCTGCAGCACCAGGTCACTGAGGATGGAGAGTTCTGGTGAGTCCAGAACCCAGGAAGACCCAGAAGGGTAAGGGTGGGGAAGAGAGGGGAAATCTCAGACCTCAGTCCCCAGCTAAGGTTATCAGATTCCAGCCCTTGGGAGATCTGGGCTGTGTTCTCCTCCAGCCCAAGGCCCAGCAAGGATGAGGTTCTGAGAGGAGCCTTCCAGGCCACAGGGACAACTGAGCCCAGGACCAGGCCAACATGACATGGCTCTTGCCTCCTGTGTGCCCCTCCGCCACACACTCTATTCCAGCCACAGGCACCCTGGCCTTAGCACAATTCTTTTCTGAGCCTAGGAAGCTCCACTTACCCTGATCTTCCAACGTCAACCTCACCCTCTCTCAGGTTGTTTCTATTCAGGCTTCAAGTCTCAGCTTAAGGAGAATTTTCAAGTCTCAGCTTAAGGAGAGCCCCCTAAGTTCCCCGAGGACTGGGATTAATTTATGATGCTCATCACCCTTAAAATTGTTTGCTTAAGCCGGGCGCGGTGGCTCACGCCTGTAATCCCAGCACTTTGGGAGGCCGAGGTGAACGGATCACGAGGTCAGGAGATCGAGAACATCTTGGCTAACACGGTGAAACCCTGTCTGTACTAAAAATACACAAAAAAAGTAGCCGGGCGTGGCAGCGTGCGCCTGTAGTCCTAGCTGCTGGGGAGGCTGAGGCAGGAGAATCACTTGAACCTGGGAGGCAGAGGTTACAGTGAGCCCAGATTGCGCCACTGCACTCCAGCCTGGGCGACAAGAGAGACTCTGTCTTGGAAAAAAAAAAAAAAATGTTGTCTTAGTATAATGTCAAGGGAAAGGTTTTTTGTGTTTTTATTACTTTATTTTTTATTTAAAAACTATAATAGAGACGGGCCTCGCTATATTTCTCGGGCTGGTCTCAAACTCCTGGGCTCAAGCGGTCCTCCCACCTTGGCCTCCCAAAATGCTGGCATGTGGGCCTGGTCAACATATGGGACCCCAACTCTACAAAAAATTTTAAAATTAGCCAGATGTGGTGGCGTGTGCCTGTAGTCCCAGCTACTTGGGAGGCTGAAGCAGGGGGTCACTTGAGCCCAGGAGGTTGAGGCTGCAGTGAACTATGATTGTACCACTGCAGTCCATCCTGGGCAACAGAGCAAGACACTGTCTTAAAAAAAAAGTGCTGGGATTACAGATGTAAGCCACCACACCTGGCCTTCTATTTTTTATGGATATATCATAGCTATATATATTTTTGGGGTACATATGTACCCATATTTTGGGGGTACATATGTACCCATATTTTGGGGGTACATATGATATTTTGATACACATATACAATGTGTAATGATCAAATTAGGGTAATTGAGATACCATCATCTCAAATATGTATCTTTTCTTTGTGTTGGGAACATTACAATTCTTTTCCTCTAGTTATTTTGAAAGATATATAGGCTGGGCGTGGTGGCTTATGCCTGTAATCCCAGCACCTTGGGAGGCTGAGGCGGGCAGATCACTTGAGGTCAGAAGTTCAAGACTAGCCTGGTCAACATGGTGAAACCCCATCTCTACAAAAATACAAAAATTAGCCAGGTGTGGTGGTGTGCACCTGTAATCCCAGCTGCTCAGCTGGCTGAGGCAGGAGAATCCCTTGACCTCAGGAGGTGGAGGTTGCAGTGAGCCAAGATCATGCCACTGCACTCTAGCCTGGGCAACAGAGCGAGACTCTGTCTCAAAAAATACACACACACACACACACACACACACACACACACACACACACACATATATATACACACATATATATACACACACATATACACACACACACGTCTGTATATATATGTGTGTGTGTATATATACACACACACACTATACTATAAATTCTTGTTTAGCTATGTTTGTCTTACTGTGCTATTGAGCATTAGAGCTTTTTTTTTTTTTTTTTTTTTTGAGACAGAGTCTCACTTTGTCGCCCAGGCTGGCATACAATGGCGCAATATCGGCTCACTGCAACCTCCGCCTCCTGGGTTCAAGTGATTCTCCTGCCTCAGCCTCCCAAGTAACTAGGATTACAAGTGCCCGCCATAATGCTCAGCTAATTTTTGTATTTTCAGTAGAGATGGGGTTTCACCATGTTGGCCAAGCTGGTCTCAAACTCCTAGCCTCAGGTGATCCACCTGCCTCAGCCTCCCAAAGTGCTGGGATTACAGGCATGAGCCACAGCACCCTGGTGAGCACTAGAGCTTATTTCTTCTATCTAACTGTATTTTTGTATCCATTAGCCACCCTCTTTTCATCCTCCCCTCTCCTTCCCTTCCCAGCCTCTGGTAACCACTGTCTGCTCTCTACTTCCATGACATATGCTTTGTTTTAGCTCTCACATATGAGTGAGAGCATGCGACATTTATCTTTCTGGCCCTGGCACATTTTTGAATCATTGTTAGAAAAGATGATGGTTTGGAGTAGATACATCAGAAGTGACAGCGTTTGCCCTAAAAAGGAAAGACAGGCTCCTCTGGGACCCTGACCAAGTTCCTGTGAACTATTTTATTATTGTGCTGTGTTAGTCCTGGGGTCTTCCGTTCCCAGCCCTCCTCACCTGCTCCCATATGGCTCTCTCTCTTCTTCCAACCTCTCAGGATGTCCTATGAGGATTTCATCTACCATTTCACAAAGTTGGAGATCTGCAACCTCACGGCCGATGCTCTGCAGTCTGACAAGCTTCAGACCTGGACAGTGTCTGTGAACGAGGGCCGCTGGGTACGGGGTTGCTCTGCCGGAGGCTGCCGCAACTTCCCAGGTGGGAGATGCTCTTGATGGGGGGAGGGTCTAAGCCGAAAAAGTTCCAGGCAGAAGAAGCCTAACTAGTGCTTATTAAGTCTCTCTGTTCCAGACGTCCACTATCTTATTAAACCTTCCCTGTTTTACTGAGAAGGAAACCACCATGCTGAGAAGTTTGCAATAGGGAGCTGGTAGCAACTTTGAAGCAGGAAACTGTGGGAACAATGCAGATGCTGCTTGACTTACGATGAGGTTATGTCCAGATAAGCCCATCCATCTTTGAAAATACCCTAAGTGAAAAGTGCATTCAATATGCCTAACCCACCAAACATCATAGCTTAGCCTGGCCTACCTTAAACATGCTCGGAACACTGACCTTAGCCTAAAGTTGGGCAAAATCATCTAACTCAAAGCCTATTTTACAAGAAAGTGTTGAATATCTCATGTAACTTACTTAATACTGTACTAAAAGTGAAAAACAGAATGGTTGTACGGGTACTCGAAATCCAGTTTCTACTGAATGTGCATCTCTTTCACATTGTAAAGTTAAAAAATTGTAGCCGAACCATCCTAAGTCAGGGACTGTGAGTACTGTGTCAGTAACAGTAAGGGCACTATTGGAGAACCAAGTTAGCAGCTGCTGCAATAGTTCAAGTCAGAGATGATGAAAACCTAGACCAAGTCAGTAGCAGCAGAGATGGAGGGGAGACAGCAGATTTAGGGAGAGCATATTGGGTGATGTAGGGAAGGAAGAAGAATGATGTCAAGATTCCCAGTTGGGGACCTGACAACATTGCAACATAAGACACACAAGAAGATCGGGTGGGTGGCTCATGCCTATAATCCCAGCACTTTGGGAGGCAGAGCCAGGAGGATCACTTGAGCCCAGGAGTTCAAGACCAGCACAGGCAACATAGTGACACCTCATCGTTACAAAAAATAAAAAAAAAAATGAGGTGGGAGGATTGCTTGAGCTCGGGAGGTTGAGGCTACAATAAACTGTGATCATGCCACTGCACTCCTGCCTGGGTGACAGAGTGAGACCCTGCCTCAAAAAAAAAAGACACACAAGAGAAAAATATCAGCGTGTTGTTTGTTTTTGGTGGAGTTAATTGTGGGGTTCTAGGGAAAGGAATTTAGCTTGGGACATGGAAAGTTTGAGGTTCCTGTAGAGTGTCCCAGTGAAGATTTGTAATAGAGCATCGGATGCGCATATTAGATGGCACTTGGTGATATGATAAGAACTCAAAAAATATTTGAGGAATAAAGGAAAGAAGAGGCCAGACGTGGTGGCTTATGCCTGTAATCCCAGCACTTTGGGAGGCTGAGGCAGGCGGATCACTTGTGGTCAGGAGTTCGAGACCAGCTTGGCTAACATGGTGAAAACCCATCTCTACTAAAGATACAAAAATTAACCGGGGATGATGGTGGGTGCCTGTAATCCCAGCTACTTGGGAGGCTCAGTCAGAAGAATCGCTTGAACCCAGGAGGCGGAGGCTGCAGTGAGCCGAGATCGCGCCACTGCACTCTAGCCTGGGCAACAGAGCCAGACTCCGTCTCAAAAAAAAAAAAGTGAGAGAGATTGAGGCTGGGATATATGGCTCAGGCATCATGCGCGTGTAGGGGGCAGTTAAAAAGCAGAAGTAAGAAAGATTGCCTAGGGAGGCAGGAAGGGTGAGGTGAGAGGAGAAGAGGCCCAGGACCAGATTCTAGTCACCAACAGCGTTTAAGGGGCAGGTAAGGAAAACAAAACCATCAGCAAAGACTGAGAATGAAAGCCCAGAGAGGAAGGAAAAGCCACACATACAATCAGTACAGCTCCATCTGAATAAAGGTAGCGCCCCCCCCCCCCCCAAATCATTAGAGAAATGCCTGAATCGTGTTTTCTGTTGATATTTCCTAAGCACCTAGATGTAGGGAATAGAAATAAATGGCTCCCTCTGTCTCATCCCCTTCCTGCCCTCTGAGAGGCAGCTGTGAATGCGTGCTTCCTTTCTGGGGGTGCAGATACTTTCTGGACCAACCCTCAGTACCGTCTGAAGCTCCTGGAGGAGGACGATGACCCTGATGACTCGGAGGTGATTTGCAGCTTCCTGGTGGCCCTGATGCAGAAGAACCGGCGGAAGGACCGGAAGCTAGGGGCCAGTCTCTTCACCATTGGCTTCGCCATCTACGAGGTGTGCAGTCCTGATTGGCTCCAGCCCAGGAAACATACTTTCCCAGGGAGGACGCTTCCAGGGGCTTCTAGAGGGGCCCTCTGGCTTCCTCAATACCCAGTGACCCACAGAGCTCCTGGTATCAGGACCACTTGTGTTTGTAACAAGCAAAAAATACCAGGGGGGGCATTAGAGAGGCAGTGGAGCGGGCCTGGCAGAACAGGTGCCTGGGGGTCAGGCTTCCGCATGCGGGCTGCAGTTGCTGGCATTGCCTTCCGCAGGCTCCTCATCCTCATTCACATCTGAAGCATCTTCCTTTCTGTTTCTTCTCAAGGTTCCCAAAGAGGTATAGCAGCAGCAGCGGCCAGCAGTTGTGTGCAGCACTACCCAGGGGGCCCCGAGTCTGTCTGTGGCTCGTCGAGAAGCTTCCTGGTGGGGTTTGTGGGCAGGACTGTGATAGGAGAGGGCCTTGCCTGTGTTATTTCCACTGCAGAGCAGGTGCCTCAGGGCATTGCATGACCCATGACTACCACCCCCAGGATGTGCACTTTCTCCCTCGCACCAGACACTGCACGTCACACACATGCCTTTGCACACTCACCCTCCTCCACGCTTACAGCCACACACACAGTCACACAGACGCGTTCTGAGGGTGGCTGCCCGCTTGGGATGGAGGAATCACTTCCCTCAGAACCCAGCCAAGTCCTCTAGGCCTCCTTGGGGGTCCTTCCAGCCTGAGGGGCTTCGGAGCTGAGGAGCAGCTGTTCTGGTAAGTGTCCCTGAGTGTGGGGATGACACATTTGCCATTCACTCTGAATCACAACAGAAAAGGAAGAGGAAGTGAGGTAGGGAGGCTATTTAAGCCTTGGGAGTCGGAAGTAGGGAGGTTGAAACTGTGACATGGGTGACCAGGGAGTTGGGAAGGGACCCTTGGAGGTGGCTGTGGCAGGACAGGATGTTCCTCCCGAGGGGCTCATGTGCCCTGGGCTCTCCCCATCTCTCAGATGCACGGGAACAAGCAGCACCTGCAGAAGGACTTCTTCCTGTACAACGCCTCCAAGGCCAGGAGCAAAACCTACATCAACATGCGGGAGGTGTCCCAGCGCTTCCGCCTGCCTCCCAGCGAGTACGTCATCGTGCCCTCCACCTACGAGCCCCACCAGGAGGGGGAATTCATCCTCCGGGTCTTCTCTGAAAAGAGGAACCTCTCTGAGTGAGTGCTGGCCCAGCTTTCCCACGTGTTTCTAAAAGCTCACATGGCCCACTCCAGAGGTTGAAGGCATGAGGCAGCTAGACACGTCTCCTCCAGGGTCCTTCTGCTGCTCCTGAGCCACTGGCCACATTACCCCCATTCATTCATTCATCCATTCTGTGATATTTATTGAGCACCTACTATGTTCCAGGCACTGTCCTAGGCACTAAGGATAGAGTAGTGAAGTAAACAGAAAGAAATCCCTGCCTTCATGGAGCTTAATATTCTAACATGAGACAATAATGGATAGGAAAAACATATGTAGCATGTTAGATTTGGAGAGGTGATATGGAGCAAAAATAAAGTAGGGAAGAGGGATAGGAGGTGTTGGGGATGCTTGAAATTTTAGGTTAGCATGGCCAGGAAAGCCACATCCTGTCCCTGGCCACCACAGATGAGCTCATAGCCCCTGCCACTCTGATCTCTGTCCTTGGAAGATGCACCAGGTCCATGGGTAGGTGGCTGGGTCATGCCTTTGGGGGGCTCTGAGCAATACTAACAAGAACCTGCGTGCCTGGGCTTGGCTGTCGGGGATGGTGCTGACATGGGGCTGGTTCCTGGGGTTGGGGTGTTCCAGGGGTTCTCTAGAGGCTGGTTCTGGCTTGGCTGCCAGGAAGCCGTGCACCAGAGCAAACCGTCCACGGGCCTCCTGCTTGCTTCTGGTGACACTGAGACCCCACATGTCTGTATTCCTCACAGGGAAGTTGAAAATACCATCTCCGTGGATCGGCCAGTGGTGAGTGGTTTAGATCTTCTGTGCGAAAAGTCCAGAGGGTCCCCTTCCCTGACCATGCAGGGGACAGATGGTGCAGGGGAGAATGGGCACTGGCAGAGGGAATGGGAGTCTGGGCTGTGCTGAGCAGTCCCTCCTTGGCACTGCAAATCCTACTTTGGCATGGCCAGAAGTAATCGGCCTTAAGCACCGGGGGCCATTGAGGCAGTTCAGGGGCTGGGAAATATGGAAGAGGGTCCTGGAAAGGAGAAGCAATTTGAACAATCGGAGGGAACAAGGCCACAGGAAGGGATGACAAGAGCCGCAGCGAACACTGGATTCTGAGACTGGATAACATTGGATTTCACACATAGAGAAAAGAAAGTAAGCTGGTGCCGGACCTGGTGTTGACACTTGGATCCTCCACTTACCAGCGGGGTGACCTGGACAATTTCTGTAATCCCTCTCACTCAGTTTCCTACTCAGTAAAACGGGGATGATAATGTGCCTTGCAAGGCTTTTGTGAGGCTTCATCAATGAGGTGATGTATGTGAAGTGTCTGGCACAGCATGGGCACTCAAACAGAGGTGCTTTTTCACACTTTACACCTTACAAGGTACTTTTCACATGTGTCATCGCGATACTTGCAAGGTTGCTGAGAGGTAGATGGGGTTATAATCCCTGGTGTTCAAGAAAGGAAGCAGAGGCTCAATGGGGTTGAATGACTTCTCTGAGTTCACAGAGCTCAGTAAGTGGCAGGGTTGGAACTCACATTCAGACTCTCTGACTCCAGACTTAGGTTTTTCCGCACCTCCACGCTGAGGCCAGCCCCAGGCAGTGAGAAGCCCAAAGTCCGAAGCACAGAGTGCTGTGTGTTGGGCTCTGTGTGTTGAGGAGTCTTGTGACTGCCTTGGGGCTTTGGGCTGTAGTCAGCTGACAGTCCTTTGTGCTCTGTGGGGATGACGTAGGCCAATGGGAGGACAAATGCCCCTCTGAACTGTCTTCTGGGCAGTGACAGTCATGGTCATAATCCTGACCCTGAGCCAGTGCCAGGTCTCCAAGTGCCTTCTGAATGACCACAGGCGATTGGTTTTAGTGGTAGGTGTGTGGGGATCTGTTCTGGTCATCTGGATGCTGGTCATCGGTGTGCAGTATTGATCAGGACCTGCAAACCCAAAAGCTTATGGGAGCTGGCACGTCACGTGAGTAGAGCAGGCAGGTGCAGGGGTTTTGATGTCCCTGCACTGACACAGTTGTCTGCAGTTCTCAATTGACATTTCGCTCCAGTGTCGAGGGTCAACAGGAATGTTGGGGCGTGGGGCAATCTGGAAGACACAGGGAGCAGGGCCCTTGGCTCAGCTGATAGTTGCCGCAGGGATTACAGGCCCAGGGCAGCCTGCCACAGCTGGGGCTTTTACCAAAGAAAATCTCCCTATGTTAAATGCTTGCTCAAAAATTTTTAAAAAATATTCTGTAAGTCAAAATCCATTGTTAGGTCAGTTTGAGAGAGCCATGTTTTTGGTGTTTTAGTAACCAATTTCATTTTTTTATTATTTATTTATTTGTTTATTTTTGAGACGGAGTTTCACTCTTGTCACCCAGGC
Organism: Homo sapiens; assembly: GCF_000001405.40. Classification (NCBI taxonomy): domain Eukaryota; kingdom Metazoa; phylum Chordata; class Mammalia; order Primates; family Hominidae; genus Homo; species Homo sapiens. The sequence goes on from NC_000015.10 coordinate 42,405,358, forward strand.
TGGAGTGCAATGGCATGATCTCAGCTCACTGCAACCTCCGCCTCCCGGGTTCAAGCAATTCTCCTGCCTCAGCCTCCTGAGTAGCTGAGATTACAGGTGCCCACCATCACGCCTGGATAATTTTTGTATTTTTTAGTCGAGATGGGGTTTCACCATGTTGGCCAGGATAGTCCTGAACTACTGACCTCAGATAATCCGCCCACCTCAGCCTCCCAAAGTGCTGGGATTACAGGCATGAGCCAGCACGCCCGGCCACCAATTTCATTTTTTAAAAAAGGAAGAAAGAAAACCTTAGCCAGAAGATCTTTTTCCTTGCCATATGCAGTAAGAGTAGATTATAAAAACAAAGTCAGAGCAGTCACTGGTGTCTGGGCATGGAGGAGAAAGAAGAATTCTCTTCTCCCTTCACCCTCCATGCCCCTTTTTGGCTCCATGTGATTCAGATTTCTGGACCCTGGAGCCCCACCCCAAGCTAAAGACCAGGATACAGGGAAGCCAAAAGCCACTGGCGGTTCTGAGAACTTACTTTTCACTTATTCTGCATTTACTGTTTCCTTTTCTTATGCAGAAAAAGAAAAAAACCAAGGTAGGTGTGTGGGTAGAGAGCATGAAGTGTGTGTACTCATGCATATGTATGTGCATGCATGTGAAGTGTGCATGTGTGAGCTCATATGCATCCATGCACCAGACTTGCCTCTTCCTCCCCCTCCTTCCTGAGCTTCTGCTGGGGCCGAGCGTGCAGTAATGACAACTACGATTTGCTGGGGGAAGGCTACGTGCCAAGCACTCTTTTAGGTGCTTTCCATGATTAATTCCTTCCTCACAACAGCCCTATGAGATTAGTACTATAACTATCCCCATTTTCAGAGGGAGAAAAGGTACAGACTTGACTAACTTGCCCAAGGCCACACAGCCAGAGAGGGGCAGAGCCAGTACTTAGAGCCAGGCAGTCTGGGTCCAGAGTCCGTGTCCTGAACCACAAGAGGCCATCATACACCATCAGATTTGGTGCTAGCATTTCTGGTGGTGCCTGGTGGTGATGGATCCATCACAGGGGTCCTCCAGGTACTGGTGCTGGCCCAGACCAGAGCTGACACTCCTCAGGCACTACCACATTCCAGGCACTGTGCTTGGGGTCAGTCCCTCTCTTTTTTTTCCCCCCCAATTATAACAGTATCTACAAAGTAGGTGCTGTTATTTTTCCCCTTTCACAGGTGAGATAGACTCAAAGAAGTGAACTTGCCCAAGGAACAGAACTAATGAGTGGGGAAAATGGAACTGGAAACCATGTCTGTTTACTCCAAAACCTGTGTTTCTTGCCCTCTTTCTCTGATGCCAGCCCCCTACACTTCAAGGCCTGTGTTGTCCAGACCCACACTCGGGCCTGCCAGTGTGTGCCTGGCAGGGATGCTCCATGGCCACACCATATCCATCCTACACATCCCCCCTCAGACTGTGACCTCCATTTGCTCTGGGATCCCCACAAGCTTCAGCTGCTTGAGCAAGACACTGCTTAGAAGGCAGAGCAAGCCAAGGCCTCTGGGGCCTGCTGGGAGCCAAAGCTGGGGAGCCGTTTCCACGGGTCTATCTGCTTGAGCTGTCCTAGATGAGCAGCATGGAAGGGCAGTGGTGCATGAGTCCAGGCGGGCTGCTTTTCTGCTCCGAGAGGCTCTGCCTGCCCAGTTGTTCTCTGCATTGCAGCCTCAATCCCCACAGCCTTGCCTTCCCCCGGCTTTCCCTACAGGTGCACCGCATCCACAGTGTTGGCACCATGCAGCAGCCGCTCTCCGTCCTTTTCATATCCTTGTCACTTGCACGAGCATGTCTTGAAAATATCCCTTGTTTGTGTAGCATCTTAAATGTTTTTGCAGTATGATTTTGCATTCAGTATCTCATTTGATCCCCACAAGAGCCCTATGAGGAGGGAAAGCAGATTTTACCATTAAAGGATGAGTAAACTGAGGCCAGAGAGGATATTTTTGGTTTTTTTTGAGACAGTCTCACTCTGTCACCCAGCCTGGAGTGCAGTGGCTTGATCTTGGCTCACTGCAAGCTCCACCTCCCATGTTCACACCATTTTCCTGCCTCAGCCTCCCAAGTAGCTGGGACTACAGGCACCCACCACCACACCCAGCTAATTTTTTTGTATCTTTAGTAGAGATGGGGTTTCACCCAGTTAGCCAGGATGGTCTTGATCTCCTGACCTTGTGATCTGCCTGCTTCGGCCTCCTAAAGTGCTGGGATTACAGGCGTGAGCCACCGTGCCCGGCCAGAGAGGATATTTCTTATATGAGGGGCAGGGCTGGGATTCCAGCCCAGTGTTCTGATGGCTCACCCACTGACCATGCCACTAATCCGTGTCCTTTTTCAATCTATACTTTGCAGGGTTGTAGAGGTTCCTTTGAGGTGCCTCAGTAGCTGCCATGGTGATGTGGGGTGCTGAGGGCAAAGAGCTCTGTTCTCATTAATCAGAGAAGCTTGTGTTTTTATATACACCATGTTTCTGCAGGAAATTTAATTTGAACAGTGTTTCCATCTGGAAAAAAAAAAGTCTACAAAATACTTGACAATCACTGCACTAGATCATGCTGCTTTTAGCATTCTTAGCATTTCACGTGCTGAGCTCTCAATACTCTACCATGAGGAGGGATGGAGTGGGTATGAAAAGATAAAGAACTGAAGTCACACGGCTTGTCAGTGGCAGAGATAGAGCTTGAACCGAGGTTGAAGAGCTCCCGCCTATTCCTTTCCTCTTCTCACTGGATAAAGCTGCTCCAAGAGAGGTGCTGCCTCAGTGTGCCTGTTCAGACTGTAATCCTCCCTTCCTTCCTGCCTCCTCCCTCCTCTCTCCAGCCCATCATCTTCGTTTCGGACAGAGCAAACAGCAACAAGGAGCTGGGTGTGGACCAGGAGTCAGAGGAGGGCAAAGGCAAAACAAGCCCTGATAAGCAAAAGCAGTCCCCACAGGTGTCTGGGCATGTGGCATGGGTGGGGTGGCCAGCACGCTACAGGGGCTTCCTATGCGCTTGGGATACACAGGGGCTGGAGGCTTCCCAGGAGTTTGTCTTGAACATCTGGAGGTTTGAATTTGTCCCACTGACCTTTTCTTTCAGCAAGTTCCCCTGAAATTTGGGCTGCTGCTTGGGTGAATATCCCAGGATGGGGGTTCCATTCTAGGAGTGGACTGGCAGGCTGAGCCTCCCATGGAGCTGATCCAGCCAGGATACAGAGAAGGGGAGGCAAAGGCTGAGACAGAACCAGCTTGAGAGCGGAGGCGCAACTCTTGTCTCCTGGTGGCCTTGAGCATTTCACAATAGGGGGATAAAGGATAGGAGCAGAAAAGTGGGGCTGACTTCAGAAATGGGGTCCTCTAGAGCTCACGGGAGGGTGTTAGATTGGAGTGGGAGCTTAGTGGAGGTGAGCCTTAGAGGCAAAAGTCTCCAGACCAATCCAGGGCCCCTCTTCTATCCGGGGGCCCCTCTTCTATCCAGGGCCCCTCTTCTGTCTGGGAGCCCCTCTTCTATCTGGGGCCTCATGCAGTGGGGCCTAGGGGAGGTTCTCTGAGGACTTGGCCTTGATGACAGGGTGGCTGGAGGAATCAGAACGGTCAGACCTTCTTTGACCTGCGGGCACCTTTAGTTGGAATGGTCAGGCCTGGGATGGTGGAGGGGGCTCTTGCAGGTGGGGACTGGGGTGGCGGGGAGGAGGCTGTATGGCCGCCATATCTCCTTTGGCTGGGGGCGTCAGGGCTGGAGAGGTGTGAAGAGTCCCTGAGGCCTCGATGCATCTCACTCCAGCTCACCAGGTCTGCATTTGCCCGTCCCCAGCTCCTGCTGCCACCTCCGGCCGTTTTAGGCACTTGGCTCCCTTGGCCCAGAGGAGCTTGCCTCACAGGCCTGTGCACCTCTGACCCCTGTGAACCAGTTTTCCTTTGTGCCTCCACAGCCACAGCCTGGCAGCTCTGATCAGGAAAGTGAGGAACAGCAACAATTCCGGAACATTTTCAAGCAGATAGCAGGAGATGTGAGTACCTCCAAGCCCAGGACGCCCACAGGTGCTTCCTTCTCTCCTGGATTAACTGCTCAGATTACCAATTATTTCATTATTGTTTGGTAGAGGTCACTTTGGACTTTGGTGGAGCCAGGGGATGTGTGCGTAGCACACAAATCCACAAGCCCTTGAGTTTTGGACTGCCACGTCTGCTGGGGGGCTCAGAGGCCTTTTTGCTCTGAGCTGCCCACGGTGGTCCTGATAGCTGAGGTGCAGTATCTGGCCCCCTGTCTTCCTCAGAAAAGCCCCAGCTTCCCATGACATAATAGCACCGACAGGGATTTTACAAACACAGCCAGGTGGAATTTGTTTTGCAAAGTGTCCGCGCCAGGAGCTGCTGTACTCCTGAACCATGACCCTCCTCTCCCTTCCTCCTCAGGACATGGAGATCTGTGCAGATGAGCTCAAGAAGGTCCTTAACACAGTCGTGAACAAACGTGAGTTGCTCAAACCAAATGGGGGTGGGGTGGGTGGGGAGTCCCGTTGTCTCAAAGCAGCTCCTCACTCTTCTCCATCCCCCCAGACAAGGACCTGAAGACACACGGGTTCACACTGGAGTCCTGCCGTAGCATGATTGCGCTCATGGATGTATCCTTCCTGCCGCCCCTTCCCGACCCTCTGTCATCAGCCCACGGGGGCCAAGGCAACATACAGGGTGCCCAGTCAGGCAAAGGGCCCTAATTTGTGCCCAGGGAAACTTAAGGAGACCCTGATTCAGAACATCTTGGATACTCGTCTGAAAGGGGTTGTTAGAGGCGGAAGGGGAGGATGTTGGGTTGTAACTGCCCTAACCCCTGTGCTTCTCTCAGGCCTGGGATCCTGCCCAAGCAAAAGTGGTCCTTAGGAGAGCGGCTCCTGGGTTACAGAGTAGGCGCAATCTCTGACTGGTGGTGGAGTGGAGGGGAGGGTTAAATAGTACAACAGGGCAGTGGGTAGGACAGCCCGGAGTCTCCTAGACCCTCCCTCCAAATCCAGGGGGATTTTGCTGTGTGCTGTGTAGCCCTGACCTCCCTCCTCCAGACAGATGGCTCTGGAAAGCTCAACCTGCAGGAGTTCCACCACCTCTGGAACAAGATTAAGGCCTGGCAGGTGGGAAGAGAAAATGAAGCGTGGGAGTCAAGAATGGGGTTGATTTGGAGATTCAGTGTGTGACCTCCATCCTCAAATTTTCTATTGCCAGAAAATTTTCAAACACTATGACACAGACCAGTCCGGCACCATCAACAGCTACGAGATGCGAAATGCAGTCAACGACGCAGGTGCTGAGAAGGAAGGGGTGGCAGGGATGTGGACCCGAGACGGTGGGAGCAGGAATGGGAGGGGACTAGGCTACTAGGGCCCCACTAGAGAAAGGAGAGGGAAAGGGCTTCTCACTTTCCCTTCCCAGGTCACAGAGTGGCCGAGAGGCAGGGAAAATAGAAGGCAGGCCCAAGGCCTCCAGCTCCACGTCCACCTCTAACATGGTCCCCTCCACAGGATTCCACCTCAACAACCAGCTCTATGACATCATTACCATGCGGTACGCAGACAAACACATGAACATCGACTTTGACAGTTTCATCTGCTGCTTCGTTAGGCTGGAGGGCATGTTCAGTAAGTGGGAGAGGGGGGCTGCCCTCTGCTCTCTTGCAGGGGCAGTTGTGGCAACAGGCATCTCACCTGATAATCTCCAGTCTGCTCCATCCAGGCTGAACAAGGGCCAATGACCTCTTTAGGCCCAGAATGGGATGGCAAAGGGAGGGTTACTGGTGATTCTCTGCCTGCACATCTTTGTGCTGATGAGGGACAGCACTGGGCACATGGTCCTCTGAGGGGAAGTTACAGTAGTAGAGGCGGAGTGCGCCTGTAACTGGCCTCTGGCCTGTGCATTCTTTCACAGGAGCTTTTCATGCATTTGACAAGGATGGAGATGGTATCATCAAGCTCAACGTTCTGGAGGTAAAGCATAGGCACAGCACATTCCCCCTACACATTAAAACTCAAGGTGGAGGGGTCAACGGGGCGGACTGGACCCAGGGTGTGCTCCTCATTTCCACACAGTGGTGGAGGGAAGGGATAGGAACAGAACATGGAGGGAGGCTCAGCAGGCTCCCAGGACACATGCACTTGAGGCCCAAAAGGACCTCTGCTCCCCCAGTCACTTGATGCGGGAAAACATGCACCTTCTTAGGGAAGATCTAGGAGAAAGGAAACAGTAAGCCACTGCTTCTTGGAAAATCTTCTGGGGGTCTGACCTGCTGGGACTGTTCCCTTTCCTCTTGCCCCGTAAGATTCCTAGGGCGGGGGGGGGGGGGGTCACTCTTTTCTGATCTACATTCTGATCTTGGGACTTCTTTCAGTGGCTGCAGCTCACCATGTATGCCTGAACCAGGCTGGCCTCATCCAAAGCCATGCAGGATCACTCAGGATTTCAGTTTCACCCTCTATTTCCAAAGCCATTTACCTCAAAGGACCCAGCAGCTACACCCCTACAGGCTTCCAGGCACCTCATCAGTCATGCTCCTCCTCCATTTTACCCCCTACCCATCCTTGATCGGTCATGCCTAGCCTGACCCTTTAGTAAAGCAATGAGGTAGGAAGAACAAACCCTTGTCCCTTTGCCATGTGGAGGAAAGTGCCTGCCTCTGGTCCGAGCCGCCTCGGTTCTGAAGCGAGTGCTCCTGCTTACCTTGCTCTAGGCTGTCTGCAGAAGCACCTGCCGGTGGCACTCAGCACCTCCTTGTGCTAGAGCCCTCCATCACCTTCACGCTGTCCCACCATGGGCCAGGAACCAAACCAGCACTGGGTTCTACTGCTGTGGGGTAAACTAACTCAGTGGAATAGGGCTGGTTACTTTGGGCTGTCCAACTCATAAGTTTGGCTGCATTTTGAAAAAAGCTGATCTAAATAAAGGCATGTGTATGGCTGGTCCCCTTGTGTTTTGTTGTCTCACATTTAGATATCAGCCATGCATGACTGAATGGCTTCCAATCATATACTCACCTATCACCTACAAGAGAACAATGAAAAACACACACAAAAACAAAATCTTGAATTTTGTAATCATGCCTATTGCTATTTCTTGAGCATAAGAATGGCTCAGATACTTTCCAAGACATAAAAGGAAGGCAGAGGAATAGTTGTTGCTGTAAAAGACATCAAGAATAAATGGGTCATGTACAACGGGAGGGGCCGGTTACCTGAATAATGGAGTGGAGATTGAGCTATCCTAGCTCCTCTGCTCACTAACTGACCTGTCGCATGACCGTGGACAAAACCCTGAACGCAGCTGTTTGTTTGCTAAACTTCTCTGGACCATGGCCTGCGGCATATCTATAGGCATCCTGTGTTTTCCACCCAGTTTCCTTCTTCCTCGCTAAGCCAACGTGGAAAGGGCTGGCCGTGAATATGCAGACAAGGTAACGAAAGTAAACCGTCAATTAGTAAAAGTACTTTATTTTCCTCTTGTATTTGCTTTATATCTTGCTTTACAAAGTTACGAAGTTCACAGCTTTATACCAAAATGTAAGAAGGCTATTTGCTTATAAACATTTTTGCAGTCAGGTGTCATCTGATTTCATTCTTCTAATCCATATTCAATATTAAAAAAATCAGAAACCAAGGGTGCTGGAGCAGCTCTAGGGCATATATTTCTCTTAAATAGGAGAAAGATTTTCAACAGCTTTTCCTCCTTGACCCCCTCCTTTCCCAATTTATTTGGGTCACTACCTTGAATTTAGAGTGAATCTGGGAAATGTAGTCACCAGGTAACCCAGCAGGGCCATATACTTGGGCTTGGAGGTGAGGTTAGAGGTTACTGTCTAATACAGTAGGTCTGGTTTCTATGAGGAGCTCATATCCACTTGCATAAGGAAACCTAGTCTATCCCAAATCACCTCCACCACAACTTCTATTCCTGTCTATTAGACCACTTCTCTTAAACCCGAGGAACCTGATGATTTGGGGGCAGGGATAAAACCATTATTTTATAAATGTGGCAGGTATGGCCTTCGTAATTCTAGAAGCTCCCGTTTAGGTAACAGAAACAAAATTTAGATGTAAGCATAAACTGCAGTTATTTGAGCAAACCAGAGCATATGTGCTGTTCAAATCCCACTTCACAATATACTTCAATCTCACCTCCAATGAATTCTCTTCCATAAAATAAACCATTCCACTAAGTATATACCTACTCCCACCAAATCATCCACATGCCTCATCACTAAAGTTGTCCCTTGTATAATCTACCAGCAAAAAGACAAAATAAAACCTGTGTTAAGCAAATAATCACTTAAACAGTAATAATATTGCCTCTAAATTAAAGGTAAGTCAGGAGCTGAACACTCAACTGTTAACTCTTCTGGGGAAGAAGAAAATTTTTCCCACAAAAGCAGGAGTGCAGTAGTAAGTAATGACTTTCTCTCAGATTCAAGTAACATCAGGTCAAGATAACCTTTGCTGTTAGAGTTTTGTTTGCATGGTGTGGAACTGCTTTATAAACTGAGTAGAGACGTATGCCAAAATTATTTTTAACCTAATTAAAAACTTTCACAGAAAACTTGAAGTGACTGATACTTTATCACAACGAACTGCCATTTAAACACTAGCATAGGTACACAAAAAGATTTATACTATGGTTTTCTTGGCTTTAAGCCATTAGAATTAGACAAAAGCAACCGAGAGTAACATTCTAAAAGTGGCTTCAACTACTTTAAAGACATGAGTCAGTTTTTGTCAGGTCATTTAATGGTTTCTTTCCTTCACAAAGCCACTAAATGCCAGAGTCAACACAGATCCCTGAGCCATAGCTCTTCTCTGAGGGGAAACAGGGTTATAATCAGTCACAACATTGTGGAAGACATTAAAAAAAGAAGGCAAAGTTCTGTATAATTTTCAAGACTCTTGTAAGTAGTAACACACAGCCATAAGCAGCCAAAATGCTTATGGTCCCTTTATTTCTTAATAGAGGGCTAGAACCGTTCATTTGGGGTAACACACTAATCTGGTGTTAAAAGAATTTCATGTGTTCTTGAAACAAAGGCATACTGCCACTGCTTCAAAAAAAGCCTTTGTGAAATGAAGAAAAATATGACAAACACAGGTTCCCACACGTACACATACATACAAAGGAACCTGCACACTTGCACACACACAGGCAGGTATAGGCACACAGTTCCACCAAAGCGAAGTCCAAATCAGAGTTCTTACCGATTCTACCACTCTGTAATACTCTCAGAAGTTCCCACAACTGCCCAACACCTCACCTACCCGTTTCCTGCTGCACAAAGTCTCCTTCACTCTCATCTTTTCGATACATCGTCAGGCAGGGCAGAAGGGCACTACGCCGCAGAGCATTCGAGGCTCTCAGCACACTGCCAGCCAGCGTGAAAATGCGGCTTCACTACAGCCCAGAGAAAAGGGCCAGGTTTAGTCATCGATCCAGATGCATTTTCCCGGGAAATGACCATTCCCAAACCCACAGAACAGTTTGGCTTCTCTGGATATCCTTATAGGAAATAGGGGTGAGAGGTGGGAAAAGCTTCTCAATCTCATACAGAAACAGCACAAATATTTAATACACCTTTTGCAACAAGATCTTCTCTGTTCTCCATTAAGCATCATGTAAATCTCACTAGTGTGGTTAACAAAATGGCTTTCCCCAAGGACAGAAGTCAAGAGCTTGTGGGGCCATATATTATCTAGTACTAGGCCATTCATTATCTCCTAGATTAACTCTTTTTTTTTTTTTTTTGAGGTGGAGTTTCACTCTTGTCGCCCAGGCTGGAGTGCAGTAGTATGATCTTGGCTCACTGCAACTTCTACCTCCAGGGTTCAAGTGATTCTCCTGTCTCAGCCTCCTGAGTAGCTGAGACTACAGGCACATACCACCACACCCAGCTAATTTTTGTATTTTTAATAGAGACGGGGTTTCACTATGTTGGCCAGGCTGGTCTCAAATGCCTGACCTTGAGTGATCCACCCGCCTCGGCCTCCCAAAGAGCTGGGATTACAGGTGTGAGCCACCAGGCCCGGCCTCCTAGATTAATTCTTGACATTTTTTGGATCAAGTAAGAACCACTGGAGCCTTTCCTGGAAAAAAGAACACATACTCAGTCTCACACACAATTTCTGGGGGCTCACAGACCCTCTTGAAGCCTATCCATAAACCCCCTGGTGAAGTCCCCCTGCCCGATAGCCTGAGGGAAGACATGTGAGTGGATATATGTGCACTAACAGGGGCGAAGACAGACCTGGATGGTCTGCAATCCCAGAGAGCATGAGGCACCATGTCCCAAAGCTTGGTATGTGGCCCTGGGCTCCTCCCCCAATTTTATCTCTCTGAAGAAGCTGAGTTTTTTTTTTTTTTTTTGAGACGGAGTCTCACTCTGTCACCAGGCTGGAGTGCAGTGGCACGATCTCAGCTTACTGCAATCTCTGCCTCCCGGGTTCAAGCGATTCTCCTGCCTCAGCCTCCTGAGCAGCTGGGATTACAGGCGCCCACCACGCCCGGCTTTTTGTATTTTTAGTAGAGACGGGGTTTTGCCATGTTGGCCAGGCTGGTCTGCAACTCCTAGCCTCAGGTGATCTGCCTGCCTCAGCCTCCCAAAGTGCTGGGATTACAGGCGTGAGCCACCACGCCCGGCCACGTTCTGAGTTTTGAGGATCCAGAAACAAAAGGCTGGAAAGCGACACTTCTACAGGTTTACTGATGAGTCCGGAGAAAATCCAAAAACAAAGCCCCACTGAGGGTTTGTGAATTTGGCTGTTCTCAGTGGCCAGGCAGAGTCTCTGCTCCACTCTTCTTTCCCAGCTAGCAGGGAAGTGAAGGCAAAGAACTGTCTCAGAAACAAGTCTCTAGGAAGTCTGCTTGAGGTCCTGAAAACTGTATTCAGATGCTTTATTCTAACCCCCTCTCCCCCACCATCTTAGTTGCTGCAGGGGGGTGGAAAACACCCCGTGAGCCCAGAGGAATATTCGATGGCTGCCATCGGTCTAGGCACGGCCATACAGTGGGAGAGATGGAGGCTGGCAACTGAACAAACCAAAAGGGTTCAAACCAACATTAGGCTTGCAGGGTCAGACACTAGAAAGGAAGATAAAGGTACACCTCCAGTTCAACAGCCTGACAGGATCTGTAACAGGTAGTGCCCAGGTTCAACAGCAGATGTAAAGGTAGACGTTAGGTCTACGCACTGCCTCACACTGAGCTTTCTATCCACATTTACAGAGATTTACTAGAAGTGGTGTCTGTAAGGACTTGTCACTATGTGATTTGCTTCCTGAATTCCTAAAAGATAGTCAGCAGAGCAGCCACTGTTTGTCAAAAATCTACTGTGTCCTTTAGCACTTAAAGCCAGCTCTATCTATAAAGCAAGAAAACAGTGACACACACTGCACATAATTGTTAAGAAAGAAAACTATTTGCTTCCAGTTTAAATACCCAGCTATTACAAATGGAGAAATTAAAACTGATCCTCAAAGTCTGGCACTTAAACAAACTTGTACTTAAAAGCCTGACTATAGGTTTAAACCATCATAAGAACATAAATTAAAAATTGCAAACTGAAATCAATAAAATATACATATGATTAGGGTCAAACTGGGTAACCAATTAGGATCTGTATCTTCAATAAACATCTGGAGAACGCAAATAGCATATATCACTATATGCCATGCTGTCCCAGAGAAGTATGGTTCCTTAACATTTGTCTAAATCTATTTAAAACCTCCAGCAAGAACTTAAAAGTGTAATTTATCATCCCATAGAGCTGCCCAGACTTATGCTAGGGGTATGCCTGGCTAGTAACCACTTTCTCCTTCCTTACTTCACCAAGAAAGGGAAGAGAGTGGCCTGTGTGGGGGGCCAATGTGAAAATAGTTCAACTAATGACTTCCCAACGTGGGAGGCAAAAAACTTCATGAATCAATTTTGCTGTCATCTTCAGCATGTCGTTCAATATGTCCTGCAGCATCCTAGGAATGAAGGGAAAAGGGCCCATGAGAGAGAAGTCGATAGTAAGACAGGAGAAAGTCAAAGCCAAGGAAAGCCATGTGGGTCCATTCCACCTAGGATCCAGACAGGAAAGGCAGTTAGGAGCCAGCACTTTGCTAACTTACGTGAAACCATGTACTTAAAGGTGAGCTGTTGTCTCAGCACAAGAGCACTGTAATAAATCTCCAGGTTCAGTTACTGGATTTGAAACATCTGAAAACATTCTCTTTAGGCCCTTTCTCAAAAATGACCTAATTCTTCATTTGCAACTTCATTAAGCTACCCCCCAAATCTCTGAATCATAAAAATAAAAAACCCTAGGCCCTCCCTATATATGGCAATTCTCAATAATAAAAAAGGTTTGCTAGCCCCTGCTCTGAGCAGTCTACTGAATCCCAGGCAAACCTCAAGTCCCACTAATGTACCTGTTTGGATCCTTTCCTAGCAGTGAAAAAAGCATCGCAGTTCTTCCAGCGACATTTCAGAGTCTGGAAGTTGGGATTAGTGTGGTCGGTCAGCAAGTGTTGTTTTAAATGATCTACAACGCCAAATATCAGAGAGCAACCATGCCACTGGAGAGAAAGAAAATGAGGAGACTCGGTGAAAAAGGGTGCAGTGAACGTGAATCAGAACAGCCCCCAGCTGGATCCCATAAGCACTATGGAAGCAAAAAGCCAGCCCCTTATTTCAAATTTATTCTTGGCTAGAAAAGACAACAAAGCCAAGGCAACCAAAATATCAGTATAATGAGGAACCTTGAAAATACTGGAAAAATCTTTTGATATTTTGAGAGGGCACAGCACTAACGTAGCAATTACAACTTCTTAAATCAGGAAAAGGCCAGCAAATGTTTATGGGTAAATTACCATGAAATTCTGTTTAAACTGTATTTTTTGATGTTGCCATCATAAAATTGAGTTTCTATCTTAGTTTATTCAATACAAAAGGCAAATACCTTTCCTATAATATCGAAAGGGCTTTTTTTTTTTTTTTTTTGAGATGGAGTTTCACTCCTGTTGCCCAGGCTGGAGTGCAGTGGCACGATCTCGGCTCACTGCAACCTCTGCCCCCTGCCCCCTGGGTTCAAGCAGTTCTGCTGCCTCGGCCTCCCAAATAGTTGGGATTACAGGCGTGCACCACCACGGCCAGTTAATTTTTTTTTTTTTTTTTTTTTTTTTTAGTAAAGACAGGGTTTCACCATGTTGGTCAGGCTGGTCTCAAACTCCCAACCTCAAGTGATCCGCCCATCTTGGCCTCCCAAAGTGCTGGGATTACAGGCGTGAGCCACCGCACCCCGCCCGAAAGGGCTATTTTTAACAATTCTAAGAACTGTTGAATGTAAATGTGAAAATAAAAATGTCTGATAAAGAAAACTACATTTGTGGAAATATTTATTGTAGAATACTGTGTTTGCCATGGAAGCCTGACTTTACTCACAACCTTTGTCACTTGAATCTCAATCTTATGAATACCTACTTATTTTTTTAAGCTATAATTTTACTTATAAACGTGGCTTAATTTCATGTATTAGAAAGCATAAGCTAGTGTCTTATGCTTCCTAAGTGGTGGCTCAGTGGGATTACACCCTGTAATCCCAGCACTTTGGGAGGCCGAGGTGGGTGGTTCACTTCAGCCCAGGAGCTCGAGACCAGCCTGGGCAACATAGTGAGACCCTTTCTCTACCAAAAAAAAAAAAAAAAAAATACAGGCCGGGCGTGGTGGCTCACACCTGTAATCCTAGCACTTTGGGATGCTGAGGCAGGCGGATCACCTGAGGTCAGGAGTTCAAGACCAGCCTGGCCAACATAGTGAAACCTGACTCTACTGAAAATACAAAAATCAGCCAGGCGTGTGGCATGTGCCTGTAATCTCAGCTATCCAGGAGGCTGAGGCAGGAGAATCGCTGGAACTTGGGAAGTGGAGGCTGCAGTGAGCCAAGATCGCACTCCAGCCTGGGTGACAGAGCGAGACTCTGTCTCAGAAAAAAAATAAATAATAAAAATAATACAAAAATTAGCTGGGCATAGTGGCACATGCCTACAGTCCCAGCTACCAGGGAGGCCGAGGTAGGGTGATTGCTGGAGCCTGGGAGGCTGAAGCTGCAGTGACTGTTGTGACCACACCGCTGCACTCCCGCCTGAGTAACATAACAAGACCCTGTCTCAAAAAAAAAAAGAAAAGAAAAACAAGGAAGCACAAAGACTCTCTGTCTTGGCTTTTCCCTACAGGCTTGTTGGTAAAGTCTTGTGATTCTAATTCGAACACATGTTTATTTCTTAAAAGTAATGCAGGCCGGGCACTGTGGCTCACGCCTGTCATCCCAGCACTTTGGGAGGCCGAGGCAGGTGGTTCACAAGGTCAGGAGTTCAAGACCAGCCTGGCCAACATGGTGAAACCCTGTCTCTACTAAAAATACAAAAATTAGCCAGGTGTGGTGGCGGGCGCCTGTGTTCCCAGCTACTAGGGAGGCTGAGGCAGGAGAATCGCTTGAACCAGGGAGTCGGAGGTTGCAGTGAGCCGAGATTGCACCACTGCACTCCAGCCTGGGCAACAGAGTGAGATTCTGTCTCAAAAAACAAAACAAAACAAAAAAAGTAATGCAAAGTTAAGTTTTTCCTCTGTCAGTACTACTCCATCCTTCTCTCTATAAAGCCAGAGGTATCTTCCCCATTTCTCTCTATAGATTAACTCTATTTGTGTACTCTGGATCCTGTCGTTCAGTAGTGCCTCCTTATCCATGGTTTCACTTTCTGAGGTTTTAGTTACCTGTGGTTAACTGATCTTCAAAAATATTAATTGGAAAATTCCCAAAATAAACAATTCTTGAGTTTTAAATTGCACATTATTCTGAGCAGTGTGATGAAATCTCCTGCCATCCCACTCCATCTTGCCCAGATGTGAACTGTCCCTCTGTCCAACATATCTACATTATATTCGCTACCGCCTGTTAGTCACTTAGCCCTCTTGATTATTACATCAAAAAAACATAGACCATATCCCCCTTGGATAAAGAGGAACTGCACTAGATTCTGCTTGCCTTCACTGAGAAAATTAAAAAGCAAAGATAGTAATATGTAAAGAGCTAAAAAGTCACTAAGCTGTGGGCAAGCGTAAAGTCGAATTTTAAAATGGAGAGTGTCAAGTTCACGCCATCAATGCTGAAAAGGATCTTAGGGTTTTAGGGAAAAGCTACCATTGTTAGAACTGACGAAAAAAAAATTAAGGCTTATAAGAAATAGTGTGAAAATTTTAAGGGTTAATCATCAGTCCTAACCCCAAAATAAAAACCACACAATTCAGCCTGATGAACTAAGGTTTAGAACTTACAAGACCTTAAATTTTTTTTATTTGCCTATTCCTCAAAAACCAATGAGGACACAAACCAAACCATTAACACTAGTAATCTCTGATGAGCGGGAGTAGAGGGGGCAGTGCCATTACCAAAATAAGCACTTCCGCTTTTTATTTCATATATTTCTGTACTGTTGTTTTCTAAGCATGTATTGATTTTATAATAAAACAAAACCACCACCGAGGAGACAACCTGTGATCTACAGTGTAAGGCATAAAGTAGATGCTAAAATATAAAAATGCTACACTGATGATAATGAAGATCTATCAATTAGCCTAGGGTGAAGCAACCTATAGAAGTCCAGTGACAGGAAGAGTTTCACTCCTTACCCAACAGCGGTAATTCTGCATCAGATTAAGCCTCACGGCCTGAATACTGCCATCATAACAGCCAGTGTAAATCTGGAGAAAGAGAGGTTTATAATATCAGACCAAAATACATACAAACTACAAAACACCCTCAAAACAAGAGTCACAAGCTCCTTGCAGCAGCTACAAGAAAACAAACACCTAAATCAAAACCAGCTCCAGAGCAGGAGAATGGGAAAGTATTTTCCAGATCTTCTAGTCTAGGTATTTTGCAGCTGTGCTCCTTAGAAAGCCACTTGGGACCAGGGCAGAGAGGAGTGGCAGGGCTCAGAGGCACCCACTTGTCCTTTATACTTTAACTGGGGTAGCCCTGGTTTCTATCGGGTGCTCTATGTTAGGCACCTGTATTTCCCTGGAAAAGAAAGGATTCTACTACTCAGAGTCTGAAAAACATCCATTCTGGTTCAACTCCATAACTTAAAAATAAAAAAAACAAGGCTTAGCAGGGTTACGTGAGTTGGTTTCTACTTTTAGGTCTGCTGTAACCATGCCACACTGGCCAAATCTCCTGACTCCATTCCAGTGTTCCATTCAGATCATGTCTCTGGAAAAGGCACCACTCAATTTTTTGAAGCATCTTAAATTTACCTTCTATTAAACTGTAGTTGATACTACCATTTTTATTGTAATAATTTTGGCTATTAATAGACAATGGAATATTCAACACTGTCCCCTGGTTACTTCCCTATTATGCCAAGAGATGGGAAGGTACTTAACAATGAGGCATATCAGAAGCAGATGTCACTTTTGGAAGTGACAAGAATTTTTTAGCAAACACATTCAAAAGCAAATATCTTACATGACAAATAACACTCACCATGCTTTTATGGATGGTCATACACATAATCATGTCTTTGTGTCCTCCATAAACTTGTAATCGATCATGAGACTTAGGCAGAAAAAAAAAAAGAGAATTGAAGTTATTTATACCTTGCGTTTAATAAGTACAGTCCCTAAAGGCCTTTGGCAGGTTTAAAACCACACCTGAGGCGCCAAGTGGAAGCACCAGTAGCATTCTAACAGAAATATAATCTAATGGCAATTTTTCTTTTACATTCTACTACTCAAGGAGGGAGCTGGTAATTAGAAGTAATAAAATCAATTTTGTTAGAATCAGAGTTTCAAACTTGAAACTGCACACAAGGAGAACTAGACAGGTTTTAAGAGACTGGAGTTGCTCTCCAGAAATTAAGTTTTGACACCCATGACCCAGATCAAGTATCTTAGAGTGGTTTCTGAAAGCTGCAGTCCACAGGCCAGCTGTTTCATAATTATCTAGAATGCTTGTGAAAATACAGATTCCTGGGTTCCATCCCACCTTACTGTATCAAAAATCAACACTAAACCCAAATAGACAATCTCCCCAAATCATTCAAGCAAAATACTGAATCTAAATTCTACCTGTAATTCATAGACACGAACAAATTTATCCAGGCAAGCAGTCACCATCACTTTTCCTAGGATATTCACCACAGTCACTGCATGATTGTGACCTTTATAGATCCGCACGAGCTCACCAGTCTATGTCAGAAGAGAAGTAAGAGTCACCAGACTGACTTTCGAGACTCCTTCCTGGTTATAATTCTATAATTCTAAGAGGCATAATTCTGAGGATACTGTACACATATAATTAATACAATTAATTGTATTAACTGTACAAATACAGTTAATACAACTGTATTAACTTTAATAGCAGAAGTATCCCACAATCATTTATTACATATACAAAATATATGGATTGTATCCTGATGGAAAGACTCTAATATTAGTCATGGAAAGAAAGCGGCCAAAACTCTATCTGTATTTATAGCTTTCCAAGTACTTTCACTTTTTTCATTTCACTGGATCTAGACCACAAGTCTATCAGGTGGGAATTATTCTGAGGTTATGAACCAGGAACTGAGCTTCAAAAAGCTGCCTCTATGACCTGAGAACAGTCTCTCAGCTGTTTCTGTTGTTCATTTTTTTAAGAGATGGGGTCTCACAGGCCGGGCACAGTGGCTCACACCTATAATTCCAAAACTTTGGGAGGCCGAGCTGGGCAGATTACTTGAGCTCAGGAGTTCAAGACCAGCCTGGGCAACATGGCAAGACTCCATCTCTACAAAAAATATAAAAAAATTAGCCAGGCATGGAGGCTCACGCCATTAGTCCCAGCTACTTGGGGGGCTGAGGTGGGAGGATCCCTTGAGCCTAGGAGGTTGAGGCTGCAGTGAGTCAAGATCGCACTACTGCACTCCAGCCTGGGGGACAAAGTGAGACCCCTATCTCAAAAAAAAAAAAGAAAGAAAGAAAGAAATGGGGTCTCACTTGGTCACCCAGGGTGGAGTGCAGTGGTGCAATCACAGCTCACTGCAGCCTTGAACTCCTGGGGCCAAATAATCCTCCCACCTCAGCCTCCTGAGTAGCTGGAATTACAGGACGCACTGCCATGCCCAGCTAATTAAAAAAAAATTTTTTTTAAGAGATGGGGCCACTATTTTGCCTAGGCTGGTCTCAAACTCCTGGCCTCAAGTGATCTTCCCACCTCAGCCTTCTGAGTAGCTGGCATTACAGGTGACAGCCATTGGGCCCAGCTCTCAGCTGTTTTTACTAGTTCTATTTTAACTACATATCATATCCACTTTCTGGAAGCCTCAGCTGCTCAGTTTATTTCAAGTTTAAATGAGGCATTCAAACTAAACCTTACATAAAGCCTGTCTGTCCACCATTAAAAACTTTGATGAGGTAGAATTTCTAAATTACACAATATTATCCAAGAGCATATGCACAGGGATGATTACGAATCCCTTCGGTGGATAAAGGGCTTAATTTAAATTGCAAGAGGTTTAAGAAAACCATCAAGCTTTAACCATTATTTTATTCACAGTTTCTTTACACAACACCAACACAGCTTACGTGAATGTTGTGAGCATGGACTGACTGATCACTGGAGCCACTGAACACGAGATCATTCACCACCTTAAAGAAAAAATTAAACAAGTCAGATTCTGTATACGGTTCTTAATTTTCTCTATAACTTGTAATACACATTGGCAAATTCTAATTTCCATCCTATTTTGAGATGAGCACGATGAACTAGGTATAAAAGTTTCTCAGATGAATTTTCTCAGCTGAAACTTACACCCCCCTACCAAGCATGCTAATGAACTGACAATGTATTATTACGTTTGTTACCTTTCCAGAATGATTATGAAGCAGCCTAGAAGGGCATTCGAGTATACCCACAGTATAACAAAATACACTCATTGTTTCTCAAATGAAAGTGCATCACTTGGTGATGTTGGTGTAAAGAAAAGGTTTGCAATCTCCTTGCTCTTTCCAAGGTGGTGCTTCTAAATGATGCATGAGACAACACGGGAAATGCCATTTAAAACCCTTCTTTGTTTTGTTTTGCTTTGCTTGAGTCAAGGTCTCACTCTGTTGCCCATGCTAGAGTACAGTGGCACAATCATGGCTCACTGCAGCCTCGATCTTTGGTGCTCAAGTGATTCTCCCACCTCAGCCTCATAAGTAGTACAGGTGCACACCACAACATCCCGCTAATTTTTGTATTTTTTTGTAGAGATCGAGTTTTGCCATGTTGCCCTGGCTGGTCTCGAACTTCTGAGCTCAAGCGATCCCCCTGCCTCACCCTCCCAAAGTGCTGGGACTACAGACGTGAGCCACCTCGCCTGGCCTCAAAACCCTTCTATTTGTGCCAGACAACTCCGATTCTCTTGCACTGTACTTGCCTTCATGCAAAGAATGGTTTTGCTATGGCCCTCCAGAGTTCTGAGGAGCAGTCCATTCCGGGCATCGCGTACACTAATTGTGCAGTCATAAGACCCCACGACCAGCAGTTTTCGGGCACCTTCCTGAGCTGTAGCAAGACAGCTGACTGCCCGAGGGCCATGGCATTCAAAGATCTCAAGTCGTTTGTTGTTCTGGAAAATAAGCCAAGATTACAGCTAAAACCAACTTAGCTGGAAAATTCAACTAACCAACATCATTACCTTGGTACAAACTCATTTCTGTCACCTGTACTCAAATTTTCATACCCACTCTGCAGCCTTAACTTATCCATCTCCGCTATTTCCCACTCCAACCCTTTTTACTGAACCTCCCCCATCCCCTGATCTGAGGAGGGCAAACGCTTACATTATAAACTCATTTATAACTTCAACCCACACCATCTCCATCCTAATTAGAAACTGGTTCTCTTTTTATGCTTTCTTTCACCACCTGTAAGTTAATAATAATGAAGGGTGAACCTTTTTTTTTCAAACTCTAGTGCATATTCCCTGACACCGACCCAGGAACTATTTCTGTCATCCAAAATTTAGGCAATCTATGTGTCATGCTGTTTCCAAAAATCTCTATTTAGAATTACCTTCCTAGGTAATTTCAGTAAGTCTCAAATTCTCCACTTTTTTTTTTTGAGACGGAGTCTCGCTCTGTCGCCCAGGCTGGAGTGCAATGGCGCCATCTCAGCTCACTCCAACCTCCGCTTCCTGGGTTCAAGTGAGTCTCCTGCCGCAGCCTCCTGAGTAGCTGGGATTACAGGCGCCCGCCATCACACCTGGCTAATTTTTGTATTTTTGTAAAGACAGGGTTTCACCATGTTGGCCAGGATGGTCTTGAACTCCTAACCTCAGGTGATCTGCCTGCCTCAGCCTCCCATTACAGGCGTGAGCCACCACACCTGGCCTAAATTCTCCACCTTATTATGATGTTCTTCTGGCACCTGGTTCCATGTCATCTCTCACAACATCATTTAGTAGACTATAGAAGCCTAATTATATCAGAGTGGTAGGGTCACATCCTGAATCCCAAAACATTCTTTTATCTCAGATTTTAGACTTCTTTCCTTCATCCCCCAGCCAACCCTGTTCATTAAGCCTCCCACTTCCACAGAAGTTTTTTAGGTGCATGCCTGGAGTAAGGCTCCTAAAACTAAGCAGAAAGCGACAGCTGGGAGCCTACATTGCTGAGCAATGATTTCAACAGTGTTGAAGTGCTAGGGAGACAGACTGAAAGGAGGTCAGGACCCAAAGGTGGACCGGCCCTGGTAAACAGTCCTGGCTCTCTGTTGTGACTCCAGAAGCACTACATTCTAAGAGTATGGGCAACCTAGGAAAAAGCCCAGCCCTCATCTTCAAAATTCACATCTATGCAGAGATTCTCAAATGTCTGTCTCTAGGACCATCTTCTCCAGGGCTTTTCAATCCTTTAAAGAACTTTTCCATTTGAATTTCTTGTCATCATCTCATCATTTTGCCTCAAGATTGTCTTGCTCCTTACTTCTGTCTACTACTTAAAAAAAAAAAAAAGAGAGAGAGACAGGGTCTCACTCTGTCAGCCAGTCTTGAGTACAATGGTGTGATTATAGCTCACTGCAGCCTTGAAGTCCTGGCCCCAAGCAATCCACCTGCCTCAGCTTCCTGAGTAGCTGGGACTCCAGGCGTGTGCTACCATACTTAGCTTTTTTTTTTTTTTTTTTTTTGAGAAACAGAGGTCTTGCTTTGTTGCCCAGGCTGGTCTCGAACTTCTGGGCTCAAGCAATCCTCCTACCTCAGTCTCCCAAAGTGCTGGGATTATAGGCATGAGCCACCATACCCATCCACTTCTGTCTACTTCTGATAATCTCACGAAAGAGAAGGTAATTAGGCAATTATCACGTTTTAGCCTTTAAAATATTTTAAATTTACTTTCCTCTCCATTTCTATTGCCCTAATCCAATTTAATCAGACTTAGAACTTGTCTGCATCTAAAATGCAAAAATCTTCACTAATTGCCCTTCTGTGATGTATCATATCGAACAGACCAAATCACTTGGCACTTGATTATATACGTGCTAAATTCTTCTCACTTGATCTTAAGTTTCCTGTAGGCAGAAACCATGACATATTTCAATGCACACCTTCTGTTAGTTCCAGCTAGCATGCAGCCTATGAATGACACTGTAATAGTACCATTCTAACACATGGTTACAAGATGACCAGAGGATATGGTGCCACAACTAATTAGCAATCAAACCTATCGATTCTACCTCTTGGATTATATATTTCCTCCATTCCCTTCTCTTCATCCTGTTTAACCTTTTTCATGTCAGCTTCCACTACAAAACCTCCTAAATGGTCTCCCTGCCTTTGCTAATACCAATCTTTCCCAATCTTATCAACTCCAGTGACTTTTTCTAAAATATAATGGGATCATGTCTCTCATACTTTACAGCCTGTAAGATGAAGTCCAACTACCTTAACAAAGCACACAGGGCCATCAAAAACTAAACCTTATCCTGGGGCCTAGCACATAACAGATGCTCAATAAAGGCTAGGTCAACAAATGAATTTATCTCTGGTTTAGGAAAGAATGAAGCCATATGGGCATTACAGCAAACCTCTTAGTTCACCTCACAGATGGGCCGCCCTCATGAAACCCTAAACCAGTGCCAAACCACACCAATGTCATACTCAACGGAATTTAAGTTCATTTTTCTTCATTTTTTTTAAAATATGTAATGCTTCATGAATTTGCGTGTCATCCTTGTGCAGGGACCATGCTAATCTTCTCTGTATCATTCCAATTTTAGTGTATGTGCTGTCAAAGTGAGCACTTAAGTTCATTTTTTATGATGTCATTCTTAAATTGAGACAGACTAGTTTAATACATGACTCATTATTTGGCCCCAAATCTTCAGACTTGGTTTAATTTAGTGGAGTTACATTTTGGTCCTGGAACATTTGAGTAGAAGCAGAGAGAATGGAGGATCTTGTTTCACTTACATCAGAAGATAACTGTGTTTGAGTAGTGGCTAATTCTGCTGCTTCCTCACAGAAGAAAATAGGAAAATCCCTGCCTGCTACTTCTTCCCACACATGCTCACACTGTTTTCAAGTGCATGGGAAGTAAGCCTTTTCTCCTCCAACCACTAACCTTTATGTTGAAGGTGACCACAGTGCCATTTGCCAGTCCCGCATAGAGGATTCGCCATCTACTGTGGAGGCAGAGGACCCGGTCTTCCAGCTGTAACTGCTCCACACACTCTCGGCTCTGATAAAAGCACACAACCTTTAATCAGCAGAGGGTACTGGCAAATGAGATGTCAAAAACAATTCCTCCAGAAAGCAGACTTTAAAATGACTCTTATGCGGAAGAAAGTGTGACATCCTCTATTTTGTAGGGGACTATCTTAGATCTGTTTCTCCTTTGAAATATGAGGCCTAAGACTTCCAAGCTGTAGGTAATATGAAAAATAAACATAAATTCTAGTAATGTTACCCATGTTTCTAACTTAGAATGTAGAAATTCTTCAAAGGGTACTATGAGTTAGGTCTTAGCCTCTTAAATTAAGAGGCCAAATATAAAAGACAAAGCTCTATTTTGACATCTAAAGAGGAAAATCAGGATTATAGTTATATATTTGATAAATGCACTAATCAAATATGTGGTTTTCCGCACATGATTCTCTATTTCAATAGCTCCCAAATGTCTCCTTCAAACTGGTGCCAGGTTAGCTGGGCTAAATTACTCAAGAGGCTTTTAAAATACATAGAACCCAAGCTCCAACCCCATCCCTGAGACTCTTAATTCAGTGGGCTCTAGAATCTGTGTTTTAAAAAATTTCCCTAGTAATTCAGATGCACATGCAGATTTAATACCCACTGTTTGATCTGACCTTCAAAAAACGATTTCTTTTTGAGACGGAGTCCTGCTCTGTCGCCCAGGCTGGAGTGCAGTGGTGCGATCTCGGCTCACTGCAAGCTCCACCTCCCCGGTTCACACCATTCTCCTGCCTCAGCCTCCCGAGTAGCTGGGACCACAGGCGCCCGCCACCACGCCCAGCTAATTTTTTGTATTTTTTTAGTAGAGACGGGGTTTCATCGTATTAGCCAGGATGGTCTCGATCTCCTGACCTCGTGATCTGCCCGCCTCGGCCTCCCTTACATGCATGAGCCACTGTGCCCGGCCAGAAAACGATTTCTACCAATTTCCTCCAACTAGATTGTACTAGCAAATCTCTTTATCTAGAACCAAGAATTGGGACAGGACATAGTAAATTCAAAATTTGTTGTTGAGGCCGGACACAGTGGCTCATGCCTGTAATCCTACACGTTGGGAAGCCGAGGCGGGTGAATCACGAGGTCAGGAGATTGAGACTATCCTGGCTAACACGGTGAAACCCTGTTTCTACTAAAACTACAAAAATTAGCTGGGCATGGTGGTGCGTGCTTGTAGTCCCAGCTACTTGGGAGGCTGAGGCAGGAGAACTGCTTGAACCACGGAGGCGGAGGTTGCAGTGAGCAGAGATCAGGTCACCACACTCCAGCCTGGGCGACACAGCGAGACCCCGTCTCAATTAAAAAAAAAAAAATTTGTTGTTGAATGATACTGAAGACCCAGGTGTAGCTTTTTAAGTGGGCTTGGCTGTAGATATTAAAATCAAGATGGTTACAATTGGGTAGGATGAGAAAAGCTGTGGCTTGTCAAATCCATTGGTCTCGTCTCCCAACCTTCTTTCATACCTAAAAGAGTCAGTCACTTAAATTATTCAATTTCTCCCCTGAAAAAATCACAAACATAAGTGCCATATATGAAATTGTAAGATACAGCAAAAGACAGTAAATATGCCTAAATATTAAGATTCATGTTGCTTCCCATTAATCCTATGAGATCTTTTGTAACTTTATAGGGGAAATTGAACATTACATAGCAATAAAAAAGGAACAAACTATTGGCACATGTACCAATACAGATGAATTTTCAAACATTATGGTGAGCTAAAGCTAGACATAAAAGAACACATGTGGTACAGTTATACTGATATGACAGCTAAGCACAGAGAAAAGTAATCTATGACAGGAGTCAAAATAGTGATTAGCTTTAGAAGAAGGTTATGCCCAGGGAGGCATTTGAGGGAAGCTTCAGGGCTATGAAATGGTCTACGTTTTGATCTTTGTGGTAGTTATACAAACAAATATCTGCAGAAAAATTCATCAAGCTGTATACTTAAAATCTGTGTGCTTTACTGTATGAAGTTATGTCTCAATGTTAAAAAATGGTTACAAAATCTTTTTCACTAGTGTACGGTCCTGCTATGCCAAAGACTACACGTTAGAACCCTTAATACTGAAAAGCCTTTTAAAAGAGTTTTTGCTAATATTGTGAGTAAAAATGGTATTCCTTGTACTTTGGTTTTAATTTGCATTTATTTGCAAGATTGTATTTTTTTCAGTTATTTGTTATTTCTTTTTAAGAGACTTGCTTGTTTTTTGTCAATGTATGTTTAGGGATTTACTTATGTATTTGTTTTTTGAAAGACAAGGTCTCGCTCTGCCTCCTGGCTAGAGTGCAGTGACGTGATTACTGCTCACTGCAGCCTTGACCTCCGAGGCTCAAGGAATCCTCCCACCTCAGCCTCCCGAGTAGCTGGAACTACAGGCGTGGGCCATCGCGCATGCCTAGTTAATTTTTAAATTTTTTTGGAGAGATGAGGTCTCGCCATGTTGCCTAGGCTGTTCTTGAACTCCTGGGCTCAAGCGATCCTCCCAACTTGGCCTCCTAAAGTGTTAAGATTATAGGCATGAACCACTGCACCTGGCTATAGGAATTTAAAGGTGTAAGCCCCTTACAACATATACCAAACCTGTTTGTCCTATCTTAAGTTACGGCTTTTCCCCCTGGTTTTATGTAAGACTATTTATTACCAAAATATGCTTACAATTTTTTTTTACAAGTTTGTATAATTTTTTACAGGTTTGTACAAGTCGCCTAGCTAGGCTTGAACTCCTGGCCTCAAATGATCCTCCCACCTCAACATCCCAAAGCACTAGAATTACAGGCATGAGCCACTGTGCCCAGCCTCTTTTTCTAGTTTCTTGGATTTTAAAGCTTTCTTCTTTTCTAATAGAAGCAATTAAAACCACGAATTTCCCTTTTAGCAGTGCTTTAGCTGCATCCTACAAATGATACGTTGCATTTTCATTTAGTTAGGTATTTTCTAATTTCCCTCGTGATTCCTTCTTTGAACCACAATAATTTAGAAGTATCTTATTTTCATCTCCCTATATTTGGGGATTTCTTAGATTTCTGTTACTGCTTTCTAATAAATGTCATTGTGGTTAGAGAACATACTTTGTATGATTTTGGTGCTTTTAAATTGATTGAAATTTATTTAATAGCCCAGCATGTGGTCCTGGTAAATGTTCTATGTGCACATTCTTGAAAAAAATGTGTATTCTGCAATTTTGAGTGGAATGTCCTATAAATGTTAATTGGATCTTGATCGTTAATGATGTTATACGGTTCTTTTTTTTTTTTTTTTTTCTTGAAATGAAGTTTTTCTCTGTTGCCCAGGCTGGAGTACAGTGGTGCAAATCTCAGCTCACTGCAACCTCCACCTCCCAGGTTCAAGTGATTCTCCTGCCTCAGCTTCCTGAGTAGCTGGGATTACAGGCACGTACCACCAGGCCCAGCTAATTTTTTTGTATTTTTATTTTTGTTTATTTATTTTTTGAGACGGAGTTTACTTATTTTTTCAGACGCACCACACCCAGCTAATTTTTGTATTTTTAGTAGAGATGGGTTTCACCATGTTTTTCAGGCTGGTCTCAAACTCCTGACCTCAGGTGATATGCCCACCTTGGCCTCCCAAAGTGCTGGGATTACAGGCATTAAGCCAACCACAGCCAGCCTAATTTTTTTGTATTTTTAGTAGAGATGTGGTTTCGCCATGTTGGCTAGGCTGGTCTCGAACTCCTGACCTCAAGTGATCCACCCGCCTCAGCCTCCCAAAGTGCTGGGATTACAGGCATGAGCCACCACACCCGGCCAGTGTTGTACAGTTCTTGTATATCCTTCATGGTTTTTTATTTAGTAGTCTATCAATTATTGAGAAAGGGTTGTTAATGTCCCCAACTATAACTGTGAATTTGTCTACTCCTTTCAGTTCTATCAGTTATTGTTTCACGTATTTTAGAGCTCTGTTATTAGGTACCTGTACTTATAATTGTTATATCTTTCGGGTGTGCTGACTCATCATTATGGGATATCCTCCTTTCTCCAGTAGTATTCCTTGTCTTTTTCATTTTTTAAAGGGACAGCGTCTCACTCTGTCACCCAGGCTGGAGTGCAGTGGCATTGTCATAGCTCACTATAACCTCAAATTCCTCAGCTCAAATGATCCTCCCACCTCAGCCTCCCAAGTAGCTAGGACTACAGGTACATATAACCACGCTTGCCTCATTTTTTTATTTTTTGTGGAGACGGGATCTCATTATGTTACCGAGGCTGGTCTGGAACTTACAGTCTCAAGTGATCCTCCCACCTCAGCCTCCCAAAGTGGGATACAGGCATGAGCCGCAGTGCCCAGTCACGTGTCTTAAAGTCTGCTTGCTCAATATTAACATAACCACTCCAGCTCTGTTACTATTTGCATAGTATATCTATTTCCATTCTTATTCTTTTACTTTCAACCTATTTTGTCTTTACATTTAAAGTATGTCTCTTTGCCTGGGCATGGTGGTGCATGCCTGTAATCCCAGCACTGTGGGA
This sequence comes from Homo sapiens, assembly GCF_000001405.40. NCBI lineage: Eukaryota > Metazoa > Chordata > Mammalia > Primates > Hominidae > Homo > Homo sapiens. The sequence continues at coordinate 42,432,635 of NC_000015.10, forward strand.
GACCAAAGCAGGAGGACTGCTTGTGCCCAGGAGCTTTAGAATAGCCTAGGCAACATAGCAAGACCGTATTTCTAAAAAAAAAAAAAAAAAAAAAATTTAATTGGCAAACCATAGTGACATGTGCCTGTAATCCCAATTTACTCGGGAGGCTGAGGCGGAAGGATCACTTGAGCCCAGGAGTTCGAGGCTGCAATGAGTTATGATCACGCCACTGCACCCTAGCCAGGGTGACAGGCCAAGACCTTGTCTCAAAAATAAAAGTGTGTCTCTTGTAGACAACAAAGATTTTGATGTTACTTTTGTATCCAGCCAATTTCTGTCTTTTGATTTTAGTGTCAGTTCACTCACATTTCATATAATTATTAAATATGGGTAAATTTAGGTCTCCAATTTGCTATTTGCTTTCTATTTGTCTCATTTTTATTCCTCTATTTCTCCTTCTACCTTCTCTTGTATTAAGTATATTTTTATTTATTTATTTATTTTTTTGAGACGGAGTCTTGCTCTGTCGCCCAGGCTGGAGTGCAGTGGCGCAATCTCGGCTCACTGCAAGCTCCGCCTCCCGGCTTCACACCATTCTCCTGCCTCAGCCTCCCGAGTAGCTGGGACTACAGGCGCCTGCCACCACGCCTGGCTAATTTTTCGTATTTTTAGTAGAGACGGGGTTTCACCGTGTTAGCCAGGGTGGTCCCGATCTCCTGACCTCGTGATCCGCCCACCTCGGCCTCCCAAAGTGCTGGGATTACAGGCGTGAGCCACCGCGCCCAGCCTTAAGTATATTTTTAGCTCACCATTTTAATTCCTCAATTGACTTTCTAAGCTCAATTTCTTTGCATTGTTCTTTTTTTTTTCTTTTCTTTTTTTTTTGGACAGAGTCTTGCTCTGTCGCCCAGGCTGGAGTGCAGTGGCATGATCTTGGCTCACTGAAATCTCTGCCTCCTGGGTTCAAGTGATTCTCCAGCCTCAGCCTCCCGAGTAGCTGGGATTACAGGTGTGCGTCACCACACCCGACTAATTTTCATATTTTTAGTAGAGACAGGGTTTCACCAGGTTGGCCAGGCTGGTCTCACACTCCTGACCTCATGATCCTCTTTGCATTATTCTTTTAGTAATTACTCTAGGGCAGTATTTCTCAAAGTGCGGTCCCCAAACCATCTGCATCAGTATCACCTAATAACTTATTAGAAATGTAAATTCTTTTTGTTTGTTTTGGTTAATTTTTATGCTTTTTTGAGGCAGGTTCTTGTTCTGTCACCCAGGCTGTAGTGAAGTGACACAAGCACAGCTCACTATAACCTTGAATTCCTGGGCTCAAGTGATCCTCCCACCTCAGCCTCCCAAACAGCTAGGACTATAGGTGTGCATCACCACACCCAGCTGATTTTTATTTTTTATAGAGACAGGGTCTTGCTATGTTGCCCAGGTTGGTCTTGAGCTCCTGGCCTCAAGCAATCCTCCTGCTCTGGCCTCCCAAAGTGCTGGGATTACAGACATGAACCATAGTACCTCGCCTAGAAATGTAAATTTGGGAGCTTGATCACAAGCCTACTGGATCAGAAACTCTGGCAAGGGCTGCATGTGGTGGCTCACGCCTGTAATCTCAGCACTTTGGGAGGCCAAGGTGGGAGGACTGCCTGACCTCAGGAGTTCAAAACCAGCCTGAGCAACATGGTGAGACCCTGTACCTTAAAAAACAAAAAACAAACAAACAAAAAAAACACCTCTGGGAGTGGGGACCAGTAATATGTGTTTTAACAAGCTGTCCAGGTCACTGTGATGCACACTAAAGTTGTGAGCCAGTGCCTCTAGGGATTATATTTTTAAAATTATAACAAGCTAGTTCAAATTAATACTTATTCCCAGTAAAATATAAGATCCTTGTCCTAGCACAGCTCCATTCCCTCCCCCTTCTTTATGTTCCTGTTATCACATATATTCCACCTATGTTATAAACTTAATGATAGTCATAAATTCTGCTTCACATACCTCCATCTTTTAAAGAAATTAAAAACATATTGTATATAATTTTAAATGTAATTTTCTCATGTCTTTCAGTGCATTTAGGTTTAAAAAACTCTCAGAGGAGATGTCCATTTCTAATTCTGCAGATTTAAAAAGTTTATACATTTTGCTCTTTTTTTTTTTTTTTTTTTCCTGAGACGGAGCTTCGCTCTTGTTGCCAAGGCTGGAGTGCAGTGGCACAATCTCGGCTCACTGCAACCTCCACCTCCTGGGTTCAAGTGATTCTCCTGCCTCAGCCTCCCAAGTAGCTGCAATTACAGGCATGCACCACCATGCCTGGCTAATTTTGTATTTTTAGTAGAGACAGGGTTTCTCCATGTTGGTCAGGCTGGTCTCAAACTCCCAACCTCAGGTGAATCCACCCGCCTCTGCCTCCCAAAGTGCTGGGATTAGAGGCGTGAGCCACTGAGCCCGGCCTACATTTTTCTCTTTATTCTATCTAGGATTAGTTTTGACATATGATATGCATAACATTTATGGCAAAGACCAAGGAAGGTATATTATTAATAGTAGGAAGTGAAAAAATACTGGTGGAGAGAGACAGAAAATATGGTTTATGTGTAAGTCTCATATCTACCTAGGGCTACAACAATGTGCTAAACATTGTTTAGAAGCAAAAAGGAGATGGTGGGTAGAATGAAGCGTCTGCCACAGTGTCTCCACTCCACACAGTAAATACAAAGGCGACTCAATATGAACCACTTTGGATTTCTCTGGACCCACCTACCTTAACATTATAGCAGCGGATGGTATGGTCACTGGACCCGGTGTAAAGGGCAGCATTCTTCCCGGAGGTCTGAGTAACCAGGAGGCAGTTAACTTTGGAGGTATGACCCTCAAAGACACCAATACATTTCCGACTCTAAAGTTTAAGCACAGACCAGATTATTACTTATGAGATATAGGAGGATTAGATAATATATTTCCTCAACAAAAAGATGCTAAAACATTCAGTTCACTGCTGTATCCTCATGTCTAAAACAGCACCTGGTACACAAAAGATGCTCAGTAAATGTATGTTCACCAAGTGCCTAGCAAACAGTCACAGGCAATGAGGTATCTGAAAGTATATGTTAGTTGAGCCATACCAGAAAATACTTATGGCAACACTGTAAGACAGCCAGAATTTTAATTAACGTTTAGGGCAAAGCTTTCTGACATATGGACCAAGGACCTAGCAAATCCAAACTGCAGCTAATTTCCCACAAAAGATGAGCATTTGATAAGCAGTTTGTGAGAATGCACCATGGTATTCAAAAACGTCAGGTGCTATCACAGGTCTAGTGGTTCTGGTGTTGTTTCTTTTTTTTTTTTTTTGACAGAGTCTCGCTCTGTCCCCCAGGCTGGAGTGCAGTGGCGCGATCTCAGCTCACTGCAAGCTCTGCCTCCTGGGTTCACACCATTCTCCTGCCTCAGCCTCCCAAGTAGCTGGGACTACAGGTGCCCGCCACCACCCCCGGCTAATTTTTTGTATTTTTAGTAGAGATGGGGTTTCACCATGTTAGCCAGGATGGTCTCAATCTCCTGACCTCATGATCCACCCACCTTGGCCTCCCAAACTGCTGGGATTATAGGTGTGAGCCACTGTGCCCGGCCACTGGTGGTGTTTCTTATGGGTACATTCCAAATGTTATCTCAGTGCACATACTGAGATCTATTTAGAATGTACATATATACATACACATACATATTTTGATATCCTGTTCCCCTAGATCTTACACTTATACATCCTGGTAGCACTGCTTCCTTTTTTCAGTCATTCGTGTTAATCCTCATATCATTAAGCTAAAGGAATCTACACACCTGTTGCCTATATAGCAAACACATTTTCCTGGTCCATCATCTAACTTTTTAATTTTCACTGACTCTAGCAATTTTAAATATTTTCATGGTATTCATTCAGACATCATGTTCTTCAAATTTCTTAAGCTTTCATTGTTCATAAACATAATTAGTTTATTAACAAATTCAAATTCAAAACTCAAAAGTTCATTCTTTTGAGAGTAATAAGCATCAGATAATACTAAGTGTGAGGCAGTGGAAAAGTGTTGCTCTCCTTAATAACTTGAACTCTGTAATCAATCACTTGTCAGGGAAAATACCTCCTCCAGTACTTCCCCATATTCACTTCATCCCTCCTCTATTATGTAGCTGCTATGCAAGTGACCCCATTACCAACTCCAGCATTGGGACCTGAACAGTCCAAGACCACTGGTGTAATCCCAACCCCCTTTGCCACAGGCAAAGGTGATCGTTCAGGGAGTAAAACACAGGACCCTTCTGTGCTGGTGGGAGGGAAAAAGAGACTCCAGTGGCTCCTGACATTTACCCTGTAAGCAGGAGGGGAACTAGCTTTCAGGAAGAGGTGATACCAGAGAAGGCAGAGTAGGGAGACAAAAAGAAATTAAGTCCCCAGTGACCTTGCTGAGCTTCTGGATTAAATGCATCTAAAGTCAATCTCAGGCCCACCCCTTCCTTCAGACAGCCAACAAATTCCCTTTATTGTTTAAAAAAGTATAAACTGGATTTTCCAAAACCTGCAACCAAAAACATTCTACATGTTCTATCAACTTACCACCAGATTATAAACCCGAACAGTTTTATCTGCTGAACAGGTATATAGCAAGTTCCCAAATATCTGAATTGCATTTACGGCAGCTTGGTGTCCCTCAAAGCTTCCTTCTGTGGGTTCATCATCATCTCCTGGCTCTGAAGATATTTCTGGAAAACAAGAATAGGTTTCAGAGACATGTCTGCTAGAGTCTGAAAAGATACTCAAAAATCAGAACTATTATACAATACAGTAGTCCCTAGATTAAACCAAAAGTAGATCCCTTAAATCTTAGTTCCCCTATCAGACTACTACAATTTTCAATACCCATCTTCACTATGAAGACTGCATGATAAGCAAAGGCAGAGAAGGCCTTTCACTTAGGAAAAAGATAGATAATTATATAATGAGCTTTTGGGCCAGGCGTGGTGACTCACACCTGTAATCCCAGCACTTTGGGAGGCCAAAATGGACGGATCACCTGAGGTCAGGAGTTGGAGACCAGCCTAGCCAACATGGTGAAACCCCATCTCTACTAAAAATACAAACATTAGCCAGGTGTGGTAGCGTGAGCCTGTAGTCCCAGTTATTTGGGGAGGCTGAGGCAAGAGAATCACTTGAACCCAGAGGCAGAGGTTGCAGTGAGCCAAGATCACACCACTGGACTCCAGCCTGGGCGACAACGACTCCGTCTCAAAAAAAAAAAAAAAAAGAAAAAGAGCTTTGAGTGATACTTGGAAGGTATCCAATCTCTCCCACACTTCCAAAAAGTTATTTCTTTGAGTAATGTAGTATTCCTTAAGCAGTTCCTTCTGAAAGCAAATATCCTTAGAGCCAATGAAACCTTAATACTAATTAGTTGAACAGATAAGGGAGCCGGATAAGACAGATGAGAAAGGCCAGGCATGGTGGCTCACGCCTGTAGTCCCAGCACTTTGGGAGGACAAGGCAGGAGGATCACTTGAGGCCAGGAGTTCGAGACCAGCCTGGCCAACATGACGAAACCCTGTCTCTACTAAAAATACAAAAAAAAATTTGCCAGGCGTGATGGCGCGCACCTGTGGTCCCAGCTATTTGGGAGGCTGAGGCAGGAGAACTGCTTGAACCTGGGAGGTGGAAGTTGCAGTGAGTAGAGATAGCGCCACTGCACTCCAGCCCAGGTGACAGAGCAAGACTCTGTTACAACCAGTCAATCAATCAGATAGATGAGAATAAGAATCTGAAAGACCAGGATTTGAGGTTTTAAGAATATCAGAACTGTTGATCAAGGCAATCCTCTTGGTGATAAACCCCTCCCCATTCTCCTATTCTATAAATATATTTAAGTAGGTTTAAATCCTGGCTTTAATATTTACAAGGCTTTTAATTCTGTGGTTAACTTAAATAAAACTGAACAGCAAATACCTGAAGAATTCTTTGATCCTTTTATGGAGGAGATCACAGTCTGAGTTTCTGCCACACTACAAAATAATAGCAAAAGTGTTCTCAGCATCTGTGTGAACAGGGCAGGTAGTAAAAGTAAAAATTTCTGACTCAAAGGATTTTTCTAAACAATGGGCAAAGTAGCAATGATATAAGAGATTAGATTTTCCATCTGAAATTTCTTAATGAAGGGAAATAAAAGCAGAGTGAATATTTATAACACAGTCAAAAGAGAAAGCAGAAAATCTCTACTGCTGAGCTTTAATTTTTCCATATCCACAATCTCTACTGCATTCACATAAAGTTTGGTTTTTAAAGAAATTCTGATTCATAATTTCAAATTCTATTTAAAAAAATAAAGTTGGTGAAAGTTGTTCTGACTGGACCAATACAATATTCTTACCTTACAGGGATGCCATCTTTATAGCGAGTGCCAATTTCACTGGTAGAGCTAACTTCATCACACCCAGAACGAGACGTTTCTAGTGGGTTTTGCTCTGTAGAGTTCCAAATATCCTTTTTAGATGGGCTGTCTGGTTTCTCTTCTCCTGATTCTGAAGAATCAATGGCTACTACTTCTAACTGAGGATTAGGAATTTCTAGGACTTCCAGAGACGAGTCACTATCTGGCTCATCTCTGACACTCTCCTGCTCCCGACCAGTCCTGCTGTCTTCCCAAGTGGAGGTTGTTACTTTCCCCCCTTTAATTAACTTTCCAGCTTTTACTTTCCTTACAGGTTTAACAGTCAAAACATCCTGTTCAGTGTCACTATTCTCAGGAACATGGGCAGCCCGTAGACTTTTCTTCTTCCGGAGTTTCTTCTTTTTCTTGCTTCCCCTAGTCTCAGCTGATGTCAAAGTGGATTCTGCCTGTTGTTCAGGCTGGTCAGCTGGAGAGTGGGGTTCCTTCTCCAAAGGGGTTTCTGAAGCAAAAGACAATCTTAGAAAAGAACTGGTACAGGCTTCAGACCCACTATTGCCTTTGGTTGGCTCTTCCCCTTCTTTATTTATGCTAGAAAGACCAGCTGATTGGGAAGAGGGAGAGTTTTCTCTGTTTCTGGTATTTCTTTGCTCCACAGAAAACTTCAGTTCTTGGCTAGGCTCATGGAAACTTTCTGTTGACTCTGGTAAGGACAATCTAGCAGTGATGACTGGATAAACTGGACAACTGTCACTGATCTCTCCTGAATTGAGAGGAAAAAAATTATTGCATCCTTTTTTGTGTTTGCTGCAATTTATCACTGACTGAAACTCTACCAAATATTTCAATGATATGTTCAGAAAACCATGACTGTTTCAGCTGGTATCTCACCCCTCAGTTTCCCATCACCTACATACACTCCTATGACAACACTTACTACCCTCTGCCTTGCGTGAATCTCACAAACACTGTGTGTCTTATTCCCTACAAAAGCTCCTTGTGGGGAGGGATTGTTTCTATCAATCTTTTTTCTTGTTTTAAATGTCCACACATTTAACATTGTGGTTTATTCTTAGTAGACACTTAAATGTCTACTTAGCTGAAGTCCTTTTACTTTTATTTCTTTGAAGTTTTCATTATCCACACCCATCCAATTTAGCTACAGCTTAGTAGTTAAAAAAATTTGCTGACTTAGAAATGTCAATTTCCTTTGACTTAGTTACTTCATGTCTAGGAATTAAAAGTGATGAAATAATCACAGATGTACTCAAAGACATATACAATGCAGTGTTACACAGAATATGAAAAAAGTTAGAAAACTAAATATTCAAAAAAGATTCACCACATAAATTATTGTTTAGCCAGATTATGCAACTATTCAAATATTATGCAACTTGTAATATAAAATACTTTAGATAAATTATTTTTACAACAGAAAAATCATTATATATTAAATGGAAAAAGTCAGGTTATATATGACTGCTCCTTTGTACAAGTTCTACATGTAAACACAAAAATATGATTTAAGAAAGATTGAAATAATATGTAATACGAAAAATAATAGTACCAAAATATTTCATGTAATCCATAAATATATACACCTACTATGTACCCACAAAAATTTAAAATAATTTTTAAAAATATGCTAGGGGCTGGGCAAGGTGGCTCATGTCTGTAATCCCAGCACTTTGGAAGGCTGAGGCGGTCGGATCACTTGAGGTCAGGAGTTCAAGACCAGCTTGGCCAACATGGTGAAAGCCTGTCTCTATTAAAAATACATAAATTAGCTGGGCATGGTGGTGGGCGCCTGTAATCCCAGCTATTCGGGAGGCTGAGACAGGACAATCACTTGAACCTGGGAGGCAGAGGTTGCCGTGAGCCAAGAGCATGCCATTGCACACCAGCCTGGGCAACAAAAAGCGAAACTCTGTCTAAAAAAAAAAAAAAAATATATATATATATATATATATATATATATATATATATATATATATATATGCTAAGTCACGCGCAGTGGCTCACACCTGTAATCTGAGCACTTTGGGAGGCCAAGGCGGGTGGATCACTTGAGCCCAGGAGATCAAGACCAGCCTGGGCAACATGGTGAATCCCCATCTCTACTTAAAAAAAAAAAAAAAAAAAATTAGCCGGGCATGGTGGCAGGCATCTGTAGTCCTAGCTCCTCTGGAGGATGAGGTGGGAGGATCAACTGAGCCCAGGAGGTCAAGCCTGTGGTGAGCTGTGATTATGCCACCATACTCCAGCCTGAGTGTCAGAGTGAGACTCTGTCTCAATAAATAAATAAGCTATATATTTGATACTAACATCTAGATTAATATTGCAACATAGTACTGGTAGTAAAATCTAGAGTAATTTTTTAAACTTTTTGCTTTTGCTCAGGAAACCACACAATGCCAGTTTGTTGGACTTAATTTTCAAATACAGCACCACTGTGGTAATGCAAACTTCTAACAGGATTTTACATAGCTTAGACGTATTCTCAAATGATAACCAGGTAAGTGTTATTTTTTGAAAAGAGTGAAAACCCTGGCTATTTCTCAACAGCAAGTTCTTAGTAGATGATTCCAAACCCCATCATGGCCACCTGCCTCTCACGCTTATATTAATCCTGGTTTGTATTTGAGATTATATAGACAGTAAGTGCAAAGAAATTCAGAGGATAGACCTTATTCAGAAAATTGGCTGAATTAACTTCAACCCCATTTATTTCACACGAAACAAATTTTGTACTTATCCTAATAAATGGAACCTTGTGGGTGCTAATACAAAGTCAACTCTAACCCTAGATTAGAGGAAATGAAAGAAAATGACTGATATTTAAATTACATTCTCTAAAATATTTTAAAAGAATCCTCCTGTATATATGAAGAGAATTCCAGTGACAAATTAGTTGTACTTGCTCATTTTAGTTTTAATGAGCAAGTATGGCTTATATCACTCATATAAAAATGCCCCAGTCTCACTACTGGGATGCCCTTAACCCAGAGAAAAGCTTACATACTATTAGCTTCCAGTAATTCCTTGGACACATTGCAGGCAGAGCTTGGTGGCACAGCATTCACATTCTCATCTTGTTCAGGAGACATGGGCTCTTGTTTAATCTGAACTGATGAGTCTGGAGCAGGGACACTGCCATGGGTTTGGAAAGTAGGAGACGTGGTTATTTGAAGAGAGGCTCCGGTGGGTGATGGAGACACATGGGAAGATGGAGGCTCCAGAAAAAGTGGGAAAAAGGGAGTGGGCAGCAGTGCGGCATCAATGGATGTTTGAGATCTACTGTTCCTTCGTTCTCGTGTGAGGCTACAGGGAACCTGGTCTGGGTGCTCAGAAGGTTCATATGTTTCTAGAATGGGAAACATACATACATAGAAATGCAAAAATGTTATCTGAAAAGTCATTTGTGTCTGAGCTAATTTGTATTTTTAAACATTAGAAAAGAATTATAAATAAGTATATTAGTATAGTCCCTCATAATTCTCCGAAATATGGAGAATATAATCTCTACAACCACCAAGGATACAGAGAGAATAGGCATCAACATTCTTTTTTTTTTTTTTTTTTTTGAGATAGGGTCTCGCTTTGTCACCCAGGCTGCAGTGCAGTGGTGCAAACACTGCTCACTGCAGCCTTGACCTCCTGGACTCAAGCAATTCTCCTGCCTCAGCCTCCCAAGCAGCTGGGATTATAGGCACATGCCACTATGCCCAGCTATTATTGTTATTATTTTTTTGAGACAGAGTCTCACTCTGTCACCCAGGCTGGAGTGCAGTGGCGCAATCTCGGCTCACTGCAACCTCCACCTCCCGGGTCCAAGCGATTCTCCTGCCTCAGCGTCCTGAGTAGCTGGGATTACAGGAGCACGCCACCATGCCCAGCTAATTTTTGTATTTTTAGTAGAGATGGGGTTTCACCATGTTGGTCAGGCTGGAATTATTATTATTACTAATAATAATTATCAATAATTTTTGTATTTATTTGTAGAGACAGGGTTTCACCACATTGCCCAGGCTGGTCTCAAACTTCTGGGCTCAAGGAATCCACCTGCCTCAGACTCCCAAAGTGCTGGGATTACAGGCATGAGGCACTGTGCCTAGCAACATTCCAATTTTTCAAATTTTAAATGACTTATCCAAAGTTATATAGGCTACTAATGGAAGGGAGAAGATTTGAACCCAGGCCTTTTGATTCCTAATCAAAACTCTTTCCATAACATATTGTCTGTTGCTAAACATTTTTGGGATGCACAGTTTACAGACCTTTCTATAGAAGGAAGAAACTGGCCAGGCGTGGTGGTTCAGGCCTGTAATCCCAACCATTTGGGAGGTCAAGTTAGGAGGACTGCTTGAGCCCAGGAGTTTGGGACTATCCTGGGAAACACTGGGAGATTCCATCTCTATAAAAGCATTTTTTAATTTTTATAACTTTTTATAATTTTATATAACTTTTTATAACCTTTAAATTTTTACAATTTAAATCATAATTTTATAAAATTAAAAGTTAGAAATTTTAATAACCAGGCATGGTGACACACGTCTGTAGTCCCAGCTACTGGGGGGAGTGAGGTGGGAAAATTGCTTGAGCCCAGGAGGTCAAGGCTGCAGTGAGCCATGATCGTGCCACTGCGCTCCAGCCTGAGTGACAGAGCAAGACCCTGTCTCAAAAAAACAAAAAAAAAGGATGAAACCAAGGAGACAGGAGAGAAATAACATGACCTTTTCATGACTACTTTTCATCCCCTCAAAGAGAACAAAAAGGCCTGGTGCAGTGGCTCATGCCTGTAATCCCAGAACTTTGGGAGGCTGAGGCAGGCGGATCACCTGAGGTCAGGAGTTCGAGACCAGTCTGGCCAACATGGCGAACCCTGTAACCCTGTCTCTACTAAAAATACAAAAATTAGCTGGGGGTGGGGTGGGCACCTGTAATTCCAGCTAATCAAATGCTGAGGCACGAGTATCACTTGAACCTGGGAGGCAGAGGTTGCAGTGAGCAGAGATTGCACCACTGCACTCCAGCCTGGGAAATAGAGCAAGACTCTGTCTCCAAAAAAAAAAAAAAAAAAAAAAAAAAGCAGAGAAAACAAAAAAGTAACACGCTATAGAGGGCCCAATCCATCAGATGCCCTCTGAATACCTTGTAATCCCTGTAGAATCTGTATTCTATGGGTCCTCAGTGCACTCATCTCCATAGTTATCTAAAAATAAAGTATTTTATTAAGCATTTTGAAATCCAACTTGTAAGGTCCTCTAGGTCTCCCCATTTTTCTTCTATGTCCTGACCAAAAATCAGAGTGTCTTGACTGCTCTGTGACCCAGCCAGCCGCAGGTTTTCTCCAGCAGGCTTGAACCCTACCTGGGGCCTTGAAGATTCCCAGGCACTGATAAAAGTATCTAGGTTGTTGCCCAAAACACTGAAAGAAATTGGCCCTGGCCCTGAGCCAAATTCCTTAAACCCTCATATAAACTCCACATCCCGCCCCCTGGCTGTGGATATACCTAGGGAGAACACCCTTGTGGGGACTGCTGCAGCCTACTCTGTAAGTAAGCTCTCCTAATAAATGCTTTGGACTCATCACCCTGGCATTTAGTGCTTCTTTCTTTGGAATCCTAACTGTCCCCCATTAGGCACAGTCTGGGGCACTTCCCTTGTGGAAACTCCCCTGCCATTGCTTTTGGGGTGACTCCAGACATGGGTTTGGCAGCACAAAACAAGATTTCGGAGATGATCCATTTTTATTAAATCCTCCACATGCTGTTACCTGCTGCTTGAGCATAAGTAGCCTCTGAACTTCCACATAAGCTGTCTGAAGGGCTGCACGGGCTTGCAGAAGATTGTTATCCATGCACTGCAATGACTTACTAAGTTCTTCCTCCCTTAAAGAAATATTCAGCAGCTGGTCAACCTGAGAACGTTCTGCCAAAAGAAATCATAAGGTTCAGGTTAATACGAGAGATTTCCCTCTCATCACACAGCTCAGAAGACTAAACTATACCCATTATTTAGGATAAGACTTTATGTTCTCCTCAGTAGGTCATTGGAAATTCATAAAACATTTAGTCAAGCACAATGATATCAAAGCTAGGAACCAAAAGTGAGAACTGCTAAGATGGAGGTATCTCATAAGCTCCAGTGTACCATCACATCATTCTGTCTCATCTAATCACCGCCTTCTACCACCACCTTTCCAGGTGAAATCTGTCCCATGCAAACCACCTGTTCTAGGACTCGTTTCCCATTCTTCCTTTATCTACCACTGTCTTCACACAGGACTTTTGCTTAGATTGGACTCTAGACCTAGACTGCTTGCACTCTCTTTCCAATCCATATTTAGTCTGTTAGTTGACTTAAAAATTGTTTTTATTAGAGAAGACTTCCTGAAGAAAATACAGCTTTGAAATAGTACATTTAACTTAGTTTGAATAAAATGTTCTGTGTATGTATTTACCATCATTGTGTTTGTCTGTTTCCTATTCAATATGCCAGGACCTCTCCCTTAAGCTCCACACCCACATATCCAACTACTGACTATGATATTTCTAGCTAGGTTATCTCAAAGGTCCTTTAAGTCAAAGAATCCCTGAGGGAATTCATCATCTTTCTCTATTCTCAATCTGCTCCTCTCATGGAGTTTTCTAGCTCTACATATGCTCCATCTGGTTGGCCCAGCCAGAAATGTGGGTTGTCCTTGACTCCTCCCTTATCCATCACATCCACTCACTCAAGCCTCATCCAATCACTTCCAGGACTAGCCCTTATACTAGAACTGGGTTAGAGTCAAGGAAAAGCAAGAATCACAGAAATACATCAATGAGGGAGCAATGTTAATAACTTCTTTCCATAATTCACTTTAGAAAAGCAACCAAGGAAGGGAGTGTGGAGGTGGGGCAGCGGGGAAGCAACCAAGATGCCTCAAAAACTGAAAGTGAGAGAAATGGCTATACATGACCAAGAGGGCCAACACATTTCATCCCACTGAAAAGGCTCAAGGAAACTTCCTGGCTTTATATTGTCCAAGTGGTATACTAACCTTGGCTTACAAGTCTATGTGACATCATATATTTCTTCTACAGTTGTTAACTGGATGTATTAGGAAATCAAACTTTTCTTTCCTCTTAAGCAAGGCAACAAAAATGTCCAAAAAAAGTAAATGGACAATCAGTGTTTGATAAATGACAAGCTATGCTCTGTGTCAAGCTGCACAAACGCTGAACTGCTACAAGAACCTCTTGGGGCTGGGCACGGTGGCTCACATCTATAATCCTAACACTTTGGGAGGCCAAGGTGAGAGGATCACTGGAGTCCAGGAGTTTGAGTCCAGCCTGGGCAATATAGCTAGACCCTGTCTCTACAAAAAAATAAAAGAATTAATGTAGTGTCACATACCAGTAGTCCTAGCTGCTCGGGAGGCTGAGAGAAGAGGATTGCTTGAGCCCAAGAGTTGGAGGTTACCAAAAACCCGCACCCCCCAAAAAAAACCAAAAAACACCAACTTCTTTCTTCCAAAATATTCTGCACCATACCTTTTTTTCCTTTAATTTTCCTTCTTTTATTTTTTCTCTCAAGACTTGGGAGTTCAGGAGAAGATCCATCCTGGAAGGATAAAGAAAACTGAATAAAATCCAATGTGTAAAAGCCATTATCCAAGAGGAGAAAAAGGAATCAATTCTAAGATAGCCATACACTGTTCTTCACTATTGCTACCATCTCTAACATGATCGTAGAAGTCTCACGCACGTGGTACCAACGCAAACTTTAGTTGAATAAACGTATCTGATTTAAAAAAAAAGAATCCAGGGTGAAGTGCCTCCTAGCATCCTAGAGGTAGGAAAGCCCATGGAGGTCAGGGAAAGCATTTCATCTTGGTGTAGTAAGGCACAAGTAGAAGTATAGACAAAGCCAGTAAAATAAATATATCTGATTTATAACTTGGCATAGTTTCTACTTTAAATTTCAGCAAGAAAACCTTTACAACAAAAAGCTTAACAGTCCATGAGACAAGCTCTTTGTCATAGGACAATCCCTCAGCTTGAAGTGTATTTTAAGTCATCCAGTAACATCCACTACATATAGCATCTAGCTCAAAGGAGCAGAATTGCAATTTGAAGCAAGTCTAAAATTCATGACCTTAACTACTATGCTTATCACCTCAGTATTAAATGAGAGAAGCCCAGCACAGTGACACATGCTTGTAGTCCCCGCTACTTGGGAGGCTGAGGCAGGAGGACTGCTTGAGTTCAGGAGTTCCAGAGCAGTATGGACAACATTGTGAGACCTCATCTCTAATATAAATTTTAAAATATTATAAAATAAATAAATAAATAATGAAGAGAAGAACCCATTTTTTTTCACATTGCCAGATCCCAGACTGTATCACTACCAGCAACTCTTTCTTTTCAGAAAGGGATACTGAGAGGGTTAAGCCAATATTAGCGGCAGAAATGCCGGAAGAGCAGAAGTGGTATCAGTGAAATAAAAGACTCTTAAAGGCCAGGGTGGGTAACTGAAGGACGAAGGACAGAGTTACACAGACTAAAAATATTTCTATACTCTGCTCATATATATGCACTCTAATAGTATTAAAACCATCTTAGTGTTAAGCCTATCACTCCTGAATCCAGCAATCATCCATGCCCTACAAGTGCAACAGTAGAACGCCTTTCTTCAGTAGCAGTGCAGAACGCATCTATGAAAACAGATTGGGTTACAGCTGAATATGTGACTTATCCTTGGTCAGGTGATACAAAGAATCATTGGCTTGGACACTGGTTTTAGATATGACTTCATATTTTCCTGGTACTGTACATTCATATTAGATTACATTTAATTTAGCAGAATTACTCAGTGTAAGAAACCAGTAGGATGAAAGTAAGAACCTCACAATTCTTCTAGAAGTTGAGAGAATCACAATCCCAGATACCCAAGAAAAACAGTTGAACCTTTTTTCATAAGCAACCAACTTGCCACATGCGATGTTCTACAAAAAGCAGAGGGAATTATACTCACTCCAGTGGCTCTTCGTTTCTTTCTAATACTTTGGCCATCATTTTGTTCAGCACCAGAGGTACAGCTACTATCTGTGGCTGCATCCGCTAAACTGGAGATCGCAAGGGCTGAGGATGCGCTTGATGACAGACAGTTTCCCTCTCCATTACTCTCCTGGGAATTCTGATTCTCTGACGGTGGTATAGACCTCTCCTGGCTGTTCAAGTCTTTTGCCAAATGCATCAAAGGTATTATATGGTCAGAGGATAATTGTGCACTATGTCGCCTTTGGGTAGCAACATTTTCAGCCCTTTCACCTGTTCGGAGGGAGGCAGCCCGAGGTGTCACTTCTTGTTTGAGGTGCATGGTTGCTTTCTGGCTCTGTCCAGCCCTCAATGAGTTACTAGGTGAAACCATCTGCTGGGGCTCATTTTCTTTGCCTGTACCTTCCTCACTGAAGAAGCTATACACAGAAGGAGCTCTGTCCATGATCACGCTGCTCTCAGAAAGGCTTCGCTTTCTTGCCAAGCCAGGGGACGAGGAAATGGAAACACCTTCCCACTGGAATCCTTCTAGACTGGACAGATCAGGTTCCCCATCCAAATCTAAGGCTTCTTGTTCATTTTGAACAAGGGGTACCATTTCTATGCCAAACCTTAAGGAAGAAAGAAAAAATGAAAACATAAATTGGATATGGTTGTTGGGAGGGGCATTATTTTTTAATGTGCCAGGCTCTCTCAAGCACTGAGGTTATAAAAAGTAAGGTGGCTCTTGCCTTCAAGGGGCTCACAGTCTAGTCAGTGGTACAGATATAAATATATTACGTTGTCACAAGTACCAGATTAGAGGTTTGTATACAGCTATAATAATATATTTGAGGGAGTAAAAATTGAGTTTTGTTTCATATGGAGCGCTAAATCTATAATAATACATACAGCATATAATTTTTAAAAGCAAACAAACCAAAACAAAAAAAAAAACCCTTTTACTGAGCACTTACAAGTGCTTTATACTTACAATTTCAAATGCTACTCACAAGGTGTGGGAAAGGAAAGTGGGGGGAAATAAACCCATTATTTCAACAAGTACAGAAATGCCCCTGAAGCCTGGAGAACTGTATCATCATGCAGCAGAGTTATGACTTTCAAGTAGCAAACTTACGTTGAACACTGTTTTAGCATTCAGAAAAGTCTAGTACCTCAACATAAGATGAAGAGCCAAAATATTACACAAGCGCTTAAGAGAAAGCATGTTGTAGTCATAAAGATAATGCCCAGAGTACATACAGAAAAGTTAACTATTCGTAGGTTCTAAGTAAAAGGTAATGAGAACAGTTGTATTTAAAAGTTATAGCACGCATTCCAAAATTAAGATCTAGAAAAAGACAGAGATCTATAGCTCTACATTTTTATGCTGTCATTTTCTACCCCTATAAAGTGACGGATTTTACCCCTGTAAAGCCATGACTTTTTTCCTACGTCACCACCTTGTTTCTCAAGTAGGTGTGCTTCCATTTTAACCTGCACTCTCTGCTAGGAAATACTTTATTCCATCTGTCATAGAGTATCAGTCACTATTTGATATTAAATCAAGACATCTACAACAGATATTGTTGGCAAACATTTAATTAAATGAAACACGTAGAATTCTCTTGATCAGGGTCAAAGGGTTACTTTAAAAGAAAGTGAGGAAAAAAAAGACACCGAAAAGCAGCACACACCTGGGTAAGCCTTTGCCCAGCTCTTGCTTTTTCTTGGTTACTTGCTGAATGACCTGTTCCCAGTTGACATTTCTCCGAGATGCATTTAGAATCTGCCGTAGGGTTGGCTTGAGCCCAGACTCCTTCTCTGTCTCACTCTTTCGGTGACCGCTAATATTGCGAATGCGGCGGGCACTATTGAGGTTTGGCTCAGGAAGGTGTACTCCAGTTTTGCTCTTCAAACTAATGTGCCGGGTTAGATCCCTCTGAAGTGAGGCAGGAAAGCCAAGCTTACTTAGTTCAGGCAGGAGAGGGCCCGAGGGCTGACTGATGTCACTTTTTTGAAGCTCTGCATCCAAGCTAGCACTCTCAAAGCCTTCTGTTTCATAAGATACATGAGATTTAATAGAGTCATCAACCTGTGCATCTTCTAGAGAGGTTTTCAAGTCTAGCAATAAGCCAGGGTGTGGACTGGCTGCAGATGTCATTTGTAATTCAGATTCTTTCTGGCGAACTATGGGATTACATGGGGAAGTGGATAGCTCTCTAGAAGTCTTCAGGATGCGGTCATCCTCCTCTTTCTCATCAGCAGTTCGAGTGCTGCCAGATAACAATTCTGTAGTTGCAGAACCTAGGGTTCCAATTTTTGTTCCATGCTTTTCCGTGTCAGATGTCTCTCCATCACTTTCATCTTCTAGTGCGTGCACTTGAAACTCAATTTTCAAAGACCCTTTTTCAGATTCTTCTACATTTCTACTTGCTTTTGCATAGTTCCTGGTACTTTTAGAAGTGCTAAGAAGTGGATTTTGCAATGACTCATGACACTGTAGCACCTCTTTGGCCTTTCGTAAAGTATCATTTAAATTATCACCAGATTGCTTTTGAGAGCCAAATGTACTTTTATTCCCTTTTAAAACATGAGGACATGAACTACGCAGTTTGGATATGTAAGGACCATGGTTATCTTCCACAGTGGGCTTGTTCGAGGGATTTGAGTGTTCTCCAGGGGAAAAAAAATTTGTTTTGGTGTTTTTTGAGATATTCTTTGGATCTTGCTTTTGAGACAATGATTTAGTGGCTGGACATGGAAGGAGTGGGGATTTCAATGATGGCATTTTATTTGGTGTATGCTCTTGTTCAGGTTTTTCTGCAGTGGGGCACTGTCTCACCACCTCGAAGGAAGCAGCGGAATCAGAAGAGGCCTTGTGATTAAGAGATCCAGTATGTATTTCTTTTTGTGTTTTCTGTGTTGGGGAATTACGTGTTTCATCAGTTTGGGGCTCCTGTATTCCTGTAGTTATCAAGCTAAAATCAAAGAGAGGTTTCTCTATCATTTCTGACTTGTTACCAGTGATGTCTTTCAATCCCGACTGTAAATCCAGAGTCTTCTGAGAAGGGTAAGGCGTCCAGCGACGAGGCTTTTCCCTTGCCGCACTGCCATTCTTTCCACTAACTTTGGAAGTAGCAGTGTCTGCTTGTTTAGTGGTTTGGCTTTCCAGCTGCTCAAAATTGAAGTCGAGTAAGCCTTCTGAAGGAAATTTATCACTTGTAAATCCTTCAGAAGGACCTCTATATGTGGCAACTGTACCAAGTTTGTCATTTTCTTGCCGCTGCCAATTATATCTGTCGTGACTGTATTTGTTTGACTTATTAGATTTCTTGTTCCATAGCATAGTCATGTCTTCCATTTGACAGTTAGAATTTCTGTTTCTGCCTGGTTGAAATTTGTCTCCAGGGCCACTGTAATTCCAATTATTTGTACTACGTACACTGGATTTCCAGTTTCCGTTACTGTTGTTCATATGCCAACTGGAAAAGCCACCTGTTCCTTCAGAAAGCCAACTGGAATTCCTTCCTGTACCATTATGATTCCAATCTACTGCTCCACTATTTGAAAGCCAACCACCTCCAGAATTACTATGGTTGTGAAACCAAGTCGAGGAGCCTCCTGCAACACCCTTATGCCACCCGGAACGTCCTCTTGGTCCACCACCATTCCTCAAAGAATGTGGAAAGCTGTTTTTCCTAGTATTATTAAAGCCATCTTTTTCCCATTTCCAATCCCGCTGTGGAGGTCCACGATGATGCCATGCAGGCTGACTGTAACTCTCTCTGTCTTGGTAAGGAATTCGGTCTTCTCGTCTCCATTGGGGTCGTCTGTCATCAGAGTTTATTTCTTGGTTGCTATTGGAAGGTTCATCTTGTCTGGAAGAAAAACAGTTTTTCATTAGCGATTTAAAGGAATTCCTATGCTACCTTGAAAGGCATAACCCACCAAACTTCCCTTGTACTTTCCTCCCGTTACTTAGAATATGTAACCGAGTCTGGTTTTATATCTAATAGTGGTTGTTTTCATATCTTTAAATGATATATTTAAACGTATATTCCTCAACTTATTAATTTAAAAATAAAACATTTTAAATTACTTAAATTTCAAGTAATTACAACCATCTCCCCCATCACTCAGAAATATTAAAAATTTGGCACATTTGGCCAGGTGTGGTGGCTCACATCTATAATTCCAGCACTTTGGGAGGCCGAGGCGGGCAGTTCACTTTAGGTCAGGAATTCAAGACCAACATGGCCGACATGGAGAAACCCCATCTCTACTAAAAATACAAAAATTAGCCAGGCGTAGTGGAGCACGCCTGTAACCCCAGCTACTCGGGAGGCTGAGGAATGAGAATCACTTGAACCCAGGAGGTGGAGGTTGCAGTGAGCTGAGATTATGCCATTACACTCCAGCCTGGGTAACACAGTGAGACTCTCTCAAAAAAACAAACAAAAATTTGGCACATTTATATTCCCTCCCTTTCTTGGTCTTGTTTTTCTTGGCATGTTCTGAGATTTTGTCCCTATCATCCAATTATTATTTTTGTATTATGCAGGTTTTTTGGAAAAAGAACAAGTATATTTTATAGCTATAGTTATCTTTTTTTTTTTTTTTTTTTTTTGAGACAGAGTCTTGCACTGTTGGCCAGGGTGGAGTGCAGTGGCACAATCTCAGGTCACTGCAACCTCTGTCTCCCAGGCTCAAGCAATTCTCCTGCCTCAGACTCCCGACTAGCTGGGATTACAGGCATGCGCCACCACACCCGGCTAATTTTTGTATTTTTAGTAGAGACGGGGTTTCACCATGTTGGCCAGGCTGATCTCAAACTCCTGACCTCAGGTAATCCACCCACCGCGGCCTCCCAAAGTGCTGGGATTACAGGGGTACAGGCTTGAGCCACTGCGCCCGGCCTAGTTATCATATTTAGTACAATTTTATGTTCAGCTGCCCTTAATACCATGATTTTTCCAGTTGTAGGTTCTTTCTGAAAAACTCCATTTCTTAACCTATTTTAAATAAGATGATACTTTGCATGGTTATTTTTATTAATAAACACTTTGTCCAGTACCCATTCAATAACTGTTAGTGGTATAAGAAGACTTTTATGTACAGTTCCAGTTTGTGAAGGCCTTAGAACCTAGCTGAGACAGTAAGGTCACAAACAGGAGGAAAATAGCATATACCAAACAAGTAGTAACCATAATATGTGCTATAAGGAGCTTCATGAGCCAGAGGTTTTTAAAAAGAAACTACAGCTGTTTCATGTTCATGTCAGACGAGGAGTCCACAGAAACATGAATAAGCTTCAGTAAGCATCACAGCAATAGGTGTAAAAACCATTTTCTTCTACAAACTGCCTATGGTGTGCATGGGCATGGTGCTTAGCATGTGGTAAGTGCTCAAAATACTGAGTACTGCTAGCTAAAATTTACTGAGTACCTGAGTGTCAGGCATTTAATGCTAAGCACCTTATATAGATTATCTCACTTAGTTTTTATAATCCTGAGGCAAGTATTTTTTTTTTTTTTTTGGAGATGGAGTCTCGCTTTGTCGCCCAGGCTGGAGTGCAATGGCACGATCTTGGCTCACTGCAACCTCTGCCTCTCGAGTTCAAGCGATTCTCCTGCCTCAGCCTCCTGAGTAGCTGGGATTACAGGCTCCCGCCACCACGCCTGGCTAATTTTTGTATTTTTAGTAGAGACGGGGTTCCACCATGTTGGCCAGGCTGGTCTTGAACTCCTGACCTCGTGATCCGCCCACCTCAGCCTCCCAAAGTGCTGGGATTACAGGCATGGCATGTATTCTTATTATTCCTACTTTATAGATGAGAAATTGAGCAGTAGAGAGAATACATAACTTGCCTAGAATAAGATAGCCAGAAAGCAGTAGAGCAGAGATTTAATCCTTGGCAATCTGACTCCAGCCAGAGTCTATACTCTTAACCACAGGCCTTCAGAGAATCAACATCTCAAAACAAAGTTTCCACATTTAAGTTCCTTCCTCTGACCTTGACTTAAAAATCTTAAACTCAATACTGACTTTAATTGGCTTTAAAGGCTTTCAATGTCTATGATATTTTGGACACAAATTGGAACTTCTTCCTTTTTCACAAGACGGAATTTAAAAGTCTATTTAGAAGTTCAAACATCCACTCATATTATATAAATTACAATCATTTCTAAACAGGAGACTCTTTAGAAAGTAACAAGTATTATTACATGCAGTAGCAGAATTTTTTTATAACCATTAACCAAATTGCCTTTATCTTTTGATTCTATGCAATATGCAACTTCTGGCATCCAAGGAGACCACTGACTCAGCTATACTGATATGATCAGAAATGGGAGAACTGGGGGATAAATAAATCACAAAGTAGAATTCCTAGATCATCATGAATTGGCTAGATTCAGAAGATAGGAGCATTCAGCTAAACCCATAGACCAGAAAGAATAATCTAAGTTAAAAATTCATGAAGGAAAAAAGAAAAAAAAAAATACTCCTGAAGAAGTAGATGATTTTGTCCAGGTGTGGTGGCTCATGCCTGTAATCTCAGCACTTTGGGAGGCCAAGGTGGGTGGATCACTTGAGCCCAGAAGTTCGAGGCCAGCCTGGGTGACATGGCTAAACCCCATCTCTACCAAAAATAAAAATAAAAAAAAAAAAATTAGCCACGCATGGTGGCGATGCATGCCTGTAGTTCCAGCTTCTCGGGAGGTTGAGGTGGGAGGACTGTTGGAGCCTAGGAAGTTGAGGCTGCAGTGAGGTGTCATCGTGCCACTGCACTCAAGCCTGGGTGACAGACCGACACCCTGTCTCAAAAAAAAAAAAGAAGTAGATGATTTTATAAATAGGTCATCAAGGAGGCACATCAAAAGACTCAAAAAATAGTAACTATGATACAAATGTCTAATCTATTCTGACTTAATGTTTAATTATTTACACAGATAAAGCTAATAATGGCACTAGTATGTAAGAACAAAATAGAAGTCTCCCAGAGGCTCCAACTGCCTAAAGCAGGATAAAGTAAACTGCAACTATATTAAAAGTAATGAAAATGTCATTTGAAGGACTAAGCTACTAAATGATTTAAGAACCATGTGGTTTGAGTGTCCCGTATCTGAAATGCTTGGGACCAGAAAGGTTTTGCATTTCAAACTGCTTTGGATTTTGGAATATTTTTGCATATACATAATGGGATATTACGGGAATGGGACCCAAGTCTAAACATAAAATTCATTTATGTTTCATATACACCTTTTATACACAGTCTGATGATAATTTTAGGTAATATTTTGAATAATTTTGTAAAATGAAATGAGGTGTGGAATTTTCCACTGGTGGCCTCATGTTGGCACTCAAATGTTTTGGATTTTGGTGCATTTTCAGACTTTGGATTAGGGATGCTCACCCTTTACTGATATTTTAAGATGAAGAAAGTCTCCTTCAAGGAATTGTTCAAAAAACTTTTTTTTAATTTTAATTTTTTGTTGTTGTTATTACATAGATAAGGGCTTCCTATGTTGCCCAGGCTGGTCTTAAAGCCCTGGCCTCGTCTCCTCATGCACCAGGACAATAGGCCTGAGCCACCGTTCCTCCCGGCAAAAAAACTTTTAACATATAGAGTAAAAACAACTTCCTTTTTATAGTTAAGCCTCTGACTAAAAAGGAGGTACAGACGGGGTATAACTAGTATTCAAAGAAGAATCTTTAAATTTTTATTTTAGAATCTGAAATGATTCTCTTCATGTTCTGGGACTTAAAAAATTATCCCACCTCATAAGTGCTTCTCTCTCTCTTTCCCTCACATTGAAAATTTCTACCTCATTAATTAAACTCTTTTTAACAAATTTTATAATTAAACTCTTTAGACCAGAAAGCAGTAAGGTAAAAACATAAATGCCTAATACCTGAATGTATAAATGTAGGTATGAAATTATGCAGTACAAATTAGAAAATTTATATTGCTTAAATTATCTTGACACTTATCAAAAAAAATTTATTCAAGAAAGCACTGTGGTAGTCACTGGGGATTCAAAGACAAAAAGATAAATCAAATTTGGCAGAAGCAACACGTTAATTCACACCAGTCAAAAAATATTTTCCTAAGAAATGTTATTTGGCAGTAAGACTATACTATATACTATAGACTACACTGTTATTTTGGCGATACGACTATACTATATACTATACGATTTATACAATGAAGCTTATATTCTAACACCTTTCCACTGGAAAATTTAAACGCCAAATAAAAACTTATTGGTATTCAAAAGATTTGGATACTGGACAGGTACGGTGGCTCACGCCTGTAATTCCAGCACTTTGGGAGGCTGAGGTGGGCAGATTGCTTGAGGTCAGGAGTTTGAGACCAGCCTGGCTAATGGGGTTAAACCTCGTCTCTACTAAAAATGCAAAAAAAATTAGCCAGGCATGGTGGCAGGCATCTGTAATCCCAGCTACTCAGGAGGCTGAGGCAGGAGAATTGCTTGAACCCAGAAGGCAGAGGTTACAGTGAGCCAAGATCACACCACTGCACTCCAGTCTGGGTGGGTGACAGAGTGAGACTCCATCTTAAAAAAAAAAAAAAAGATTTGGATACCAATAAAGCCATTCTCAACATAGTTACCAACATGGCAAAAATTTCAGATATGTAGCTACAGCTTATGTAGGAACAATACTAAGTTTGCTTTTTTAAGAAGATATTACAGTAGTTCAAGAAAACATTCCATTGCCCTTTGATTAGTAAGACAACAACCTCAAGCTAAACTTTATACCTAAGTTTAAATGCCATGGGCTGACCAGTACAAAGATATAAAATATATTCTCTGCTGTGTTCTGTTATAGATAGGCTTTTTTTAAAAAATCAATTACTTACCGACTTTGTTCTTTCCTTTGTTTTATTAACTGAATGAGTTCCTTGTCAAAATAATCTTCTTCCTCTTCCTCTCCTTTTCCATCATCTTCTCTTTCCTGGGCATCAACGTTATCTTTGTGCAACTGGCCAGAAATGTGCTTTGCATATGCAGAAAGACCCACTTCTGTGACCCCGCACACTCGGCACTCATGACTAATGTCCCTAGGGAAAGAGGGAGATGAGGGACATTCAATTCTCCCCACTGGCATGGCACACTCACCAGATCTGTTATTGTTTCCTCTGAAGGACACTGCACACTTTGGCACAGTGAAAAATTAGTGCTAATTAATTTCAATGCTCCTTTCATCACTTTTAATAAGTTTGTTTATAAGTTACTTTTGAAATGATTTTAAGATTCTTTTCCAGCAATCAAGAGGCAATAGACTTCAGATAAATGTCGTTTAGGAGGAGAAATCTTCTTGAATTGCTGTACTTAAAATCTTGTCAGAGGAAACATGGTGAAAGGGGAGGCAGGGCAGGGGGCTCAGAGCAAGCAGAAGTTGCTCTGGAGCACACCCATGGTGCCAGCTGCACTCAGAAGGCCTGGTGACAGCGCTTACATTTAATCTTTAGTCTAGAGCTTTCTTCCAGTGAAAGTTAAGGGGTGGAAACAAGAGTAGGTGGCGCAGCCAATCCCAAGTCGGTAACTAAATCGGAACAGCTGGAGCTCTGCCTGGAATGTGAGGATTCCGGACCCCAGGAGTAGTCCAGGCAAACTTTTTTGGTCTGGATGATACATGTGATCTACATTCTGCTTCAGAAGGGCTTATTTTAAAGGGAATGGAAAGCATTTCAGTTGTAGGAAGTTAACAGCTGTGCCAAGCAAATGTGTTTTCTCAAGTTTCAGAAAATGCTACAGTTGAGAGAGATGCAAAACCAGGTTTTTAGTTAAACTAGGCAGACTTTTTTGCTTTGTTTTGTTTTTTTACTTTACATACTTCATGCAAATCTCACTTAGCCAGTCTTCAGAAGCCAGTCTTGAATCAGTGTCCACAGCTGTAGCAGATCAGTAATTTAACTGCTTTTTAGCTTCTGGAAATCCCTTGACTGGGTCAGCTGACTATGCAGTCATTTATGAGAAACATCTGAACACCATAGTTACAAGACAGCAGTATCCATTCAACAATCCAAATTGGCTTAACTCTGTATCATGTGTCCTGGATTTAGACTAGTTATATTTTTGCACTTCCTATGCCAATCTATTAAAAAAAAAACCAACAACCCAAAAGGACATGCCGTCTTTGTCCAGACAGAACACATACACACACGTGCACCTCTGTTCCATCTTTCCCTCACAAATACCTAACTAGACATAGGCAGAATTTACATCAACCAGAAGAGACCCTCAAAACTGGGCACTTCATTTACTAGAGGACAGTTACTGTTACAGATCACCTGAATATTCATTCAAGGAAAAAAAAAAAAAAAAGGCCGGGCTTGGTGGGGCTCACGCCTGTAATCCCAGCACTTGGGGAGGCCAAGGCGGGCAGATCATGAGGTCAGCAGTTTGAGACCAGCCTGACCAAAATTGTGAAACCCTATCACTACTAAAAATACAAAAATTAGCCTGGTGTGGTGGTGTGCACCTGTATTCCCAGCTATTCGGGAGGCTGAGGCAGGAGAATCGCTTGAACCCAGGAGGCAAAGGTTGCAATGAGCCGAGATTACACCACTGCACTCCAGCCTGGGTGATAGAGCCAGACTCCATCTCAAAAAAACAAAAGAAAAAAAAAAACAACACCTTACCAAAAAACAGCTAAATTCTAGGTGTGCTGTTTTTTGGTAAGGTGTTTTCTTTTTTTTTTTAAATGAATATTCAGGTGACCTGTAACAGAAACTGTCTTCTAGTAAATACTTAGCATAGACACTCTTGTTTAGGGTGACAAAGTTTAAACACTCAAACAATGCCCAGTAAGTTTAAAAAAACAACACTGTTCCTTATTTTGTAAGGATCATGGAGAAGAGCTCAGAAAAACTGAGAAAATTTGCAAGTTTTCACTCTTTTTTGACTTTGTAACCTCAAATACTGACATTTTTAAGATTCATTTTAATGTGCTCTGACCAGGTTTCCTAAAAATATCAATACCTGATTACCCAGAATATCAATATTCTAATTCCACAGGTACTTAAATACATTATTTTTACTGAGGGTTTTCAACTGCACTTACTACATTTATACACTTAAAGAATAATCTTCGGCCAGGCGTGGTGGCTCACACCTGTAATTCCAGCACTTTGGGAGGCCGAGGCGGATGGATCACCTGAGGTCAGGAGTTTGAGACCACCCGGGCCAAACTGGTAAAACCCCGTCTCTACTAAAAATACAAAAATTAGACGGGCATGGTGGCGGGCACCTGTAATCCCAGCTACTCAAGAGGCTGAGGCAGGAGAATCGCTTGAACCCAGGAGGCAGAGGTTGTAGTAAGCTGAGATCGCACCACTGCACTCCAGCCTGGGCAACAGAGTGAGACTCCGTCTCAAAAAGAAAAGAAAAAAAGAAAAAAGAATAATCCTCAACTTTCTCCAGTTTACCAGGGATACCGATACTTTTCTCTCAAGCAATTAAATTGATGGTAGCTCATTCCAACTGAACGTTAATAACAAGCTGTTTCTCAAAGCAACACACAAAGAAGTTAATTATATAAATCTATCACAATGGGCAGCATCAGAACAGTCTGAGGACTATAACAAATCTACAATATCTCATTTACACTATAAACATTCCAATCAACTCAATTTTCCAGTTAGAAAATCTTTTTGTTGGCCAGGCGCAGTGGTTCAAGCCTGTAATCCCAGCACTTTGGGAGGCCGAGGTGGGTGGATCACGAGGTCAGGAGTTCGAGACCAGGCTGGCCAATACGGTGAAACCCCATCTCTACTAAAAAAAAATACAAAAATTAGCCAGGCATGGTGGCACACGCCTGTAATCCCAGCTACTCAGGAGGCTGAGGCAGGAGAATCGCTTGAACCTGGGAGGTGGAGGTTGCAGTGAGCCAAGATCACTCCACTGCACTCCAGCCTGGGTGACAGAGTGAGACTTGGCCTCAAAAAAAAAAAAAAAGAAAATATTTTTGTCTTAAAACTCTCTAAAACTATGGAAAATATCTTAGCCTACTTTTCTACCTAAAAGCTCATAGAATGCTAAACTGAATATTGCAGTACCAGAGACATCTTTCTATTGGGGACTTTAGTATAATCCCTAAAAAGTATTTTAAAATAAAATCCATGATTTTATCCTTACTTCTAAAATGCAGAGAATCTGTCTAATGCTCAAACTATCAAAACCCCTCGCTCTTAAAAGACACAACTAGAAAGCAATACTGACTTTCCAAAATATTAAGGAATGTCGTATAAAGTAGGCAGAACTTAACTGTTAAAAATAAACATCCATAATCGTAAACCCACACACCCTGCAACCCCCAAAGCACAAACATATGTTGGATTCTTAACAGTGGAACATTTTCAAACCATTTTGCAATCCTAGTGAGAAAGAATATAACCATAGTTCCAAAATTATTTGACAGAGAACAAATCAGAGACCCTGCCCAGAAGGGCATACGCAATAAGTGCAGTATAAAAGTTAACACTAGCCAGGTGCCCACGCCTGTAATCCCAGCACTTTGGGAGGCCGAGGCAGGCAGATCACCTGAGGTCAGGAGTTCAAGACCAGCCTGACCAACACGGAGAAACCCCGTTTCTACTAAAAATACAAAATTAGCCGGGTGTGGTGGCGCATGCCTGTAATCCCAACTACTTGGGAGGTTGAGGCAGGAGAATCGCTTGAACCCAGGAGGTGGAGGTTGCGGTGAGCCGAGATTGCACCATTGCACTCTAGCCTGGGCAACAAGAGCAAAACTCCGTCTCAAAAAAAAAAAAAAAATTAACACTAAAAATAATTTTTCAAAAACCAAATCCCTAACATTTTTCTTATAAATAAAATCCAGTTTAAAATAGAAACTTTGCAAGAAACTTCAAAAAAAAACTTTATAAGAAACTTCAAAAAGAGAAACTTCAAAAAGTGTGTAGGGGTAATATGGTTACCTCCACACACATCTGCGTTTTCAGGAGATGTGGTTATACTACCCTGTTCTTTCTCTATGTAGCCACATCTTCTGAAAATTCAAGTGTGTGTGGAGTAAGCATATTACCTCTATTACCTCTGTTCTCTACACAACAGGCATTCATGCTTCAACATAGTGTTTGGGAAACCATGTTTTAAAAGCCTAATAGCAAGTTAATATTTTAATGAGGTTACTTGATAATTATTTATTAACAATCAGTTAAAATACTTACTATACTGTGTGAATAAATAAAATAATCACGGGGGAAATGTACAGCTTTGCTCCTTGGCTAGCAAAGGCAATAATTTTCCTTAGGGCATTTAAAGGAGGGCCTAAATTAGCTTCATCCTGTTACCACACAATTTCCTCTCATGTGTGAAACACAAAGTCTTAAGATACTCTCTCCATAAGCTTTTCTTTATTAAGCTTGCTCTAACTACCCGACAACAGCTGCTGAATAAATAAAGGTTTGTGCCTTTTTAATAGTCTCTATCTGGAGATGTTACTTACGGCCCACACATCTGAAGAAGTATATTAGGAAAAAATAGGGAAATGTTTCACATGTCCACAGCCATGAACCAAGTAAGACCAGTTACTTATTGCTTATTCAAGCTTGCTGCAAAGCCTAAGTAACACATACTTTGCAATTCTTAACCAGATCACAACCAAAAACTGTAGACACAACTATAAAGAGAAAAAGAAAGTCTCAGTGTCAGAAACCCAGTAGTTAAAAATGAAATCCAGAGGAAATAATCACAAACTCAGGATAACAGGGTAAAGAAATAATGACTGATAATTATTTGTCCCTATGGTACAAGCTGGTGAAGACCGTCCTTACAGTAAATGCTCCAAGTCCGTAAACAATTTTTGAGATTTTATGGGGTTTTCTATAATTTTGTAAGCTGGTTTTTCTTGCTACCTGTTTGTCTTCTCTCTTATATGTAACATGATTTGTTACAGGTCAGGAACACTATATCCAATATGTGAGTAAATAAGTACTAAAGGCTATCCTCTAAAGAAAATGAGTTTGGGTGCGAAACCTGACATTCCCATTGGCAGCTCAGGGAGGCTTTTAGTGCCTTTTTCCTAATTATTTTACTGTGATCCACATAATTTAAAATGGTAGATAAAATCTCCATAGCACAGTGTAGTTGCATGGGTGGAAAAGAACACATTACAGAACAAAACATAAATGACAATGTGGTTCATTAAGTTAACATCACAAAACAAAATGTGTATCTATAAATATAAATGTATAGGCCAGGCGCGGTGGCTCACGCCTGTAATCCCAGCACTTTGGGAGGCCGAGGCAGGTGGATCATCTGAGGTCAGGAGTTCGAGACCAGCCTGGTCAACATGGCGAAACCCAGTTTCTACTAAAAAGAGAAAAAATTAGCCGGCATGGTTGCGCGTGCCTGTAATCCCAGCTACTTGGGAGGCTCAGGCAGGAGAATCGCTTGAACCAGGGAGGCAGAGGTTGCAGTGAGCCGAGATCACACCATTGCACTCCAGCTTGGGCTACGAGTGTGAAACTCCGTCTCAATAAATAAATAAATAAATAAGTACGTAAATACATAGAAAGAGGTCTGGATAGGATACGCACCAACCATTGAGTCTCCTCTAAGAGAGAAATAGGATTTAGAGGGGAAAGGGGGGTGGAGAGAAGACTTTTACTTTTTAAACAACTTTTTATGATTCTGTATTGATTATAAACACGAGTCTTATGTGACCAAACTTGGTTTTGTTTTGACAGGGTCTCACTGCCACCCAGGCTGGAGTGCAGTGGCACAATCATAGCTCACTGCAGCCTCAAACTCCTGGGCTCAAGGGATCCTCCTGCCTCAGCCTCCTTAGTAGCTGGACTACAGGTGCAACCCACCACACCTGGCTTTTTTTTGTTTTGTTTTTTGTTTTTTTTTTTGTAGAGACAGGGGTCCCACTATGTTGCCCAGGTTGGTCTTGAATTCCTGGGCTCAAGTGATTCTCCTGTCTTAGCCTCTCAAAGTGCTGGGATTATAGGCACGAGCACCGCGGCCGGCCCAAACTTTTAAAAATGTTTTAAATGGATGATTAGTGACGTCTGAAATAAATGAGGCATTAATCTTTGAATGCAATGGGCTTCTCTCCTACAGACTAGATTTACTGACCTTGTTTGTTTTGTTTAATGATATAGTGCATATGGGTAGGGTGGCAGGTAAGTCACCCATAATAAAATGAACTCTAGAAGGAAGTCTGTTGAAAATGGGATTTTTAAGTAAAATACTCCACATAATCAAAAGTTGACTGCATTTCATAGATTCTGAATGTTAATGACATAGAGATCATATATATTCAAGGTATTATGATAAGGGCTTCTGGCCATGCAGAGTGGCTCATGCCTGTAGTCCCACCACTTTGGAAGGCAGAGGTAGGAGGATCAGCTAGAGCCCAGGAATTCAAGACCACCCTGAGCAACAGAGTGGAACCCTGTCTTTACAAATAATAAAGGCCAAATGAAAGACAGAGTGGAACTCTGTCTTTACAAAAAATAAAGGCCAAATGAAAGACAGAGAGGAACCCTGTCTTTACAAAAAATAAAAGCCAAAAATAAAAGCCAAAAGGGTGTGGTGGCACACGCCTGTAGTCCCAGCTACACAGTAAGCTGAGGTGGGAGGATTGTTTGAGCCCAGGAGTTCGAGGTTGCAGTCAGCTGTGATCGTGCCACGGCACCCCAGCCTGGTGACAGAGTGAGTGAGACCCTGTCTCAAAAAAGTATATATTAAAAATAATAAGGGCTCCCCATACTAAAATTGAGTGAGTGACAGTCTCCTTTATATTGCTGCTAAGACCTAACCTTCACATAATAAGAGACTGGGGGCAGGGAAAAATTCCACTAATAGGCTAAAGAGATGCTGAAAGTTTAATAACACATTAATTTGCCCACAGAATTTTAAACTGTAGGTCACAAAAAAATAAATTTCAAATGACCTAGGTTGACATCCTGATCAAAACTTGTAACTACTGGCTAGGCATGGTGGCTCACGCCTGTAATCCCAGCACTTTGGGAGGCCGAGGCGGGCAGATCACAAGGTCAGGAGTTCAAGATCAGTCTGACCAACATGGTGAAAACCCGTCTCTACTAAAATTACTAAAATTAGCCGGATGTGGTGACGCACGCCTGTAATCCCAGCTACTCAGGAGGGTGAAGCAGGAGAATCGCTTGAACCCGGGAGGCGGAGGTTGCAGTGAGCTGAGATAGCACCACTGCACTCTAACCTGGGCAACAGAGTGAGACTCCGTCTCAAAAAAAAAAAAACAAAAAACCACAAACTTGTAACTATTATTCATGGGATAAGATATAATTCCTATTTCCTAGGTTCCCAATGTTCCTCCATCTATCTTGTTTCCAAACTTCAAATTGACAGAAGTCAAATACATCAAAATAAATCACAAATAGACCAAAGACATGGAATATACACATGCTACTTTTTTTTTTTTTTTTTTTTTTTTGATACAGGGTCTGGCTCTGTCACCAGGCTGGAGTGTGGTGGTGTGATCTTGGCTCACTGCAACCTCCACCTCCCAGGCTCAAGCATCCTCCCACCTCAGGCTGATGAGTAGCTGGGACTACAGGCACATACCACTATGCCCAGCTAATTTTGGGGGTTTTTTGTGGGGCAGGGGATAGAGACAGGTGATATGGTTTGGCTGTGTCCCCACCCAAATCTCACCTTGAATTGCAATAATCCTCACATCTCAAGGGTAGGGCCAGGTGGAGATAACTGAATCATAGGGGCAGTTTCCCCCATACTGTTCTCATGGTAGTGAATAAGTCTCAGGAGATCTGATGGTTTTATAAATGGGAATTCCCCTGCACAAGCTCTCTTGCCTGCTGCCATGTAAGATGTAACTCTGCTCCTCATTCACCTTCTGCCATGATTGTGAGGCCTCCCTAGCTACGTGGAACTCTGAGTCAATTAAACCTCTCTTCTTTATAAATTACCCAGTCTTGGGTATGTCTTTATTAGCAGCGTGAGAATAGACTAATACAATGGGGTTTCCCCATATTGTCCAGGTTGGTCTTGAACTCCTGGGCTCAAGCAATCTGCCTGGCTCAGTTTTCCAAAATGCTCGGATTACAGGCATCAGCCACTGCACCTGGCCTACATTTCATTTTTTAAAGGTGTCCACTTATTAGATTTCCTTTCCTTAAACATCTCAAGCTTCAAATCACAGAATAGCATCCTTCTTTTTTTTTGAGACAGGGTCTCACTGTGTCACCCAGGCTGGAGGGCAGTGGCACAATCACAGCTCACTGTAGCCCTGACCTACCTAAGCTCAAGTGATCCTCCCAACCTTAGCCTCCTAAATAGCTGGGACCACAGGCTATTAGCTGCCACACCCACCTAATTTCTTTATTTGTAGAGACAAGGTCTTTCTACGTTGCCCAGGCTGGTCTCAAACTCCTGGGCTCAAGTAATCCTTCCACCCTGGGCTCCCAAAGTGTTGGGATTACAAGCGTGAGCCACTGCACCTGGCCAGCATTCTTAAATACATTTAAGGTTTATATTTCAATTCTGTTTATACCAATGAGATTCAGTGCTATTTAGCAGACTTTGGATGTCTCAGACAATTCCAGCAATACTAAACGTTTATGGCATGCAATAATTTGTAACACTGCTGAAGTAAAAATACAAAATGTCCTAGTTGCAAGGCTAGCACGTAGGAATGAGAAAGCTTACTAATGAGAGAGTTAGCTCATCCCAACTCACCTTTGTTGCAATCTACTTGATAGGGCTGCTGTGAATTCACACATTTGAGATGCCCAAAGGTATCAGAGTTTATCCCTTTTGAATGCCAAAAATCTACTACACTTGGTATTAATTCTAAAAGGTTGTTCTACGCCATAAGACAACATTTGCTTTTGACGGATTACTGCAAAACAAACTGACAGGCACCATCATCACTCAGATCCACCCACATTCACAAACTTATGGAAGAGAGCCGTTCCCATACCTGCCCTTGAGGTTCTCAAGTTCCCTGTGATGCAACATGCTCCGCATGTGTTCGTCCATCTCCTTCAAAATAAAAGAAAGTAGATTAAAACTAAGCAGGATTGCTTTGAAAAAAAAAAACTCCTCTGTTCCTCCTCAATCAAAAATTGGGGCTCAAACTCCTTATGTCAAAATGTGTTTTTGGTTATTCTCAATTTAATACTGAAATCAGTTCCTTAATAATTAACTGTGTTTTTTAATATATTTCATGTTTAAATAAAAAGAATTCTTAAAAAGACATATTTAAGTGGCTTTCCAAAAAGATTAGAAAGTATTATCTTTAGGAAGCAAAACACTTAAGAGTAAACTAAGTAAGTTAAATTCTATCCCATTATAAAGAATTTACTAAAGTTCATTTAAAAAAAAAACCTTTCAAATCACTCAACTTTTCAACTATTTGGCTTCTTTTATCCACAGTTTCTCAAGAGTAAGCTACAACTCTTACTTTACCCATGTCTTGGACAGGGCCTAGCATATAGTCATCAATAAGCATTTGTTGAATGAATATAGATGGATACATCAATTCTAGATAGGAGTTACAAACATAACAGAGCCTCTCTATGCTAGATAAGAAAGTTTTAAAAAAATACTTTGAACATAGCAGCTTAATCAATCCTTTATCTTCACTGTCCACTCCCTCACTTCCCCAGTGGATTTGTTTGGTTCCAATGAAAAGTTTGAACATTTATAGTAGGTTCCCTTCTTCCCATCCTTAGAGGGAAGAAAATATGTGGGAAAGCTGCCACTTAAAAACATGCACACGGCTGGGCGTGGTGGGTCACACCTGTAATCCCAGCACTTTGGGAGGCCGAGGTGGGCAGATCACGAAGTCAGGAGATCGAGACCATCCTGGCCAACATGATGAAACCCCGTCTCTACTAAAAATACAAAAATTAGCTGGGCGTGGCAGTGCGTGCCTATAGTCCCAGCTAGTCAGGAGGCTGAGGCAGGAGAATCGCTTGAACCCGGGAGGCAGAGGCTACAGTGAGCCGAGATTGTGCGACTGTACTCCAGCCTGGCGACAGAACGAGACTCCGTCTCAAAAAAAGAAAAAAGAAAAAACATGCACACATGTACACATACACATACACAAAACTCAAAAAGCTATAAATGTCTATCCCTTTGTCACTCTACAGTATACACAGCCAGTATGCCATAATTAAAGAATGGCTGTTCACATATATAATAATAAAGGGCTACTACACTTGTTGTGTTATTGCTATTTACTGCATTCCGTGTGAAGTCCCTCAAACATTTTCTCACTTGAACTGCAAAATACTGCCGAGGGAGTATGATTAACTTCATGCTGAAGAATGCAGAGAAGTTACCTCATTCATTCACCAAATATTTATCAAATTCTTATTATATGCCAAGAATAGAGCTAGGCATTGAAGGTTAAGCGTGAAAATATTCAGTCTTGGCCGGGCACAGTGGCTCATGCCTGTAATCCCAGCACTTTGGGAGGCTGAGGCAGGTGGATCATGTGGTCGAGTTTGAGACCAGCCTAGCTAACATGGTGAAACCCCATCTCTACTAAAAATACAAAATCCAAAAAAAAAAACCAAACCACTAACTGGGCTGGTGGTGAACGCCTGTAATCCCAGCTACTTGGGAGGCTAAGGCAGGAGAATCGCTTGAACCTGGGAAGGCGGAGGTTGCAGTGAGCTGGTATCACGCCACTGCACTCCAGCCTGGGCAACAAGAGTGAGACTCTGTCTCAAAAAACAAACAAACAAACAAAATATTTAGTCTTGCCCTCTCGGAGTGACAAATAATCAAGTGGTCAAAGTGGGATTCAAACCCAGGCAGATCTGACACCAAAGCTAATGCTTCAAACACCATGTCACACTGTAAGCATTTGGTGCATTGAAATTTTTCATTATATACAGTTCATTTGTCAAAAACAATACAACACAACCCACTGTTACTTAAAGTTATCTACTATAGTGTGATAAACAGGGTTGTGATTCAAAACGCCTTTTTTTTTTTTTTTTTTTTTTTTTGAGACGGAGTCTCGCTCTATCGCCCAGCCTGGAGAGCAGCGGCTCGATCTCGGCTCACGACAACCTCTGCCTCCAGGGTTTCAAGAGTTTCTCCTGCCTCAGCCTCCTGAGTAGCCTCGATTACAGGCATGCGCCACTATGCCCAGCTAATTTTTTGTATTTTTAGTAGAGATGGGGTTTCACCATGTTGGCCAGGCTGGTCTCAAACTCCTGACCTCAGGTGATCCACCCACCTCAGCCTCCCAAAGTTCTGGGATTACAGGCATGAGCCACTGTGCCCAGCCAAAACACTTCTTTTAAATGGCAATTTTACTGAAGATTACCATCGTTTCCTTCCTAGCTCTACAGATGCTTCATAAGGAGAGAGTAGGCCAGGTGCGGTGGCTCACGCCTATAATCCCAGCACTTTGGGAGGCTGAGGTGGGCGGATCAAAAGGTCAGGAGTTCGAGACCAGCCTGACCAACATGGTGATACCCCGTCTCTACTAAAAGTACAAAAATTAGCCAGGCATGGCAGCGCGTGCCTGTAATCCCAGCTACTCAGAAGGCTGAGGCAGGAGAATCGCTTGAACCCAGGAGGCGGAGGTTGCAGTGAGCCAAGATCGCGCCATTGCACTCCAGCCTGGAGACAGAGCAAGACTCCGTCTCAAAAAAAATAAAAAATAAAAAAATAAGGAGAGAGTAGCTTTACACATGACCTCTTCTAGCCACAACTGACTGGCCGCTAACTAAAATTAACACTTGTGGACCTGAAAACTAAGACAAGTTAGTGACAGAATAGAATGAAAAATCGATTAATATACACATCTTCGGTGGGGCACGGTGGCTCACGCCTATAATCCCAGCACTTTGGGAGACGGAGGCGGGTGGATCACCTGAGGTTAGGAGTTCGAGACCAGCCTGACCAACATGGTGAAACCCCGTCTCTACTAAAAATACAAATTAGCTGGGCGTGGTGGCGCATGCCTGTAATCCCAGCTACTCAGGAGGCTGAAGCAGGAGGATCACTTGAACCCAGGAGGTGGAGGTTGCAGTGAGCCGAGGTCACACCATTGCACTCCAGCCTGGGCGACAAGAGCAAAACGCCGTCTAAAAAAAAAAACTTCTCAAGTCCTGTTATTCAATGCTTCCTGTTATTCAATTCCTCCTTGATTTAGATGCTTACCAATATGCCTAATCCCCTTTACTTGAGCTAAATTTAAGTGAGTTCTGTTCCTTACAACAAAACCATTCCTGACCAAAACAGCATTCACTGAAATGGGTTTGTCTGACAAAAAAACTGATTCTTCTTACTATAAAAATGTTATCACCCACTAATAGTTTTAATGTGACTTTTGTTTTTTTTAAAACACTTCACTAATCTTGTCCTAAATTTACATGCAAAACCTTCTCCCATCCTGCTCCAAGGAATGAATACAAACATTGAGACAACTGAGCTTTCAAAAATCATTAGAAAAAATTCAGCCAGACATGGTGGCTCACACCTGTAATTACGCCCAGTACTTTGGGAGGTCAAGGTGGAAGGATCACTTGAGCCTAGGAGTTCAAGATCAGTGTGGGCAACCTAATAAGACATCATCCCTACAAAAAAAAATTTTTAATTAAAAAATAGCACATGCCTGTAGTCCCAGCTACTCAGGAGGCTGAGACGGGAGCATCACCTGAGCCTGGGACACAGAGGTTGCAGTGAGCTGAGATGGCTCCACTGCACTCCAGCCTAGACAGCAGGGTAAGACCCTGTCTCAAAATGAAACAAAACAACAACAAAAAAAAAAAAAGAAAAAAAAGAAAGAAAGAAAAGAAAAAAGATCCACAGGCACAGGATTAAGGTAATAGCCCCAAATGCATTCCTTCTCATGTATTAGGCTTCTATTTAGGCCTTGTATATTAATCAGTATTATATTTTTAAAGGCTGGGTTGGTTGGAGGGGAGGGGGGACTCATGGTTAAACACATGTGGAAAACATTGAATAATACAAAAAATATGACCAGGTGTAGTGGCTCACACTTGAGGCCAGGAGTTCAAGACCGGCTGGGCAACACAGTAAGACTCCATCTCTATTATACACATATATTTAACTCCAGGGCTTCTCAGTATTTTATGTTAATGGGCCTCAGGATACTCAGGGATACCTTACACAGCTTTTCCCCATACTCAAGTCACTTAGAACCTTTTCTCCTCCATAGTTTATTTGGAGAAACCAGAGTTACACTAGTTTGGGAAATTGGAGACAAGCATGGCTTCAACACCAATTGTTCATAGTCCTATCTGAAAATAAGTATCAGTTATCCCTTCCAACTAACCCATTTTGTTACTTTCTTAAGTCATACCACTCACTTAAAGCAGGCCATTCCCTTGCTTTAAAAAAAAATAAAAAGGCAAAAAATAAAAATAAAAACTACAACCAGCTTTTCCTTTTTTTAAAAAAAAGGAAAATAAATAAAAACTACAATCAGCTTTTCCTAGGGCAGGAGTAGATAATTCCAGCCCTTCATTTAACTTCATTATGATCATGGAAAAGTATGAAGAGATAAAAGTATGTTTGAAACCAGAGTAGCAGAGCCAGAAAGATTTAAAATGGCAAAATCACAAAATCATGGTATCACAAGATAGGGCTGCTATTCTATGAAACTCTGATATCACATCTCTGAACAGCAGCCTTTCCATCTCACATCTTCTCCCTACCTCTGTCCAACGTGAAAGTAGTCATAAGGAATTCTGACTTATTGACAATTTGTATAAACCTTCATCAAATTTTTAAAACTAGAAGAGCATTCTTCTATTTTTGTAAACAGTAGCAGGTATATTATTAAACATGATTTTTAAATCTCACTAATTTTTCCATCACTAACAGAAATCTAGATAGAAAAAAAAATAGTATCCACCCAAGTCTACTTGGTGGATCATAATCGACCCTTCAGTCTGGCATCCAACACTGTTTATCAACTATCTTCACTTAATTACAAATTACAGTCCTGCTATTCCCAAGGCAAAACTGTTTTAATCAGATGAGCCTTCTTGCCAACTCCTAGAACTGTCATACTCCATTCCATTTGTCTCTGTACATGTTGTTCTCCTACCCAAAATATCTCTTCCTCGTTTCTCTTAAACCATCGTTACTCTAGACACTTTTCAAAGTTTACCACTTCCACTCACACTTCCCTGGCTAACCTAGCCCATGATCCTCCCAGTTCTCTGCATTTCCAGTAACAATCAAGAGCATCTTAAAAGCAAAGAGAATAAATTCCTCAGTATTTAAACTAGCAGCACTACTCTGAAAGCAAATGATAAAGGCAGGTAAAGGCAAAAAGTGACACAAATTGCAGCCAATTTTAGGTCCTAAAAAGATGTTTTGGCCGGGCACAGTGGCTCATGCCTGTAATCCTAGCACTTTGACAGGCCCGAGGCAGGTGAAAAACCTGTGGTCAGGAGTTCAAGACCAGCCTGTGCAACATGGTGAAACCCTGTCTCTACTAAAAATACAAAAATCAGCCATACCCAGCAGCACATGCCTGTAATCCCAGTTACTTGGGAGGCTGAGGCAGGAGACTCACTTGAACTGGGGAGGCAGAGGTTGCAGTGAGCTGAGATTGCGCCACTGCACTCCAGCATAGGCAACACAGTTAAGTCTCCATTTCAAAAAAAAAGTTTTACTTTGAGCAACATCCCCACCTTGTGGACATCTAGGATATTGTTAATACCATTTCTGCTGTGCTGCATTTTTCACAAGCATAGGCATAAACAGATTGTAGGTACATATAATAGATGCTATATCCTTAGCTAATCAAAAAGTACATGATTTTAAAATTACAGAAAGCAGTATGACTTCAAATAACCTTGGAATTTTAAGGTATCTTCCCTATAACTGGTTACTAAATTTCTGTGTCATCTAGTTTTGAATACGCTCAAATTCTGGATGGACAGAAGTTTAATAATACAGGTACTGGCTTTAGGAGGCAGTAACGAGAAAGAAACCAGTGGAATGAGACTATGGTTTAGGAAAGAAAAGAAGCATAAATAAGACATTGTCAAAGCTTTTCCTATTAATAACATATGTCTATTAATATTAATAACATCTATTAATAACATGTCTCTTTAAAAAATAGTCATAAAGCCTCAGATTCTCCCTCTTCCATTATTACCTTTTTTGAGCTGTACACGATGTGGCATAATATGCATTTTCGTTCTCGTACCATAGTGACCAGATCTGAAGCACTCAACGTCACAGCTGCAATGAGGAAGTAACATTTAGTAACCTTTTCTCCTCAGTACCTTCTTACATTCATCTTCACATAACCAAAATTACAAGTCTTATCTTCCTCACCTCCACCTTGCTCCTCCCCCAGATCTTTCCGTTTCCAGGTGCATAGGGTAAACATTTTGGGAGCCATCCTTGATCCTTCTTTTTCACCCCATATCCACCCTCATTAGGAAATTGTCAGACCTACCTTGCTATATAGCCAAATTCCAACACTTCTCACCACCCAGCACATCTCTCATCCCACACGGCATTACCCTACTACTGAAACGACTCCTTCCTTCTGCTCTTGTCCTCTCACAGCTGATTCTCAAAACAGTGTTTTGAGAGTAGCCAAAGATTCTTAGAATAAGATTCTTTTAAAGTTTAATTCAGAATGGACAGGTGCAGGGGCTCACGCCTGTAATCCCAGCATTTTGGGAGGCCGACGCGGGCAGATCACGAGGTCAGGAGTTAGAGACCAGCCTGGCCAACATGGTGAAACCCCGTCTCTACTCAAAATACATAAATTAGCTGGGTGTGGTGGCAGGTGCCTGTAATACCAGCTACTCAGGAGGCTAAGGCAGAATTGCTTGAACCCAAGAGCGGAGGTTGCAGTGAGCTGAGATTGCACCACGGCACTCCAGCCTGGGCGACAGAGCAAGACTCCAACTTTGAAAAAAAAAAAAAAAACAAGTTTAAGTTAGAACATATACAGGTTGAAAATTCCAAATCTAAAAATCTGAAATCTGAAATCTGAAATGATCCAAAACCGGAAACTTTTTGGGTGTCAACATGATGCTCAAAGGAAATGCCCGCTGGAGCAGTTTAGATTTGGAATGTTCCGATTTGGGATGTTCAGCCAGTAAGTACGCAAATATTCCAAGATCCGAAAAAATCTGAACTCCACAACACTTTTGGTCCCAAGCATTTCGGATAAAGGAACTCAACCTGTATGTAATTCCTCTGCTCAGAATTTCCCAATGGCGTCCATCTCACTCACAGAAAACCTAGTCTTTGCCATGGCTACAATATCTGTTTCTCTCTTCCTCTCCGAATCATTCGCATGCCCTCCCGTTCTTCCTCTATCATTCTGGTGCACTTGCATTCCCCTCGTTGCTATTCTTTGTTCACATCACAGATCCTCCCACCTTTGCACCTCTACATTTTCTGTTCTCTGCCTGGAATATTCTTCCTTAAAAAGTCCTTATGGTTCCCGTGGCTCATTCATTTCCATCAGGTATCTAAAATATTGCCTTATGGGAGAGGCCCTGCCTAACCCTCTACATAATATTGCACTTTCTGACACCCCACCTCTCCACATAGTTCCAGTTTCTCTATTCCCCTATTAACCTGCTTAATTTTTTATAGCACTGTGGTAGATCATGTTTCCATAGAAGGCCTCAACAATATCTGCTACCCCATGTGCTCTTTTGCAATGTGATCTTGCCACCATCCATGAAAAGGTGGATGGAGTCTGTTTCCCCTCCCTGTGAACTATTTTGATCAATAAAATGTGGCAGAAGTGATGCTGTATAACTTAAGAGGCTGGGCTTTCAGAAATCTGTACCTTCTGCCTCTGCCCACTTGTTACACTCCCTCTTGAAAGCCAGCCACCGTGCTGTGAGAAGCCAAAGCCACAGGGAAAGGCCAGGTAAAAAAAGAACTGAGGCCCCCACTGAGTACCCAAACAACAAGCAGGACCAACTGACAGCCAGAAGCGTGAGCCATCTTGGGGGCTCCAGGTCCAGCCACCAATGAGAGACCCCCAAGTGAGACCAATACATACACCATCCAGATAAGCCCTCTTCAACCCAGAGAATTGTGAGACACAATACAAGAGTTGTTTTAAGCCAGGAAATTTTGGAATAGTTTATGAACAAGTGACATCTGGAACATTATCTTTTACTACCTGACATAGTATGTATTTGTTATTCTCTGTCTCTGCCAATTAAAATTTAAATTCCGTGAGAAAAAGGACTTTGCATATTTTGTTCACTAGTATAGTTCGGTCTAGCACTTAGAACAGTGTATGACATATCATAAGGAATTCAAAAGTATTTGTTGATTATTCCAAATGGAACTATCCATCTTGGGTTACTAAATGTGAGTTTAGTAACTGAGCTGAGTAAATAGCAGGGTTTGAGGCCAGGCACAGTGGCTCACAGCTGTAATCACAGCACCTTGGGAGGCTGAGGTGATAGGATCACTTGAGGACAGGAGTTCAACACCAGTCTGGGCAACATAGTGTCTCTACAAAAAATGAAAGAATTAGCTGGGTACTATGGCTCATGCCTGTAATCCCAGCTACTTGGGAGGCACAGCAAGGAGGATTCCTTGAGCCCAGGAGTTTGAGGTTATAATGAGCTATGATTGTGCCACTGTACTTCCACCCTGGGTAAGAGTAAGGCTCTCTATAAAAAGAAAGAAAGAAAGAAAGAAAATACCAGGGGTTTAGATTAAGACTCAACAATGGTTTACTCTTTCATAATCCTCTGGCACTAGCACACTTTCCTCAAGTCCCTGCTAGA
This sequence comes from Homo sapiens, assembly GCF_000001405.40. NCBI lineage: Eukaryota > Metazoa > Chordata > Mammalia > Primates > Hominidae > Homo > Homo sapiens. The sequence goes on from NC_000015.10 coordinate 42,474,862, forward strand.
GATGCTCTATATGAAATTTTAAATCTACTCCCCAAGCAGCATTGTTCCTTCTTCTACAGAAAACATCAGGCTCTAATAGATCTGCTTCCTCATTTGGGGTACATTCCTTAGGAGATTTTAAAACTGTGACATAATGAGGTTACAAACTACCACAGTTTAATCTGTAACTCCTAGATAATATGGCAGAAGGACCAATGAAAGAGGCCTAAGGTTCTCCACTCCTGTGATTACTCGGCAGTTTTCTTGCCATGCAACCCACTTCATAATATTACTGAATGCCTAAATAATTTTATTCAATAATAAAGTTCAGGCCAGGCATGGTGGCTCATGCCTATAATCCCAGCACTTTGGGAGGCCGAGGTGGGTGGATAACTTGAGGTCAGGAGTTCAAGACCAGCCTGGCCAACATGTCTCTATTAAAAATACAAAAATTAGCTGGGTATGGTGGCACGTGCCTGTAATCCCAGCTACTCGGGAGGCTGAGGCAGGAGAATCGCTTGAACCCAGGAGGCAGAGGTTGCAGTGAGCCGAGATGACGCCCCTGCACTCTAGCCTGGGCGACACAGCGAGACTCTGTCTCAAAAAATAAAAATAAAAAATAAAATTCAAAACACTAAAGTAAGATTATCGGGTAAAAATATGGACATTTAAGAAAGCTGAATGTCAATTAGCTACCAAAACAAAGAAATATACCTTTGTGGATAGGTACAGTATTATTTATACTTTCCATATTACTAATAATCTCTTAAATCTCAAACAGAAATGTTAAGTGCTGTAGCATACTACTTCTAACTGCTTTATAATGTAACATCTACTTCAACTTTAATTACTACTTACATGCGTTATTTTGTTACTTCATTCAACAAACATTTATTGAGCACTAAGCACTATTCTAAGGGTTGGAGAAATTGGTAAAGATACGTCCAGAAATGTTTTAAATTGTGCTTCCAATTATTAACCACCAAAGCAAAACAGGAACAAGAAACTTAGAAGCAATAAAGTCAGTAAAAGAGTGTGACTCTCTGGTAGAAATTATAGCAGTTACTGTGGAGTTTTTATATATTTACTTGGTTGAAAACCAAGCACTAAAATACAAACTGTGCTTTTATTTGACAAAGCCAACAACATCAACCCCTAGCAAATGGATAAAAAAAATAAAGCCATACAATATAATAGAAATACTCTATATCAACCTTTTAACCAAAGTCTCCCTCTTTTTAGTTATTTTTTCCTTTCACAAGCTCATTTCTAATCTGCATGTATTAAGAATACTCATTTTCATTTTCTTAAAAAATCAAAATATAACTGCCAGCAAAGTATTCAATCGATAAGGAAGATTTAGTATTTAAACCCTGAGGTGACATGATTCCAGGCAAAGTAACTTTAGTTTATATATTCTTAAATTGGGTAAATACATAAATTCCATTAAGCTTTCTGAAATACTGTAATTAGCCCAGTCTTCTAGATGGGAACCACTGCTCTTTTTAAAGGCCCTGACAAAGACTAGAAGCCAAGGAAATACAAACCATCCAACTCTGTGATCTCAACCAAGGTGACTGAGAAGTGACAAACTAGAAGTAAGTAAATAAGGAATCCAAACCTACTGCCATCCTCACTTTAGTCACCTTACACTGGTTTTCACCATGTTGGCCAGCTGATCAAGAACTGACCTCAGGTGATCCACCAGCCTCGGCCTCCCAAAGTGCTGGGATTACAGGTGTGAGCCACCATGCCCAGCTTCATCTCATTGTTAACAGTACATTTAGTAATCTTTATCCATTTTGTATATATATATATATTCATAAAGTGGATCATCATAAAGGTCTTCATCCTCAGTCTTCACACTGAGTACACCGAGGAGGAAGCAGCGGAGGGGTTGGTCTTGCTGTCTCAGGGGTAGCAGAGGCAGAGAAAAATCTGTGTATAAGTGGACCTGCGAACCGCAAACCTGTGCGGTTCAAGGGTCAACTGTATACTTTCTCTTCCTTAAGATTTCCTTAATAATAATATCTTTTCTCTAGCTTACTTTAAGGATACAGTATACAACATATATAACATGCAAAATATGTGTTAATTAACTCATGTTATCAGTAAGGCTGCTAGTCAACAATAAACTATTAGTAGTTAAGTTTTTGGGGGAGTCAAAAGCTATAGATGGATTACTGACTTCACAGGGTATCGGTGCCCCCAACCCTTGAGCTGTTCAAAGGTCAACTGTATTTTTCTTTATCAGTCTATCTATGGGTTTGTTAATATTATTAATCTTTTCAAAGACCAGTTTTGTCTATTTTCTTTTTCTATTTCTTAATTTCTACTGCTGTCTTTATTACCTTTCATTTAACATACATTGGGTTTATTTTGTTCTTCATTTACTAGCTTCTTAAGGTAGAACTTGAGGTCAAGTCTTTAGGCCTTTTTTCTTTTCCAATAAATATATTTAAACCCATAAACTTCTCTGTAAGCACTGCTTCACTGGCATCCCACATTTTTTAGTACTTTTTAATAAACATTTTATTTTAGAATTGTTTTAGATTTATAGAAAAGTGGCAAAGATAGAGATAGTATAGTTTCCATATACCCCACCTCTAGTTTCCCATATTAACATCTTTCATTTGGCCACGTCAGTAGCTCACGTCTGTAATCCCAGCACTTTGGGAGGATGGCTTGAAGCCAGGAATTCAAGACTAGGCTGATCAACACAGCAAAATTCGTGTATCCACAAAAAAATTAAAAATTATCCAGGTTGCTCAGGTGTGGTGGCTCATGCCTGTAATCCCAACACTTTGGGAGGCTGAGGCAGGTGGATCACCTGAGGTCAGGAGTTCCAAGACCAGCGTGACCAACATGGTGAAACCCCATCTCTACTAAAAAGAAAAAAATTAGCTGGGCTTGATGGCAAGCACCTGTAATCCCAGCTACTCGGGAGGCTGAGGCAGGAGAGTCACTTGAACCTGAGAGGTGGAGGTTGCAGTAAGCCAAAATCGGGCCACTGCACTCCAGCCTGAGCAACAAGAGTGAAACTCAGCCTCAAAAAAAACAAAAAAAAACAAACAAAAAAAACTTACATTAGTGTGTTACATTTGTCACAATTAACAAACCAATATTGATACACTGTTATTTATTTATTTATTTATTTGAGACAGAGTCTCACTCTGTTGCCCAGGCTGGAGTGCAGTGGTGCTATCTCAGCTCACTGCAACCTCTGTAACCTCCACCTGAAACTACGTCTCAAAAAAAAAGACAAAAATCTTACATCAGAATGTTACATTTGTCACAATTAACAAACCAATATTGATACATTGTTATTTATTTTATTTTTTGAGACAGAGTCTCACTCTGTTGTCCAGGCTGGAATGCAATGGCACAATCTTGGCTCACTGCAACCTCTGCCTCCTGGGTTCAAGGAATTCTCCTGCCACAGCCTCCCAAGTAGCTGGGACTACAGGCACCCGCCACCATGCCCCGCTAATTTTTGTATTTTTAGTAGAGATGGAGTTTCACCATATTGGCCAGGTTGGTCTCAAACTCCTGACCTTGTGATCCACCTGCCTCGGCCTCCCAAAGTGTTGGGATTACAGGCATGAGCCACTGTGCCCAGCCTGATACACTGTTATTATGGAAGCCATATTTTATTCAGATGTCCTCTTTTTCTTTTTTTTTTTTTTTTTTTTTGAGACACAGTCTTGCTCTGTCTCCCAGGCAGGAGTGCAGTGGCATGATCTCAGCTCACGGCAACCTCCGCCTCCCAGGTTCAAGCAATTCTCCTGCCTCAGCCTCCCGAGTAGCTTTACAGGCACCTGCCACCACGCCCAGCTAACTTTTGTGTTTTTAGTAGAGACGGGGTTTCACCATGTTGGCCAGGCTGGTCTGGAACTCCTGACCTCAGGCTATCTGCCCTCCTTGGCCTCTGAAAGTGCTGGGATTACAGGTGTGAGCCACCATGCCCAGCCCAGATGTCCTCATTCTTTACCTCCTACCTTTTTTCTCTTCCAGCATGTCACAGAGGATACCACATTACATTTAGTCATCATTTCTCCTTTGGCTCCCCTTGGCCATGACAGTTATCCCACAAATTTTGATGTCGTATTTTCATTATCATTCAGTTCAAAGTACTTTCTAATTTCTCTTGTGATTTCTTCTTTGACTCACAGATTATTTGGAAGATTCACTGAATTTACAAATACTTGTGGCCTTTTACACATCTTGGTTTCTAATTTAATCTTATTAAGAGGCTAGGAGCTACGACTCACGTCTATAATCCCAGTACTTTGGGAGGCCGAGGTGGGTGGATCACCTGAGGTCAGGAGTTCAAGACCAGCCTGGCCAACATGGTGAAACCCCGTCTCTACTAAAAACACAAAAATTAGCTGGGCATGGTGGTGGGCACCTGTAATCCCAGCTATTTGGGAGGTTGAGGCAGGAGAATCGCTTGAACCCAGGAGGCAGAGGTTGCGGTGAGCTGAGATCATGCCACTGCACTCCAGCCTAGCCTACAAGATCGAAACTGTCTCAAAAAAAAATTAATAATAATTTTATTACAGTCAAAGAACACATACTATATTATTTTAATCCTTTCAACTATACTGAGAATTACAGCCCAGCATCTGGTTTATATATACACTTGGGGAAAAAAAGTATATTCTGCAGTTGTTGTGTGGAAATCATTTATATTGATGTTTTTTTTAAAGACAGGGTCTCGGCCAGGCACAATGGCTCAGGCCTGTAATCCTAGCACTTTGGGAGGCCAAGGCGGGCAGATCACCAGAGGTCAGGAGTTTGAGACCAGCATGGCCAACATGGCAAAACCCCATCTCTACTAATAATATAAAAATTAGCCTGGTGTGGTGGCAGGAGCCTATAATCCCAGCTACTCGGGAGGCTGAGGCAGGAGAATCGCTTGAACCCGGGGAGTAGAGGTTGCAGTGAGCTGAGATAGCGCCACTTCATTCCAGCCTCAGCAAAAGGGCAAAACTCCGTCTCAATAAATAAATAAATAAAAATAAATAAAGACACAGTCCCACTCTGTCACCCAGGCTGGAGTGCCATGACACAAACATGGCTCACTGCAGCCTCAACCTTCTAGGTTCAAGCAATCTTTCCTACATCAGCCTCCCAAGTAGCTAGGACCATGGGCACATGCCACCACGCTGGGCTAATGGTCTTATTTTGAACAGATTGGGTCTCTTCATGTTGGCCAGGCTAGTCTTGAACTCCAGGGCTCAAGCAATCTTCCCACCTCGGCCTCCCAAAATCTATACTAATTTTTGTTGTTGTTATCACTGAAAGAAGAATGTTCAAATCTCTCTGACAGTGAATTGTCTATTTATTCCTTTAGTTGTATCCATTTTTGCTTCATGTATTTTGAAGCGCTGATATCAGGCACAAGCATAGTTATAACTGTTACATCTTTCTCATGAACTGACCTTTTATTGTTATGATATGATCCCTTTAACTCTGGTGATACTTTTTATATTGAAGTCTATTTTATCTGATATAAATATAACCACTCTAGGCTTCTTATGCTACTTTGTATGATCTTTTTCCATGCATTTGCTTTTAGCCATTTGTCTTTATGCATTAAATCAGTGTATATTTCATTAAAGTCAATGAAGTTATTAATATAGTTGAATTAGATCTACTATTTTATTATTTATAGCTCCTCTATTTTTGTTCAGTTATACCTGTTTCTGTCTTGTTTGGATTATTCACTTTAATTTTTCTACTAGTTTTTTTTTAGCAACACTTCTTTGCATGATTATATTTTCCCCCCAGTGGTTGCTTTTAGGAATTCCAACATATATCTTTACCATTATACTCTTTACTGTGTTAAAAAGTACCACTGGCCGGGCTTGGTGGCTCACGCCTGAAATCCTAGCACTTTGGGAGGCCAAGGCAGGAGGATCACCTGAGGTCAGGAGTTTGAGACCAGCCTGGCCAACAAGGTGAAACCATGTCTCTACTGAAAATACAAAAATTAGCTGGGCGTGGTGGCAGGCACCTGTACTCCCAGCTACTTGGGAGGCTAAGGCAGGAGAATCACTTGAACCCAGGAGGCAGAGGTTGCAGTGAACAGAGATAGCGCCACTGCACTCCAGCCTGAATGACAAGAATGAAACTCTGTCTCAAAATAAAAAAAGTACCACTACAGGTAATATGTAAAAACCCTGCAACCATATAGGCCCATTTACCCTCACCCATCATCCCATGCTTTATGGGATATGTTTTATATCTACCATAAGAAATGAACCCCCAAGATGATGCTTTTTTGTGCTATAGTAATTTTTTTTAAGAAATGAAAAAGAAAGTTTTAAAATATCTACCCAGATATTTACAAGTTCTAACCTTCATTGTTTTCTGAAGATTCAACTTTCCATCTGGTATCATTTCCCTACAGCCTGAAGAACTTCTTTTAGCATTTCTTATAGTGCAGATCTACTAGCAATGAATTATCTGACAATGTCTTTATTTCATATTCTTTCTGTTTTTTTTTTTGTTGTTTTTTTTTTTTTTTTTTGAGACAGAGTCTTGCTCTGTCACCCAGGCTGGAGTGCAGTGTTGCCACCTCAGCTCACTGTAACCTCCACCTCCTGGGTTCAAGCGATTCTCCCGCTTCAGCCTCCCAAGTACCTGGGATTACAGGCACCAGCTAATCATGCCTGGCTAATTTTTTTTATTTTTAGTAGAGATGGGGTTTCACCATGTTGGCCAGGCTGGTCTCAAACTCCTGACCTCTGGTCATCACCCGCATCAACCTCCCAAAGTGTTGGGATTACAGGAGTGAGCCACTACACCCGGTCCCATATTCTTTCTTGAAGGCTATTCTGCTGAATCTGAAATTCTGGGCTGACATGTTTTTTCCTTCAGCATTTTAAAGATTCTCTATTCGCTTCTGACCTCCACTGTTTCTGATGATTCGTCAGTGGTAAACAGAATTCTCTCCCTGTATCTAATGTGTTGTTTTCTTTGCTGTTTTCTAGATTTTTCCTTTTGTCTGTCAATAGTTTAACTATAAGGCACCCACCAAATTTGGGAAATTTTCAGCCATTAAATTTTTAAATATATTTTTCTTCCTCATTGTTTTTCTTCTCCCTCCCAGATTTCAATTAAATGTGCTAGGTTTTTAAAATATTGATCCCAGGTCACTGAGGATGTATTTCTTTTTCCCTCCCACTCTTCCTTCAACTTTAATTTCAAGGATGCTTTCCTCTGTCATCTCCATTCTTCCATTAAGCCCCATCCAGTTTAAATTTTTATTTCAGATATCATATTTTTCAGTTCTAGAATGTCTATTTAGTTATCTTAGTTTCACACTCATTCTTTATGAATACATTTTCCTTTATATCATTTTTATTTCCTTTACTAATGCATAGTTATAAAAGTTTAAAATCATTTCCTGCTAATCCCAACGTTTAAGCATTTTAAGGTCACTCTCTAGAGTGTCATTTAGCTTGAGAATAGGTTACATTTTCCTGTTTCTTTGTATATGAGTAGTTTTGGAATATATCCTGGATATTTTGAATGTTATATTACAGCAACTCTGGAGTCCTTTATATTCCTCCAAAGAGTATTGACTTTTGTTTTTTTACTTTTGTTTTCATAGTATCTAACTTGGTTAACTCAAACTACAAATCTGTCTCTTAGGCAGTAGATGAAATCTCCAGTTTTTTTTTTTTTTTTTTTTTTTTGAGATGGAGTCTCACTCTGTCACCCAGGCTGGAGTGCAGTGGCACGATCTCAGCTCACTGCAAGCTCCTCCTCCCGGGTTCAAGCAATTCTCCTGCCTCAGCCTCCTGAGTAGCTGGGATTACAGGCATGTGCCACCACACCTGGCTAATTTTTTTGTATTTTTAGTAGAGACGGGGTTTCACCATATTGGCCAGGCTGGTCCTGAACTCCTGACCTTGTGATCCACCCACCTCGACCTCCCAAAGTGCTAGGATTACAGGCGTGAGCCACCGCGCCCGGCAAAATCCTCAGTTATTTCATCCTCAGCTGGGCTTCTTTGGAGTCTGCTCCACATATGCATAATTCAGCAGTCTGCCAAGGTTTGGGCAGAGTTTATTCACAGAGTCTGATGCTTCTCCTCTCTCTCTGCTTTCCAGGATTCTCCTCTCACTTCCCAACAGCTGTAGTTGCTTGAGCTTTATCTTCTGGTTCTTCAGGCCACAAAGACTAAAGTTTACTATTGGAATTTTAAGCACCCTACATGACATAGATCAGGGCCTGCCCTAAAGTTAGAAGCCATGAAAATGGGAAATTACTCCAAGTAGTCCCATTCTTGTGTTAACTCCCCGCTAGAATCTGCCTGGTTTTTTTGTAACTCTCCAGTAGATTTTACTGGTTTTATGTATTTCCATCCAGATGTAATAATAGTTGTTATCTGTGGGGGCATTGGCCAGGAGGAGCTTACTCAGCCTATGACCAGAACAGGACTCTCATGTTTGCACTTTTGAGAGCCACCAGCCTCTTCGAATGGCTCCAAGCAATGCTCAAGCGGGACAGACTGATCAAAGAAGACATATCCTCCATCATGCGATGGAGTAGGAGGCCCTAGGTTTAGTGACAAAGTCTGCTGGGACCTGGGTGACTCCTGAATAGCAGCTGTTCATGAGGTGGCTCGGCATTCCAGCCTACCTCAATTTTACGGTGCCTCCATCTAAACATACACATACATGGTTTGCTCAACCATACACTGAAAAAACTATTCTCATGCATGCTTATGTTTTATGCCTTTGTCCCTCACTATTAAAAGCCCTTCAAAGGCATCTAATTATGTAAGATATAAATCAAAATATTTAAAAGGTCTTACAAGGCCCGCTTGACACAACCCTTGCTAATGTGTATTACATAGGTTTGAGCTACTTTCTTGTTGATCTCTGTGATCAGACAAAATGACATTTTCAGTTCTTCCCACCTACCACACTCCTCCCACCTTAGGGCTTTTTCATATGCTGGTCCCTCTCCCTGGAAAGCTCTTACTCCTTTTCATCTAGTTAATTACTCATCCTTCAAATCTCAGTCCAAATGTCAGTTGCCTAGGAAAGCACTCCCTCATCTCCCAGACTAGGTCATACCCCTCACTGTGCACTGCTCTTCTGAAACCCTATCTCTTCTTTATAACACTTATCCCAATTGTGGCTATTTCTGAGGCACACTGTAGAGCAGCAATTCTCAATCACATCAGACCCAACTTTTTTCCTAAAACATATCATTGTGGAAATTTTCATTCATACATAAAAATAGAAGGCTTATTATAACAATCCCCAGTGTTCTGATCAGCCAGCTTCCCCAATTGTCACCATACAATTTTTTCTTTAAAGATATTTTGTACCCCCTTTTGTTGTAAATATTTTGTAATAACCTTCTTATCCTTCCTGAAATAAAATGCAGAGCTACTGTAACTTACTTACACATGTAAAACTTCAAATATCAATTAATGTGCTAACTATAATAAAAATGAAAAATTAAAGGAAAGTGAGTTATAAAGTAACATGTATATCAACATATAAATGCTCAGACATGACTATATTAGAAGAATAAAACTATAAATATGACTACTACAAAATCAGACTAATATAGACAGGCATGTGATATTGTTGATAAAAAATACCATGAATAGGATAGGCATGGCGGCTCACGCCTGTAATCCCAGTACTTTGGGAGGCTGAGGCAGTTCAAGACCAGCCTGGCCAACATAGTGAAATACCATCTCTACTAAACACAAAAATTAGCCAGGCGTGGTGATGCGTGCCCGTAGTCCCACATACTCAGGAAGCTTACGCACGAGAATTGCTTGAACCTGGGAGGCAGAGGTTGCAGTGAGCCAAGATCATGCCACTGTACTCCAGCCTGGGTGACAGAGTGAGACTCTGTCTCAAAACAAACACAAACAGCATTGCTGTCTGCAATATAATTTCCCAAAATAGTGACCAACTCAATAATCTTTCTGAACTAAAGAAAGCACAGTCCCTTGATTTACACATTAACTATGCTTCAGGCAAAAAATACTCTGTGTTGACCAGGCGCGGTAGCTCACGCCTGTAATCCCAGCACCTGGGAAGCGGAGGCGGGCGGATCGGTAGAGTCCAGGAGTTCAAGACCAGTCTGGCCAACATGGCAAAACCCCGTTTCTACAAAAAAAAAATTAGCTGGGCTTGCATGCCTGTAATCCCAGCTACTCAGGTGGCTGAGACACAAGAATCACTTGAACCCAGGAGGCAGAGGTTGCAGTGAGCCAAGACCATGCCACTGCACTCCAGCCTGGGGGGTCAGAGTGAGACCTTACCTCAGAAAAACAACAACAACAAAAAAAATACTGTATGTTTATGTTAAACAAATTTGGTTTGAGGCTCAGATAATTATAAACAGATTTTTCACCTACATGAACATCTTCTGGGACATTAGAAAGTGATGCAAGGTTTATGTGTTCTCACCACAAAAACTTATAAGTAATACATATGTTAATTAGTTTCATCTAGCTATTCCACAAGGTACAGCAGGTCCTCAAAAAATGCTGTTTCATTCAATATCATGCTGTTACAACATTAATGAGAAAAAATAAATTACTTCCAGCTGAGGCCACTGTCCATGAAGACTTCGTATGTTCTCCTTATTCCTTCATGGGTTTCTTCCAGGTCTCCAGTTTCCTCCCACACCCCGAAGTAAGTGCCTGATAGGTGAACAGGGTGTCTAAACAGTCCCAGTCTCAGTGAGTGTGGGTGTGTGTGTGTGAGTACACCCTGGGATGGAATGGCGTCCTGTCCAGGGTTGGTTTCTACCTTGTAACCTTAGCTGCTTAGGATAGGCTCTGACCACCTGAACACTGAACTGGAATAAAGACGTTGGAAAATAAAAGAGTGGATAAATAAAAATTATTATAAAATAAAAATGTGTGACGTATGCACAACAATAAACAATGTGGTACGAAAGCACCCACCTGTCATATTTGTTGATTTTTAACCACATGGTAGTAGCCAGTGCTCCTTAAAATTTTCACTTTGGAAATATTTATTCCTTGATTTAGCCCACCACCAGTGGGACTGTGGTCACCCATTGATTTGCCAAAAATTAGGCAAATATCCTGTTTTTATTACTCTTTCTTTTTTTTTTTTTTTTGAGACGGAGTCTCGCTCTGTCGCCAGGCTGGAGTGTGGTGGCATGATCTGAGCTCACTGCAACCTCCACCTCCCGGGTTCAATCGATTCTCCTGCCTCAGCCTCCCGAGTAGCTGGGACTACAGGCGCATGTACCACCACACCCAGCTAACTTTTGTATTTTTTAGTAGAGATAGAGTTTCACTATGTTGACCAGGATGGCTAGATCCCTTGACCTCGTGATCCGCCCACCTCAGCCTCCCAAAGTGCTGGGACTACAGGCGTGAGCCACCGCGCCCAGCCCTTCTTTTTTTTTTCTTCCAGAGACAGGGGTTTGTTCTATCACCTGGGGTAGAGTGCAGGGGCATGATCATAGCTCACTGCAGCTTTGAACTCCTGGGCTCAAGTGATCCTTCCACCTCAGCCTCCCAAGTAGCTGGGATTACAGGTATACGCTACTATACTTGGTCAATTTTTAAAATTTTTTGTAGAGACAGGGTCTCGCTTTGAAGCCCAGGCTGATCTTGAACTCCCAGTTTCAAGTGTCCTCCACCTTGGCCTCCCAAAGTGCTAGGATTACAGGTATGAGCCACCATGCCCAAGCTACTCTTTTTTACATCTACGTATAGCTCACATTTATTTCAATGTTTAGTATTAGAAGTGTTTGGGGTCTTCATTTAGAAGTTTGGTGATGTTCTTGTGACCAGAAATATGCCATAGGAACTTAACTCTTTTTTATATCAATTAACCTGTGGCAAAATTAGTTTTGTTATTATGCTGTTTTGCTTAGAGTCACAGTTTCCAAGATCCTATTGATGTTAAGTGAGGACTTGTTATATATATATATGTCAAGGCACCATATTGTACACAATAAATACATATATTTTATTGCCAATTAAAAAATTAATTTTTTTGGCCAGGCACAGTGGCTCACGCCTGTAATCCCAGCACTTTGGGAGGCTGAGGTGGGGGGATCACCAGGTCAGGCATTTGAGACCAGCCTGGCCAACATAGTGAAACCCCATCTCTACTAAAAATACAAAAAATTAGCCAGGCATGGTGGCAGGTGCCTGTAATCCCAGCTACTCGGGAGGCTGAGGCAGAAGAATCGCTTGAACCTGGGAGGCAGAGGTTGCAGTGAGCAGAGATCGTGCCATCGCACTCCAGCCTGGGCAACAAGAGTGAAACTCCATCTTTAAAAAAATAAAATAAAATAAAATAAAAAAGCTTATAGGGAAAATATGGCCTGGATGCAGTGGCAGCACACTTATAATCCTAGCACTTTGGGAGGCTGAGGCAACAGAATCACTTGAGGCCAGGAGTTCAACACCATTCTGGGTGACACAGTGAGACCTCCTCTTCACACACACAAAAAATTTATTAATTAGCTGGGCATGGTGGCACGCACCTGTAGTCCCAGCTACTAAGAAGGCTGAGGTGGGAAGAGGATTGCTGGGGCCAAGGAGTTTGAGGGTGTAGTGAGCCATGATCATGCCACTGTACTTCAGCCTAGGTGACTGAGCAAGACCCTGTCTCAAAAAAAAAAAAAAAAAAAAAAAAGCTTTTAGGAAAAACTATTACTACCCCCTCCTGTTTCCTAGCCACCGCCACTTCCAGTCAGCCACTCTTGTGAGTTTCTTATTTGTTTTCCAGAGATATTTTTCAATTTTTTTGCATGAAAATACAAAACATAAAATTTACCATCTTAACCATTTAAGTGTAGTTTAGTGGTATTAAATACATTCATAATGTTGTACAACCAACACTACCATCCGTCTCCATAACTACTTGCATCTTGCATAACTGAAACTTTATATCCATTAAACAATAACTCATTTCCCCCTCCCTCAACCCCTAGCAACCACCATTCTACTTTCTGTCTCTATGATTTTGACTATCCTCCACAGAGGATATTCTATGCATATATGGTTGTCCCTCGATATCCATGGGGGATTGGTTCCAGGATCCCCCTCAATACCAAAATCTGAGAATGTTAAAGACCCTTATATGAAATGGCACAGTATATGCATGTAACCTACACATACCTTCCGTATACTTTAAATCATCTCTAGATTACATGTAAGACCTAATACAATGCCTACACATAACTTCATTTATGTGGATGCAATGTAGTATGTACTCAGCACGTAGCAAATTCAAGTTTTGCTTTTCAGAAATTTGTGAATTTTTTTTCCCCAAATATTATCCATCCAAAGTTGGTAGAATCCATGGATGCAGAACCCATGGACGGATATGGAGGAACAATTGTATATGCAATACATAATATTTTTATAAAACCACAGTGGTTGCAAAATGCACACCCTCTTTTGCACCTTTTCTTTCTCACTATATGGGAGGTCACTCAATATTAGCACATATAGAGCTGGCTCATTCTTTCTAGCAAATTCATACATTTATTTAACCAATCCTTCACTGATGAAGACCTGGGAGCTTCTTGATAGTTTCTTTCAGATTAAAACATGCACAAACATGCACACACACACACACACTCGACTGTAGAGTTTCCACTAGTGATTTCACATGCTAGAGGTCCAAGTAGAGCATTCATATGTAACTTGTCTGCCCAGGTGCTCTTATTCATTGGGTACAGAAATTAATCCTAAACTCTCCACTAAGATACTCCCAATTACAAAACACACAATACATAGACTTCTCACTGAGCCATTCCTGGTCCCAGAACCAAGTCGTCTAGCATCTTCCATTCCTCTCAACTCTTGTAGAGCAGCCTTCAGACTACACGTGCACTAATCTAGATGTACAATAATCACTATTCATAGTCTTTCCTTTTTAAATATCTTCCTTTTAATCAAAACAATTGAGGCCGGGCACTGTGGCTCACACCTGTAATCCCAGCAATTTGGGAGGCTGAGGTGGGTGGATCACCTAAGGTCAGGAGTTCAAGACCAGCCCAGCCAACATGGTGAAACCCCGTCTCTATTAAAAATACAAAACGTTAGCCAGGCATGGTGGTGGGCACCTGTAATCCCAGCTACTCGGGAGGCTGAGGCAGGAGAATCACCTGAACCCAAGAAGCGGAGGTTGCAGTGAGCTGGGATTGCGCCACTGCACTCCAGCCTGGGCGACAAAGCAAGGCTCTCTCTAAAAAAAAAAAAAAACAACACACACACACACACACACACACAATAGGTTCTGAACTAGCCTGATCAGATTCGTTCACACCCTCTACCTCCTGCCAGGCCATTTTTTATTATTTTTTAATTTTTTTTTTTTGAGATGGAGTTTCGTTTTTGGAGTACAATGGCACAATCCTGGCTCACTGCAACCTCCGCCTCCCAGGTTCAAGCGATTCTCCTGCCTCAGCCTCCCAAGTAGCTGGAATTACAGGCATGTGCCATCATGCCCAGCTAATTTTGTATTTCTAGTAGAGACGGTGTTTCTCCATGTCGGTCAGCCTGGTCTCAAACTCCTGACCTCAGGTGATCCGCCCGCCTCGGCCTCCCAGAGTGCTGGGATTACAGGCGTGAGCCATCGCGCCTGGCCCCTTCCAGGCCATTTTAAAGTTCTCCTCGAAAACCATCTAGTATTTCTAATTAAAGGGCTCCTACTATCTTCTAGACTCAAGAGTTAACTCTAGGCATGGCGCGGTATTGGCAAATGTGTAGTAGATACTAAATAAATTCTAGTTGCATCTGAAAATTGTCTTTCATTATTTCATTCACGACCAAACTTGAGAACGGGGCTTAAAGCAAATTTTAAGATTTCCCATGCTATTTACAACAGTACTAAGCTCTTAATAAGCACTCAAAAGTTATCTGTGGGCCGGGCGTGGTGGCTCAAGCCTGTAATCCCAGCACTTTCAGAGGCCAAGGTGGGTGGATCACCTAAGGTCAGGAGTTGGAGACTAGCCTGGCCAACATGGTGAGACCTCGTCTCTACTAAAAATACAAAAATTAGCCGGGCGTGGTGGTGGTGCACGCCTGCAATCCCAGCTACTCGGGAGGCTGAGGCAGGAGAATCTCTTGAAACTGGAAGGCGGAGGTTGCAGTGAGCCAAGATCCCGCCACTGCACTCCAGCCTGGGCGAAAGAGCGAAACTCCGTCCTAAAAAAAATAATAATAATAAAAATAAATAAAAATACAAAAAATTAGCCAGGTATGGTGGTGGGTGCCTGTAATCCCAGCTACTGGGTAGGCTGAGGCAGGAGAATTGCTTGAATCCAGGAGGCGGAGGTTGCAGTGAGCTAAGATCGCGCCACTGCACCCCAGCCTGGCAACAAGAGCGAAACTTTGTCTCAAAAAAAAAAAAAGAAGTTATTTGTGCTTTGAATAAACTGGATATAAACCATTATGGTGGATACAGCACTTATTTGCTAGGTAAGAGAACTTCGCTTACCTAGGATGACAGTCTCAAGTTGCTAAAAGCCACGGATATCTCAAACTTCTCAATAAGATGCCTTAATCTTACTCTCAAAGATGATTACACAACAAATTGAAAGGGGAAGAGGATGTAAAGCATTTCCTCTCCACAATTATACACCGAGATTCGGACTAAATATTAAACGGACACAGTAAGCTGTTGTTACTATTTGTTATTAGTTGTTATTATCAAGACGCATCCCACAAGGAGAGAAACGAAAGGAGGAAAAAGAACGGAGGTTGTCAGTCGCGAGAGGTTGAAATGTGTCCCTGGCCTGAGACCTACGGGCTTTAAGGACCAGGGTCTTTGGACTCCCTGCCCAACTGGGGACGAAGGAGGTCAGTGGCTTCCCCTAAAGGTCAAGGCTTTGGAGCCACGTTTCCTTCTGGGGCTGGGAGCAGAGCTGGAACGCCCCCGCGAAAATCCGTACCCCGAAGCCAGCAGCACCGCCTGCCCATAAACCCGCGCCGGCTCTGGGAGAGTGGACCACCAGGTTGCCCCTGAGCCGCAGCCTGCAGGAGTAGAAACCCGGTGGTGTCTTGCAGCCCCACAACCTCCCTAAGGGGCAGACGACCAGGACCCTTGGGCTCCGATACGCTCAACGCAGGCCGGCCCGTCGATACTCACATTCACAGCCAACCCCTCTTACTCCATCAGGCCGCCGAGAGCCAGGCGAGGGAGCTCCCTGACGCCTCAGACGCCCCCTTCAGTTTTGGGTCCGGGAGCCTGCTCCGGACCCGCTCCCCGCCGGGCCCCGCCACAGCCGCCGCCAACGCGCAGGCGCACACCGAAGCCGTCACGCTCGCTTTTTTTTCCTTTGCCGTCCGCAGTTCTCAATAATCTAGCTTTATTTGAACACAAGAGAGTGAACAACGGACACACAGGAAGAGGTTTTTCTCAAAAAGAATGGAGGAAGAACAAAGGCAGGCCCGCTTGCGGGAGAGTCAGTACGCAGCGTTGGACGCTATGAACAGCCTCCCTGGTCCCTTTTTCATTCTCCTTGTTTCTCCTTGTTCTTTCCCGGCCTCCCTGTAGCTCCTACTCTCTTCCTTGGTGTCCCGCCATTTCCTTTAGTCAGTGGCAACTGTTCGGGCTACATTTTGAAAACACTCCTTCCTTGTAAAACTTTCTGAAGTTGAATGGAAGGTGCAAGAGCTTTAGAACAGCCAGACCTGAGTTTCAGATCTTGGACTAGCTACGAATAATTTGTGACTTTGGGTAAATTACAATTCTTCTTGGAACCTCAGGTTCTTGAGTTAAAATTAGGATAATGTTATCTCACAGGGTGTTGCTAGGATTAAATAACATAGGTCAAGTGTTTATCTATGAATGCTGCCTATCACAGAGCAGACATTCCATAATACTGACTTTATTCTTACTCATGCCTAAGGTATTTATAATATTTTTTAAGTAGAGACGGGGTTTCACCATGTTGCCCAGGCTGGTCTCAAACTCCTCGGCTCAAGTGATCTGCCTGCCTTGGCCTTCCAAAGTTCTGGGATTGCAGGTGTCAGCCACCGCGCCCAGCCTACATTTATTATTTATTTATTTAGTTAGTTAGTTAGTTAGTTATTTTGAGATGGAGTCTTGCTCTGTCGTTCAGGCTGTAGTGCAGAACCGCTCTCTTGGTTCACTGCAACCTCCACCTTCCGGGTTCAAGCGATAATCCTGCCTCAGCCTCCCAAGTAGCTGGAATTACAGACGTGCACTACCACGCCCAACTAATTTTTGTATTTTTAGTAGAGATGGGGTTTCGCCATATTGGCCAGGCAGGTCTCAAACTCCTGACTTCAAATGATCCGCCCACCTCGGCTTCCCTAAGTGCTGGTATTACAGGTGTGAGCCACCGCGCCCGGCCGCCTATATTTATTATTAAACTTAGCCCATACCCATTCCCTCAGAAACCTAATTTTAGTGACTAAGACTATCAGATAAATGAAATGACATTCAGGTTGATAATTATGTGGAGTGTCCCTCCTATATTATTGAGATTATAACATCTCTGTTTAACAAGACCTTCAACGTCTCAAATAAAAGTAAGCAGCGGTGGGGCACAGTGGCTCACGCCTGTAATCCCAGCACTTTGGGAGGACGAGGTGGGCAGATCATGAGGTCCAGAGATCGAGACCATCCTGGCCAACATGGTGAAACCCCTTCTCTACTAAAAACACAAAAATTAGCTGGGCGTGGTGGTGCGTGCCTGTAGTCCCAGCTACTCGGAAGGCTGAGGAAGGAGAATCGCTTGAACCCGGGAGTCGGAGGTTGCAGTGAGCCGAGACCTCGCCCCTGCACTCCAGCCTAGCGACAGAGCGAGACTGCGTCTCAAAAAAAAAAAAAAAAAAAAAAAGAGAGAGAAAAAAGAAAGGAAGCGGCTATATTAACCTCTTCTATGTAAATCCAGATTTGTTCTAGAGGTTTAGGAAACTTCCAATTCCGTGTTTGTGACATCACAAGTCCTTGAAACACTCAAGGGTTGTGGTACGCTGCTCATTCTATTCTCCTTCAAAGGCATGCAATGGAGGAACTATTTTACCCTATAAACTCTGGGCCATCATTCAGGGAAAAGCCTGTAGAAGACCACAGTCAGATATTGGTGAGTGCCAAGGTAACGCTAGATTATGGTTTCTCAACTTTGGGATTACTGACATTTTGGAACATATACTTTTTTGTCAGGGGTATCCTGTGCATTATAAGATGTTTAGCAGCAGACTGGGAGCAGTGGCTCACACATGTAATCCTATAACTTTGGGAGGTCAAGGGAGGCAGATCGCTTGAGTCCAGGAGTTTGAGACCAGCCTGGGTGACATGGTGAAACCGTGTCTCTACAAAAAATGCAGAAATTAGCCGGCAGTGGTGGTGCACACCTGTAGTCCCAGCTACTCAGGAGGCTGAGGTGGGAGGATTTGAGCTGCAAAGGTAGAGGTTGCAGTGAGCTGACATCACACCATTGCACTCCAGCCTGAGCAACAGAGCAAGACCTTCTCTCTCTCTCTCTCTCTCTCTATATATATATACATATATGTGTGTGCGTGTGTGTGTATGTATGTTTAGCAGCACTGTTGGACACGATGCTAGTAGTACCCACCCCCGTTTCCCTGTCATCACAATAAAGCATCTCCAGACATTGCCAAATATCCCCCGGAGGACAAAATCGTCCCTGGTTGAGAACCACGGAATTATATCAATGACCATCACAACCCTAAATGAACTAATGAACTCAACCATACATTTTCTCCACCTCTGCCCTCAACAAGTGACTGCTGCTTGAGAAATTTACACAGGAGGGCAGAAAATGGTGAGTTCATTTTTGCCCATATTAAAAAGGCCCTCAATATTGCTTACCAGTCCTACAACATTCTTCTGTCAACTTGTTGTATTACTTTCTACAATATTCCAAATCTTCTCAGCTTTCCTTTAAACTCCCAATACCACCTCCTTTTCTATCAGAAGATGACCCCATCTTCAACTTCACAGAGAAAACAAGTCAGCAAATGAGAACTTTAACTTCCTGTTACTAAACATACAGAAACATACTTCCTCTCATAATTGGGGAAATATCTCCTCTCTCTCTCTTTCTCCCTCCCTGCCCTCTTCCAAAACCATTATTCTTACCAGTGTTTCGAACTGCCTCTAAACTGCCTCTATTCTTACCCTTTCAAGATCTTTGCCTACTGACTATCCCTTCTCTTCCTTTATTCAACCATTTTTTTCTCAGTTGAATCTTCCCTACCATGCTCAAGTTTCTCCTGTCTTAATTCTAACAAAAATCAAAAAAACAAAAACAAAAAATCTTGATCCTTCATCATTCTCCCTCCTTCCTCCCTGTCAAGGCCAAACTTTCCAAAAGCATTCTACAACTTGTCCCCATCTCTACATCTCCCCCACCTCCAAACTACTAAGTTGTTTTTTTCAACCCCAGCATTCCAACAAACAGCTTTCACTGAGATAATCAGTGACCTCTGTGTTATGAAATTAAAAAAAACATTTCTCAGGCTTCATCTTCCTTGATCCCTTAGGAATAGACTACTTACTCCTTGAAGCACTTTTTTTTTTTTTTTTTGAGATGGAGTCTGGCACTGTCGCCAGTGATAGACATTATGATAGTAATGTAGCTGGGATTACAGACACCCGCCACCACACCCAGCTATTTTTTCTTTCTTTTTTTTTTTTTTTTGTAGGGGGGACGGAATTTCACTCTCGTTGCCCAGCCTGGAGTGCAATGGCATGATCTTGGCCCACTGCAACCTCCGCCTCCCAGGTTCAAGCGATTCTCCTGCCTCAGCCTCCCGACTAGCTGGGATTACAGGCGCCTGCCACCATGCCCGGCTAATTTTTTGTATTTTTAGTAGAGATGGGGTTTCTCTATGTTGGCCAGGCTGGTCTGGAACTCCTGACCTCGTGATCTGCCCGCTTCAGCCTCCCAAAGTGCTGGGATTGATTACAGGCGTGAGCCACTGTGCCTGGTGAAGCACTTTCTTTTCTTGATTTCCAGCAGTTTATTTTATTCTTAGAGGTGCATGGAGGGGTTCCTGCAGCAAATAGTTTACAATAATCCTCCATCTGCTTAAAACTCTTCAATAGCTTTCAGTGCCCCTAGTACAAAGTGGTCTAAAATTCCAAGGCCTTCCAAGATCTAGCGATTGTTGGCCTTCTAAAGCTTTCTTTCCTCTACACTCGGGGATGTACGATTAGCACTAAGCCTCTAACAAGGATGAACTACTAGAAATTTCCAGAAGGCGTTATGCTGTTCTCGACATAAGCTGTTCCCCAGAGCCTGGAAAACTCTAGCTCTTTCTCTGCCGGATTTCCGGGGGAACTCCTACTTATCCTTCATGACTCAAGTCACTTCCTCCGGGAACCCTTCCAGACACCCCTAAGAATAAAACGCTTTGTTCATTATCAGCCAAAGGCGCCTCAAATTTTCTATGTGCTATGCACTGTATTCTATCCACTATAATTTGTTTACATATCTATATCTTAGTCTAGACATATTGAAAGGCGATGAAGAGCAGGGAAAGCACTGTATTCGCTTTCTTTTCTTCAGCGTTCATCCAGCACAGTGCCTGGCATACGGTTTGCCCTCAGTAAATGTTTATTGCATGAACACCTCCCAGCTTCGGGCAGGACTGAAATCTATCCGGTTAACTAGTGAATTCCCAGACTCTCCGTCTGCGTGGCAGGGACATTTAAACCCCCAGCACCGTGATTGGCTCCAGCTGCAGGGGTGTGTCTGTGTCCGCGGCGAACGGGAAGTGAGCAGGCGCGCGGGCTCGGCGCGCGCAGGCGCGACTAGGGTGCAGCGCCAGGTCCGGTGTTGGGGTGTCCGAGTTGCCGCCGGAGAGGAGTGGCCTCGCCCGCTTGGTGAGTCTCCAGGAGTGGGACGGAGGGAGCTGGCCGGGATGAAGTCTGAGACTATGTCCTGAGAAGAAAGAGTGTATCGTATTGGTTGAAAAGTTGGTGGGGTCGGGCTTAAGCGGAGGAGGGGGCTCTCTGGCCCTTACTCGGCAGATGGGCCCGGAGAGAGGACGGGAGGTGCCGGGAGAACATCGAGGGACCAGTGGAGGAAGGGTAGCTGGATGGTAATTCTCTGGACCCTTCCTCGAAATTAAACAGAGATCACTTTCCGCCCCTCACCCTTACTGTGTTGCTGTAGTTGACATTAATAGACTGCCTGTATGGTGACCACAGTGATCAGATAGCTCTGAGATAATGGCTTGAGGAAGGACTCTGAGGTTCCTGGTATTGGATAGCCCTTGCTCTCTAGAAAGGTTCAGCCTTACCTCGCGGCATTACTGCACAAATTAGAGGATCAGGAAAAGAATGAATTTCACAATTCGGGATTGGAGTGGTGGGGGGAAAAAGTACTGTAAAGTGTAGTTTCATCTCGTCCTTTTTTTCTTCTTTAATCAGTCACCACAATGTTAGGAAAGGCAGTTGATGGTAGGAGGAAACGTAAAGACATAAAAGTGGGAGAGGAAAAAAAAGTCAAGAAGGGAGTATCATTTTGCCTTTTGCTATTTGTCATCTCCTGGAATGGGGTCTGTATTAGTGCGTTCTCACACTGCTATAAAGAAGTACCCAAGGCCGGGCTTGGTGGCTAACGCCTGTAATCCCAGCACTTTGGGAGGTCGAGGAGAGAGGATCATATGAGATCAGGAGTTCGAGACCAGCCTGGCCAACATGATGAAATCCCATCTCTACTAAAAATACAAAAATTAGCCAGGCGTGGTGGTATATGCTTGTAATCCCAGCTACTCCGGAGGCTGAGGCAGGAGAATCACTTGAACCTGGGAAACAGAGGTTGCAGTGAACCGAGATCGTGCCACTGAGCTTCAGCCTGGGAGACAGAGTCAGGCTCCAACTCAAAAAAAAACAAAAAGCAAAAGAAATACTCGAGACTGGGTAATTTATAAAGGAAGGAAGTTTAATTGACTCTCAGTTCTGCATGGCTGGGGAGGCCTCAGGAAACTTATAATCATGGTGGAAAGCAAAGGAGAAGCCAAGCACCTTCTTCACAGGATGGCAGGAGAGAGACAGTGAAGGGGAAAAAGCCCCTTATAAAACCAGTATCATGAGAACAGCATGGGGGAAACCACCCCCATAATCCAATCACCTCTCACCAGATTCGAGATGAGATTATGAATAGCCAAACTGTATCATTCTGCCCCTGGCCCCTTTCTTTCTTTCTTTCTTTTTTTTTTTTTTTGAGATGGAGTCTCACACTCTGTCACCCAGGCTGGAGTGCAGTGGCGCGATCTTGGCTTACTACAACCTCCAACACTTCAAGCGATTCTCCTCCCTCACACTCCTGAGTAGCTGAGACTACAAATGTGTGCCACCAAACCTGGCTAATTTTTTTTTTTTTTTTTTTTTTGAGATGGGGTCTTGCTCTGTCGCTCAGGCTGGAGTGCAGTGGCGCGATCTTGGCTCACTGCGACCTCCGCCTCCCAGGGTCAAGCAATTCTTCTGCCTCAACGTCCCAAGTAGCTGGGATTACAGGCACCTGCCACCAGGCCTGGCTAATTTTTGTATTTTTAGTAGAGATGGGGTTTTGCCATGTTGGCCAGGCTGGTCTCAAACTCCTGACCTCAGGTTATCCACCGGCCTCCGCCTCCCAAAGTGCTGGGATTACAGGCGTGAGCCACCGCGCCTGGCTAATTTTTGCATTTTTTAGTAGAGACGGGGTTTCACTCTATTGGCCAGGCTGGTCTCAAACGCCTGACCTCATGATCCACCCACCTCATCTTCCCAAGGTGCTGGGATTACAGGCATGAGCCACCACGCCCAGATTCCCTGGCCCCTTTCAAATCTCATGTCCTCACAGTTCAAAACACAATCATGCCTTCCCAACAGGCCTCCAAAATCTTAACTCATTCCAGTATTAACCCAAAAGTCCAAGTCCAAAGTCTCATCTGAGACAAGGCAAGTCCCTTTTGCCTAGGAGCCTGTAAAATCAAAAGCAAGTTAGTTACTTCTAAAGATGCTATGGGGGAATAGGCATTGGTAAATGCTCCCATTCCAAATGGGAGAAATTGGCCAAAACAAAGGGGCTACCGGCCCTATGCAAGTCCAAAATCCAGTGGGACAGCCATTACGTCTTAAAACTTATTTTAATCTCCTTAGACTCCATGTCTCACATCTAGGGCACGCTGATGCCAAGGGTGGGCTCCCAAGGCCTTGAGCAGTTCTGACCCTGTGGCTTTGCAGGGTTCAGGCCCAGAGGCTGCTCTGCTGGGCTGGCATTGAGTGCCTGAGGCTTTTCCAGGTTCATAGTGCAAGCTGTTTGTAGACCTGCCATTCTGGAGTCTGGAGAATGGTGGCCCTCTTCTCACAGCTCCACTAGGCAGTGCCCCAGTGGGGATTCTGGGGGGTGGGCGGTGTCCAATCCCACGTTTCCTTTCTGCAGTGCCCTAGCAGAGGTTCTCCATGAGGTCTCTTCCACTGCAGCAGACTTTGGCCTGGACATCCAGGCATTTCCGTACATCCTCTGAAATCTAGACAGAGGTTCCCAAACCTCAATTCTTGACTTCTGTGCACCTGCAGGCCCAGCTACCACGTGGAAGCTACCAAGGTTTGGGGCTTGCACCCTCTGAAGCAACAGCCCAAGCTGTACCTTGACCCCTTTTAGCCAGGAGCTGGAGCAGCTGGGACTCAGGGCCCCAAGTTCTGAGGCTGCCCACGAAACCATTTTTTCTTCCTAGGCCTCAGGTCTTGTGATGGGAGGGGCTGCCATGAAGATCTCTGATATGCCCTGGAGACATTTTTCCCATTGTTTTGGTGATTAACATTCAGCTCCTTGTTACTTAACGCAAATTTCTACAGCTGGCTTAAATTTCTTCTCTTTGCTTTATAAATTACTTGGTGGTCTCAGCTCAGTGATCCAGTGATCTGAGTGATCTCAGGAAAAGAAAGAAATATTAGCAAATAAGAGAAACACCTTACATTGCCATACTCCTTTGACAGGTCATGTGAAAGTAATTTAAGTGATCATATCACTTAGCCTGCAGCTTGAATATTTGTCTCAGGCTAGGTTTTACTTTAGGTGCTTGTAGTATGTGTTTATGCACTAGAAAGTTAGTGTTATCATAGTTCCAGCATAAGGATGTCTTACTGTGCCAAATAAACAGTGGAATTCCTATATGTATCTTGATATTTGTTTCTTGTACACTGAATGAACTTAGGTACAATACACACAAGCCCACTTAACTAAAGGTCACATCTTTTTTTTTTTTTTTGACAGAGTTTCACTCTTGTTGCCCAGGCTGGAGTACAATATCTTGATCTAGGGTCACCTCAATCTCCACCTCCCGGGTTCAAGCGATTCTCCTGCCTCAGCCTCCCGAGTAGCTGGGATTACAGGCAGGCGCCACCATACCTGGCTAATTTTATATTTTTAGTAGAGACGGACGGGGTTTCTCCATGTTAGTGAGGCTGGTCTCGAGCTCCCGACCTCAGGTGATCCGCTCGCCTCAGCCTCCCAAAGTGTTGGGATTACAGGCGTGAGCCACCGCGCCCGGTCTAAGGTCACATCTTTTCTAATCATTTAGAACACAACCTAGAACCAGAAAGAAAGTAAACAAAAACAGGCCTGTACTCATGGGACAGCTGTGGAGTCTTCACCTATGAGTCATACCACCATCATAATTTTTGCCATTTAGAGTACTGTTGTTATTTTACTTCATGTTTAATGGGTTTTTTAAAAAAACATTGCCCACTTCCAAAGTGATAATCTGTGAAATCATGGTTTTTATGTATTTTATAGCTTTTTTAGCATCCATTATAATAAATACATAACTATTAAATATATAACTCTTTCATATGTAACAGTTAAAATCATATTCTTGCTCAGCACTTTGGAAGATACTGCTTTGGGCCTAATCAGCTCATTTTTAAAATGAAGATTGAACTAAAGCTTATGGGCTTGAAAATTCTGTGATCTCTATGATGATGTTCATTATCATAACACAATTCTAGCAAAGTTTACTGGTTCCACCAGATGAAAGTAGATTAGGGCCGGGCGGTGGTTCATGCCTGTAATTCCAGCACTTTGAGAGTCTGAGGCAGGAGGATCGCTTGAGCCCAGGAGTTTGAGACCAGCCTGGGCAACATGCCAAGACTGTCTCTACAAAAATTTTTTAAAAAACTAGCTGGACCTGGTGCCCAGTGCCTGTGGTCCCAGCTACTCAGAAGGCTGAGGTGGAGGATCGCTTGAGCCTGGGAGGTCAAGGCTCCTGTAGATTAAAATAACAAAAAGGAAAAAGAGGATGTTTGCTCTTTGATATCAGCTGCCTTTTTTTTTCCCTGAATTCAGGCTTTCCCCCGCCCCCGCCCCAATTTGGTTCCTTTATCTGCAACACTCTGGACATCTGTTTTTGAGCTATGTTTGTACTCCACATTGTGTATATATTAGCATGTATAATATTATAATGTTGCTTATCTCCAAGAGTGCTGAACTTTTTATTCCATTACTATATTTTGTTTCCAGATCTGTAGGTTGACAGACGGGCAGATGACAAGGACTGCTCTTTTCTTTTCCCTTTTTTTTTTTTTTTTGAGACAGAGTATTACTCTTGTTGCCCAAGCTGGAGTGCAATGGTGTGATCTCGGCTCACCGCAACCTCTGCCTCCTGGGTTCAAGTGATTCTCCTGCCTCAGCCTCCTGAGTAGCTGGGATTACAGGCATGCGCCACCACGCCTGGCTAATTTTTTGTGTTTTTAGGAGAAACGAGGTTTCACCATGTTAGCCAGGCTGGTCTCAAACTCCTGACCTCAGATGATCTGCCTGCGTTGACCTCCCAAAGTGCTGGGATTACAGGCATGAGCCACCTCACCCGGCCAGGACTGCTCTTTTTCTTTGCTGTGATAGGTAGAAACTTGAAACAGAAGGATCCAGTGCCTCTAACAATTAGAGGAAGTGGATTATGGAGCCAGGAAACAAAATGTACTGTGTTTTTTTAAATAGTAAGAGTAGAAGAAGCCCATTTGTATTCATTTAGATTCACTGACATTTTGGTTTGGGTTTCAATTTAGGTTGTATTGCTACTAAAGTATTTAAATCACTGATTCCTATGTTTTTCCAGAATTCTCTCTTCTTGTTGCTTTCTGTAAGTTCTGTAACTTAGATGTAAAGTTTGTTTAAATTTATTTTGACAGTGTTTTGGAAATTGAAATTACTTTCGATGGCCTTTCAATACTTATAAAACTCAAGCCAGGTGTGGTGGTGTGTCTGTAGTCCCAGCTACCTGGGAGGCTGAAGTAGGAGCATCAGTTGAGGTCAGGAGTTCAAGACCAACCTAGGCAGCATAGCAAAATAAATTTCAAACTTCTTGGTATAGTATACAAAGCTCTTCACAATATGTGTTCTGTCTTGAAAGCCATCCCCTGCCCTCCATACATACACACACACATTATATTCCTGCCTCACCACTGAAGCCTTACATTGTGGCTTTTTCTTCCTTTTTGATAATTTAATTTAAAATCATAATTTTTTGGACTTGATCATACTTGGATTTTGACCCACACAAATGAGAATCAGGGTGTTTGTGTTTTTTTGTTTGTTTGTTTTTTAAGACAGTCTTGCTGTGTCACCAAGGCTGGGGTGCAATGGCATGATCATAGCTCGCTGCAGCCTCAAACTGCTGAGCTCAAGTGATCCCCCTGCTTCAGCCTCCTGAGTAGCTGGGACTACAGGTGCACGCCACCAGGCCTGGCTGATTTTTTTTTTGTTGTTTAATTTTGTGTAGAGATGGGGGACTTGCTTTACTACCCAGGCTGGTCTCAAACTCCTGGCTTTAAGCAATCCTTTTGCTTTGGCCTCCTAATGTGCTGAGATTGTAAGCATGAGCCATCATGCCTGGCCAAAATCACGAGAGATATTTCATAATTATTATGAAAAGTTATAATAGTTTTATTGAGCACTGTGTGCCAGGCACTGCTCTAAATACTGTGCTTGAATTAGCTCAATCCATGTAACAACACTTAAAGTAAGCATTATTCTCATTTAATGAGGAAACTGAAGCACAGAAAAGTTAACAGTAATCAGGATTTGAAACCATTATGCCTTCAGATATTGGGCACATAACTACTATACTATGTTGTCTTTTGTATAAGCAAGAATGCCACTCTTTTCTGTTGGGGGTATCCTTTCCAGGGACGTGAGTGCTTATATTCTCTCTTTTTTTTTTTTTTTTTTTGAGACGGAGTCTCGCTCTGTCGCCTAGGCTGGAGTGCAGTGGCGCGATCTTGGCTGACTGCAAGCTCTGCCTCCCAGGTTCACGCCATTCTCCTGCCTCAGCCTCCTGAGTAGCTGGGACTACAGGCGCCCACTACCACGCCCGGCTAATTTTCTGTTTTTTAGTAGAGACGGTTTCACCTTGTTAGCCAGGATGGTCTCGATCTCCTGACCTCGTGATCCGCCTGCCTCAGCCTCCCAAAGTGCTGGGATTACAGGCATGAGCCACTGCGCCCGGCAGAGTGCTTATATTCGCTGTCTGTAGCTTCTGACTCTTAATATCGGAATATTTGAAAAACTAACCAGAAAGCATCAAAGTGGCTGGGTGTGGTGTCTCACGCCTTCTGGCATTTTGGGAGTCCAAGACAGAAGGATTGCTTGAGGCCAGGAGTTCAAGACCAGCCTGGGCAACATAGTGAGCCACCCTATATCTACCTAAATAAATAAATAAATAAATAAAGCATCTAAGTGAACTTAATCAGAGCTAAACTATGTGGATGGTTTCGGTGAATATTTCATTCAGGCAGGGTGAATCCTTGCCAATTAATCTCACCCCGTACTTGGTATCTCCCTGGCAGATACCACACTTATGCCTGCCACATTGTCTCTTCCTGGGTAGATTGCCAGCTTCTGGCTCTTGAGCCCCGTTCTTATCTTTCACATAGAACGTCCCCTTTCTGTTCACATAACCATTCTCATTGATAGGGTTAATAAAATTGATTACAATCAAACCTACATCTACCTCCCCAGTATTACTCCTGGGTCACTTAGAGTAGAATTGTGGAAGTTCCTAATTTGACAGGGACTTGAAGACCAGGCGTTGGACATCAAGCAATTAAGTTACCATAGGTGCTTCTGTAAAACTGAAGTTTAATTTTTTTTGTAATTAGAGTCAGGGTCTTGCTATGTTGCCCAGGTTACATTTAAACTCCTGGGCTCAGGTGATCCTCCTGCCTCAGCTTCCTGAGTAGCTGGGACTATAGGCCTGAAAATGTAATTTTGGTTTTCTTTTTGGTTCCTGATTTTTAGTGGGACTTTCCCATTTGTTAATATGATTTCTGTCTTGAATCTTGTGCTTCAGTGTACTTTGAAACCAAGCTGATTTTTGTTTGTTTTGTTTTTTCGTGTTGTTTTTTAAGATGGAGTCTCGCTCTGTCGCTGAGGCTGGAGTGCAGCGGTGCGATCTCGGCTAACTGCAACCTCCGCCTCCCGGGTTCAAGTGATTCTCCTGCCTTAGCCTCCTGAGTAGCTGGGATTACAGGTGCCCGCCAC
Organism: Homo sapiens; assembly: GCF_000001405.40. Lineage (NCBI taxonomy): Eukaryota > Metazoa > Chordata > Mammalia > Primates > Hominidae > Homo > Homo sapiens. Next base: position 42,503,356 of record NC_000015.10, read on the forward strand.
CACGCCTGGCTAATTTTTTTTTTTTTTTTTTTGAGATGGTGTCTCACTCCGTTGCCCAGGCTGGAGTACAGTGGCACAATCTCGACTCACTGCAACCTCTGCCTCCTGGGTTCAAGTGATTTTCCTGCCTCAGCCTCCCAAGTAGCTAGGATTACAGGCACATGCCACCACGCCCAGCTAATTTTTGTATTTTTAGTAGAGACGGGGTTTTGCCGTGTTGGCCAGGCTGGTCTCGAACCCATGACCTCAAGTGATCTGCCCTCCTCAGCCTCCCAAAGTGCTAGGATTACAGGCGTGAGCCACCATACCCGGCCTTTGGTATTTTTTAGTAGAGACGGGGTTTTTCCATGTTGGCCAGTCTGGTCTCAAACTCCTGACCTCAGGTGATCCACCCACCTTGGCCTCCCAAAGTGCTGGGATTACAAATGTGAGCCACTGCGCCTGGCCTGAAACCAAGCTGTTTAGTAGATACGATTCTGTGATGTACTTAGTATATTTGCATTTGAGTTATAGACTTTGTATGGTAAAAAGAAAAGAGTTTTTAAAAAGAGAAAAAAATATGTATGTATATTTGCATAGTTTTGGGGCCTATATATAAAAATGGTTAAAGTTGTTTGTGTAGAAGGAGATAGAAAGGAAAGCCCAGAGAGGAAGTAAAAGGAGGAAGCCATCCTTAACATAAAGGAGACCCTTGCCAGGCAAAGTGGCTCATACATGTAATCCCAGCACTTTGGGAGGCTGAGCCAGGAGCATCACTTGAGGCCAGGAGTTTGAGACCAGCCTGGGCAACATAGTGAGACCCTGCCTCTACAAAAAAAAAAATAATAATATAATAAAAGGGCCAGGTGTAGTGGTGGGCACCTGTAATCCCAGCTACTCGGGAGACTGGGGAAGGAGAATCACTTGAACCCTGGGGCAGAGGTTGCAGTGACCTAAGATTGCACCACTGCACTCCAGCCTGGGCAACAGAGCGAGACTCCGTCTCAAATAAAATAAAGTAAAATAAAATAAAATAAAAAGTGAGACTCTGTCTCAAAAAAAAAGTTGTATATAGCCTATACTTTATATCATCAACTTTAATATTCAAATTTAGCCTTGCAGATGGAACTATTAATATTTAGTAGCTATTACTTTCAGCTACATTTACATAAATGTGACTCATATTCAACATTGTTACTTTCCTTTTGTTTTGCCTACTATTTATTTCCACTTCAGTAAAAATATTAATATAATGGCTAACATTGAACACCGGCCATGTGCAAGGCATTGTACTAAGTACTTTGTGTAGATCATCTCTTTTTAATCTTCACAAAAAAAACAAAACTATAAAATAGAATGTTATCCTTGTTTTACAAATACAGAAACCGAGTTTTAGTGGTGTTAGGTAATTAACTTGGGGTCACACAACAAATACATTGTGAGGCTGGAATTTATATGCTGGAATTCCCACTCACCCACTATGCTATCCTGCTATAAACAGAAGTTTCCTCTTGCTGCGGATGCATTGGTTACCATGGACGTAGACTTCTATCAAGCCAAAGAGAATGCTGAACTTAAAAGTACAGTAATAAACCCTTTGAGTGTAACTCATTGAGGAGCTTTATTGTGATTAATTTTCAGAGAAGGAATAAGGCAGGAAACTAATTTGGTAGAATATTTTAGCTGCAAAATCCTTGTTTACCAGTATAAAAAGAATTATCTTATAAAATCATTCTTTGCAAGACCCTGTGAAATTGATGGTGATTTTTTTTTTCTTTTTTTTTCAGACAGTCTTGCTCTGTTGCCCAGGCTGGAGTGCAGTGAGTCTTGGCTCACTGCAGCCTCTGCCTCCCAGGCTCAAGCCACAGACGTGCACTACTGCACTCGGCTAATTTTTGTGTTTTCTTTTTAGTAGAGCTGGGGTTTCACCGTATTGGGCAGTCTGGTCTTGAACTACTGGCCTCAAGTGATCCGCCCACCTCTGCCTCCCACAGTGCTGGGATTACAGGCATGAGCCACCACGCCTGGCCTGATGGTGATTTAAAGTGCTCTTTCTTCATTACTTCTTGAGTAGCTCACCAGTTTTACAAATGAAGCCACATGGATCTTCCAAGGCCTTATTTAAATTCCAGGGCCTTTTTTCTGTGTATTTCTTTCCAAGAAGCTCATTTACTTTTCCTTTCTTCTTTTCTTCTCTTTTCTTTTACTTCCTTTCTGCTTGCATTTTTTTTTTTTTTTTTTGAGACGGAGTCTTGCTGTTGCCCAGGCTGAAGTACAGTGGCATGATCTCGGCTCACTGCGACCTTTGCCTCTCGGGTTCAATCAACTCTCCTGTCTCAGCCTCCTGAGTAGCTGGGATTATAGGTGTGCATCACCACGCCTGGCTAATTTTTGTATTTTTAGTAGAGACGGGGTTTCACCATGTTGGCCAGGCTGGTCTTGAACTCCTGACCTTAGGTGATCTGCCCACCTTGGCCTTCCAGAGTGCTGGGATTACAGGCGTGAGCCACCGCACCTGGCCTCTTGCTTGCTTGTTTTCTTATCTCCTCCCTTCCTCCCTCCCTCCCTTCCATTTCTTTTCCTTCTTTCTTTTCTTTTCTTTTTTTTTCTTTCTTTTTTATTTTTTTTGAGACAGAGTCTTGCTCTTGTCACTCAGGCTGGAGTGTAGTGGCATGATCTCGACTAACTGCAACCACTCCCTCCCGGGTTCAAACGATTCTCCTGCCTCAGCCTCCCGAGTAGCTGGGACTACAGGCGCCCACCACCACACCTGGCTAATTTTTGTATTTTTAGTAGAGATGGGGTTTCACCATTTTGGCAATGGCTGGTCTTGAACTCCTGAGCTTGTGATCCGCCAACCTCGGCCTCCCAAAGTGCTGGGATTATAGGCGTGAGCCACTGTGACCGGCCCATTTCTTTTCTTTCTTTGGGGTCTTGCTCTGTCAGGCAGGCTGGAGTGTAGTGGGGATCATGGCTCACTGCAGCCCTGAACTCCCAGGCTCAAGTGAACCTCCTAACTCAGTCTCCCAAGTAGCTGGGACTACAGGCACTGGTCACCACACCTGGCTATTTTTGTTGTTACTTTTTGTGGAGACAGAGTCTTGTTGTGTTGCCTAGGCTGGTCTCAAACTAGCCTCAAGCCGTTTTCCTACCTCAGCCCTCAAAAGTGCCAGAGTTACAGGCATGAGCCGCTGTGCCTAGCCAATAGACTTCTTTTCATTTTCTAAATTAATGTAGATTATTTTCAGCTTCTGAAATAATAGAAGACAGTTGAAAACCATGATTACTGTGGTCTATTTCTCCTTCAATTTAACTGTCTTCTTTGAGTCTGTAGAAGAGATAAAATTTCATGGTCTTATAGAAAGCATCTGAAATTTTGAAATGAGCCATCATATAGGATTGCTTGACCTATTTTCCAATATTCAGCAGCTCTCATATGATCTATTGTTTGTTAAGGGGGCGGTGGATACAGTCAACAGAAAAAACTTTTTTTTTTTTTTTGGAAACAGGGTCTTGGTCTGTTGCCCAGGCTAGAGCACAGTGATGCCATCTCGGCTCACTGTACCCTCTGCCTCCCAGGTTCAAGTGATTCTTGTGCCTCAGCCTCCTGAGTAGCTGGGACTACAGGCATGCGCCCCATGCCCAGCTAATTTTTTGATTATTTGTAGAGAACGGGTCTCACTATGTTGCCCAGGCTGGTCTTGAATTCCTGGCCTCAAGCAGTCCTCCTGCCTTGGCCTCCTAAAGTACTGGGATTACAGACGTGTGCCACCACTCCCAGCTCCAGAAAGACTCTTTATCAGACCATGAATTATACTTAATTTGCGAGTAGATCCCGACTTGAATAATCAATCTGCTCTTTACTGACACAGCCGCCTTGGGTAAGTTACCTAAACTGAGCCTTAGTTTCTCCATCTGTAAAATAGTATAATGAAGATAATGATGTAGATAAATACTTAGTAGGGTATCTGGTGCCTAAGAGGTACTCAGTGAACTTTTCTTTCCCTGCCTAGGTTTAAATTAGAAAAGAAAAAGGTCAAATTAGGAGTCTTTTAGTAAGCCCAAGTGAACCATAGCATGAGAAATAGGGTGTAAAAGCACTGAGAAAAATCTTGCATTTTCCTCTGAAAGGCACACTATTAGCATAGTATAAGTTCCCAGCAGCACTGGAAAAATGACACAAGTATTTAATAGATTAGATTAAATCTGAGAAAAGTACGTTTAATGGCATCTTTGTATCAACTGATGTTTTATTTTTCATCCCACCCCACCAGTTCTCTTTTCTGTAATATTCTGGGTAACCTTTTCCTGATTCCGTAAGGAAAATGTCTGCAGAGAATAATAAATATGAGTAAGGCTATGTAGCTAATTATAGGTTACATTCTCTCTGACTCGTCTCAGCAAACTTACAAAGACCAATAAGAACTTGAGGAGTATTATTCCTTGTCTGTCTTTGTCCTTCCCCTTACAATTCTACTTTGACTCTGTTACTTTCATATACAGTTGACCCTTGAACAACATGGGCTTGAACTGCGTGGGTCCACTTATAGGTAAATTTTTTTTTCAGTAAATACAATCAGCCCTCCGTATCAGCAGGTTCCACATCTATAACCAAATGCAGATAGAAAATATGGTATTCAGCCAGGTACGGTAGCTCATCCCTGTAATTCCAGAACTTTGGGAGGCTGAGGTGGGAGGATTGCTTGACCCCAAAAGTTTCAGAAGTTTGAGACCAGCCTGGATAACATAGTGAGACCCTGTCTCTATAAAACAGCTTAAAAATTAGCCGGGCATGATGCATGCACCTGTAGTCCCAGCTATTCAGGGGGCTAAATGGGAGGATTGCTTGAGCCTGGGAGGGCAAGGCTGTAGTGAACCTGATTGCACCACCGCTCTCCAACCTGGATGACAGAGTGAAGCCTTGCCTCAAAAAAAAAAAAAAAGAAAGAAAGAAAGAAAAGAAAATACGGTATTCATACATGCAAAACTCCCGTCTACAGAGGGCGGACTTTTATATCTGCAGGTTCCTCAGGGCCAATTGGTATCCACAGGCAGTACTGAATCCAACCCTCTGAGCGACAGCCACACTAAACTTGTGCTCAAAACCCTCAAGAACACAGAGTAATCTTAGGCAGCTGCATCCTGGCGTTAGCATGCCAAACTTGGGAGTAGATATCTGTTACTTGTCTTGCGTGTTGTCTGGTCAGGGAAGAAAAAAATATTAAGCAGAACTTCGAGTTCACATGGAAAGGATGTGTCCTTCAGAATGACCTCATTGCGATGTCAGGGGTGATTCCTCACGTTATCCATCTCCCAGTTATATCTGCTTTCTTTTTTCTTTTAAAGAAGGCAGCACAGAGGTCAGGAGTGCATTCACTCCTAACTCTGGAGTTTTGCTTTTTTTTTCCTAGGAAGCTAGCAAAGACTGACTTGTAATTGGCAATAATCACCTCTAGGAATAGAATTACAAAATTACATAATTTGTGATATTTGGGCTTCCTTACCCCAGAATGTCTCCCGACCCACAGGATACTATATCTGAAAACCTCACTAAGGGTGCCTTTTCCAGGCACTAATGGATTAGTGTATATTATTTTTCATATTTTCTTCTCTGTCGGGCATTGAGGAGTTACACATGACAGGAATAGATAACTTCAGAGCATTACTGCCTGGGGAGGGCAGGCTTTGGAGAGGTATCTCGGTTGGGGCTTTAGGAAGTGATGGAAAAGCATGAGGCTACCTGGGCAGATGTGGGGTATTATAGAAAGGAAAGGTGTGCAAAAGTGTGGAGGTGAGAGGGTACAAAAAATAATCTCCATTTACTTTTTGTAGTTGCAAATAGGAAAGAGTGACAAAAGAGGAACAGTAGCATGGACATGTGTATGTATGATAAAGCTTAAGACTCAAACAATTAGCAAATTAATAAAATACCTGGTTCCTTTTATGCTTGTATCTAATGAATGATATCTTTATATCTTGATTATATCTTAGTGTGGAAACTTTTTGCCTGAAGCACAGTCTATGGCAAGCAAGATAGAAACTTAAATTTGGAACTTAAAATGCTTTTTTTCATGAGCACTAATGGCTTTAATCAAGGCTCAAAATCTTTTTTTTTTTTTTTTTGAGATGGAGTCTCGCTCTGTCACCCAGGCTGGAGTGCAGTGGCACAGTCTTGGCTCACTGCAACCTCTGCCTCCCAGGTTCAAGCAATTCTCCTGCCTCAGCCTCCCGAGTAGCTGGGATTACAGGCGCTCACCACCACTCCCGGCTAATTTTTGTATTTTTAGTAGAAACGGGGTTTCACCATGTCGATCAAGCTGGCCTCGATCTCCTAACCCCGTGATCCATCCGCCTCGGCCTCCCAAAGTATTGGGATTACAGGCGTGAGCCACTGCGCCTGGCCCTCAAAATCTTAAACCATAAAACAGCTATGACAGTAGAATTATAAACAAGGCCAGGCACGGTGGCTCAGGCCTGCAATCTGGGCACTTTGGGAGGCTGAGGTGGATAGATCACCTGAGGTCTGGAGTTCGAGATCAGCCTGGCCAACATGGTGAAACCCCATCTCTACTAAAAATACAGAAATTAGTGGGGCGTGGTGGTGCATGCCTGTAATCCCAGCTCCTTGGGAGGCTGAGGCAGGAGAATTGCTTGAACCCAGGAGGCAGAAGGTGCAGTGAGTCAGGGTTACACCACTGCACTCCAGCCTGGGCAACAGAGTGAGACTCCATCTCAAAAAAATAAAAAAAATAACATGATAGTAGTGGTTCAATTAAAAACAACTGAAAAGATTTAAATTTTTTTGTTTGTTTGTTTTTTGAGATAGGGTCTTGCTCTGTCACCCAGGCTGGAGTGCAGTGCCATGATCTTGACTTACTTCAGCCTCAACCTCCTGGACTCAAGCAATCCGCCCACCCCAACCTCCCCGGTAGCTGGGACTACAGGTGTGCGCCACCATGCCTGGCTAATTTTTGTATATTTGGTAGAGATGGGGTTTTGCCATGTTGCCCAGGCTGAACTCCAACTCCTGAGCTCAAGCCATCCACTCACCTCAGCCTCCCAAAGTGCTAGGATTCCAGTCATGAGCTACCACACCCAGCCAAAAATGACTGAAAAGATTTATATGTGATCATATCATACACTTGCAATAGCAGTTTTTGGTTTGTGGCTCTAGTGATTCTTTGCGAGCTTTGTGCTACTGTTACATGCAGCTTTGTTTCTAAGAGCCATGTAAATACTTTGAGAGTACACCCTGTTTTTCTACTTATTTGTTCATTCAGCTATTTTTGGAGTATCTACCATCAGATCCTATTAGGTGTTAGAGATACAAAGATAAAATCTCTGCCTTCCAAGAATTCAGTCCAGTACATTCTTGGGGAATTAAGTTTTCTGCTTATCAAAGAGTATATCCATGGCAAGGTTTCTCACCTCAAATTGACATTTTGGGTCAGATTATTCTTTGCTGGAGGGCTTTCCTGAAGAGTGTTGTAGGATGTTAAGCAGTTTCCCTGCCTCTACCTACTAGATGCCATTAACCAGCCCCATCACCTGGCCCAAGTTGTGACAATCAAGCAACTCCAGACATTGCCAGATTCCTGGGGTCAAATCTGTAATAAGAACCAGAGTTTATCTGTGTCATTGACCGTGAGTTTTGATAAATGAGTTTTGAGAAAATTCATACAAAGCTAGCAAATGTAACAAAGAACCTAGATCCGTTGCACAATGCTTGTTATTACTCCACATGACTTCTCAAAGAGGAATTAGATAACAGCCGTGCTGAGTAACACCTACGAAATGTTTTATTTTTTAGCTTGGATGTCTATGAGATCTCCTTCTGAGTTACTGTGTATAGGAGAATAATTGTTTGGTTTCTTAGGGACTCCAGTAAAACAACAAAACAATATAAGCCACTGGAGGGGAAGAGTCTAATGCATAATAAAAACCTTAGTCTTTTCCGAGCTGTTTGTACCAGCATTTCCCTTTTCTTGTTAAGAGTGAAAGTATTTTCTCCAGTGAGTGTCCTGGACAACTGGCATATTTAGAAATGTTTCCTGTGTTCTTCAGGCACATAACTTCAAATTTTGTTACTTTACTAAATTGGACTTTTCTTCACCTACTGCTTTTCCATGTTCAGACAACACATGAAGAACATTGAACAACCAAAAATTCACTTTAATAGTCTTTTAATGCTTGTCTTCCAGTAATGCCTTGCTTCTCTAAGTAGAGGATCCACTTTCCTGTTGGAAAGAGTACTTCCCTAGAAGTCCTAAAACCTGTATTTTAGGTTCACCCTTGGCACTCTTATTAAACATTCATTTAGCCTCTCTCGGTCTTGATTTCTTTACTTGTGGTAGACTAATAGATATAGAAAGAGGTTCTTTTATCCTGTTTTCCTGATAAGTTCCTAAATTCCATAAATCTACACTTTTTGCTCACACAAACTTTTATATATCCTTATTCTTATACAATATCCACATTTCCATTTCTGTGCCTAATAGAGTTTTGATTCATCATGGATAATCTGTCATCAGAAGAAATTCAACAGAGAGCTCACCAGATTACTGATGAGGTAAATGTTTTACCTAAAATAAGTAAATAATTCTATTTCAGTTTTCATATTGGAGGAGTGAGAGAGCCTTCTTAGGGACATTTTGGCCTCTTCCTAGTCCATTAATATCAAAGAACACATTTGCTCCTTAGTGCCATTGCTGGTTTTTATTTTCTTTTTAACTCACCAGAAAACTAAAGTGAAAACAATTTGTATGATTTTTATTTTTTAGGTAATTATTAATATTACTTAAGTGTAACAAAGATACTCTACTATGTATTTGAGAAATGCTAGACTTCTATTTAACAATTTCCTAATATCTGTAATTTACTTAGATTTCTACCTACATTAAATTTTTATTCCCATGAACTTCACCATCCAAATATTCTCTTTTTTAAAAAAACTTTTTCTTTCAACATCACACTGGAAGTCCTTACACATTTTCTCTTAAGGAGCGCCTGAAAATAACTAAAAATGTAGTGATCAACTTACTTTTTTTTTTTTTTTTTTTTTTGAGACGGAGTCTCACTCTATTGCCCAGGCTGGAGTATAGTGATGCGATCTCGGCTTATTGCAACCTCTGCCTCCTGTGTTCAAGCGATTCTCCTGCCTCAGCCTCCTGAGTAGCTGGGATTATAGGTGTGTGCCACCACGCCCAGCTAATTTTTGTATTTTTAGTAGAGATGGGGTTTCACCTTGTTGGGCAGGCTGGTCTCAAACTTCTGACCTCGTGATCCGCCCACCTCAGCCTCCCAAAGTGCTGGGATTATAGGCTTGAACCACCACACCCGGCCATTGTTTTGTTTTAAAGGGAAGGATAGGCTGGCAATTCTTTTTGTTTTTTCCTTTAATGGAAACAGTCTCACTATGTTGTCTGGGCTGGTCTTGAGCTCCGGTACTCAAGAAATCCTCCTGCCTCGGCCTCCCAAAGTGCTGGGATTATAGGCATGAGCCACTGTGCCCGGCCTGAGCTGGCAATTTTTAAAGATAGAATAGCATCATGAATTTGGCCTGTGATCAGATTTTTTTTTCTACATATTTTGGAATGCTAAAATTCTGTGTTCTTTCCTAGTCTCTGGAAAGTACGAGGAGAATCCTGGGTTTAGCCATTGAGGTAAGAAAATGTTAGTCATCAACTTAAGTATAGAAATTTATAGGAGCGATCCTAATACTTCTGGCTGGAATTAGTATTAAAGGGTAATGTATCAATATGCTTTATTATTTGAAATTAACAGTTGCTGAAATGTCAAACCATGCACTAATGGGAATTTTCTGTTTTTCCCTTTAACAGTATTGGAATATGACAGGGAAGATGAATTCACTATGAGTTTGTGACTTAATTATTTTGGGGGCTGCTATGTTAAAGTGTGTTAGTTTAAGAATACTAGTTCTGTCTGTAGCTCTAATCCTCTGAGAGCTTGGGTTTCTAAATTATTCTGTGTTGCTCTTGTAGGTTTTGTTTCTGTTGTTTTTGGTTTGTTTTGTTGTACTATCAGCTTTTCCCCCCTTGTCTTAGTCTCAGGATGCAGGAATCAAGACCATCACTATGCTGGATGAACAAAAGGGTAAGTTAAATTATTAGCAGAAATTCTTAATTTGACTGTGATGCCAAAAAGCCCTATCAAATTAGCCACATACAAATTTCAGCCTTTGGGAGAGCCTTCCCTTTGTAAAATAAGAATGTTATGTTTACTTCTTGTCTTCTGATTTGAATTATATATCATGTTCACTGTCTATTTGGGATGGCAGGCAACAATGCCCAATTGTATATACCAAGTATGTGTTAGGCCAGCATGGCTTATTTTGTGTATTGGTTATATGTGCCTTAGACATTATGATAGTAACATAGCTGGGATTACAGGCACCTGCCACCACACCCAACTATGTTTTTCTTTTTTTTTGGGGTGGGGGACGGAGTTTCGCTATTTTTGTCTAGTTTTGGGGGTGGGGGATGAAGTTTCGCTCTTCTTGCCCAGGCTGGAGTGCAATGGCGTGATCTTGGCTCACTGCAACCTCCTCCTCCTGGGTTCAAGTGATTCTCCTGCCTCAGCTTCCTGAGTAGCTGAGATTACTGGTGCCCACCACCACACCCGGCTAAGTTTTTGTATTTTTAGTAGAGACGGGGTTTTACCATGTTGGCCAGGCTGGTCTCGAACTCCTAACCTCAGGTGATCCACCCGCCTTGACCTCCCAAAGTGCTGGGATTACAGGTGTGAGCCACCGTGCCGGGCCTTTTGTTTTGTTTTGTTTTGTTTTTTTAATTTTTATTTTTTGAGTCGGAGTCTTACTCTGTCACCCAGGCTCGAGTGCAGTGGTGCAATCGTGGCTTACTCCAGGATCCTCTACCTCCCACGTTCAAGTGATTCTCCTGGCTCAGCCTCCTGAGTTGCTGGGATTACAGGTGTCCACCACCACACCCAGCTAATTTTTTGTGTTTTTAGTAGAGATAGGGTTTCACCATGTTGGCCAGGTTGATGTCGAACTCTTGACTTCAAGAGTCACTTGATCCGCCCACGTCGGCCTCCCGAAGTGCTGGGATTATAGGCGTGAGCCACCGTGTCTGGCCAGACATTGTGATATTCTTACATCATCCTCAGAAATCAAGTTCTAAAACAGATCTAGATTCAGGTATGCTTGGAAACACTTGAGTTGAGTTGGCCCTGAGTAATCAGGTCTAGTTTTTATTACTCTTATAATAGCCCTCAGGTTTTGAACCTATTATAGAAATGATGGGGATTTGACCTCGTCAAAGTACCCTTAACTTGGTTGTAAGGATGATCTCTAAATAACCGTCCCTTGGTCCTACTATACAAGATTCTTTTTTTTTTTTTTTTTTTCGAGCGGGAGTCCCACTCTGTCATCCAGGCTGGAGTTCAGTGGTGCAATCGCAGCTCACTGCAACCTCCAACTGCCGGGTTCAAGCAATTCTCCTGCCTCAGCCTCCCAGGTAGCTAGGATTACGGCACCCATCACCACACCCAGCTAATTTTTGTATTTTTAGTAGAGATGGGGTTTCACCATGTTGGCCAGGCTGGTCTTGAATTCCTGACCTCAGGTCATCGCCCACCTCGGCCTCCCAAAGTGCTGGGATCACAGGCGTGAGCCACCATACCCAGCCATATACAAGCTTTTTAGAACAAATTTTTCCACAGCAAGAGGCTAGGTGCCTCCGGATCAGTACGTGAAAGATTGTTATCATGTTGAATCGCTTCTAATACCTTTTGACACTGACATACTCACTGTGGGGAGTTATTGGTAGATTCAAGGTTGAAGTTTGCTGTTCCATAATAATAGCATTTTCTGGTTGACACTGTGAATGGAACACAAAGTGTTAACTTCACAACTTATTCTTAGAACAACTAAACCGCATAGAAGAAGGCTTGGACCAAATAAATAAGGACATGAGAGAGACAGAGAAGACTTTAACAGAACTCAACAAATGCTGTGGCCTTTGTGTCTGCCCATGTAATAGGTGAGTTGATAAATTAAGATGGTTTCAAAATAAGTAATGAGAGTACCCCACCTTCTCCCACCAGCTAAGGTCAGAAGTATGACTGGGCTTAATGAGGAACTCTATTAGATAAATCTAAGTTGTCTCTCCTTCAGGCAGATTAAGCTTTTTGTGTAAATACTGCGTGTTCACTGAAAACTGTGACTTACATTTGACCAATCCTGGGATCAAGTCCAATTTCAATTTGTAGTAATACATGAAAAGGTTAGGAAGTATAGGGAAATGTATATCTGGATGATGGAAAGCAGGATGGAGTTATTTTCTTTTCCTTTCAAAGGAGGAGTATTAACAAAATATATATTTTGTGGTAGGCACATGAGGGATGGCCAAAAGAGTAGAAGAGTTGGGAAAGAATGGCAAAACATAAAAAATACATAAATCTAATGTTAGATTATATGATAGTGAGCAAGGCTAAATCTAATGTTAGATTATATGATAGTGACCAAGGCTAGGTATACAGAACTGATAAAGGTTGGGTTGGAGAGCATCTTATAGAAGAGGTAGGATGTGGATTGGGCTTTGAGTGATAAGAAGGATTTGGATGAACAGGGAGGAACAGTGAGGGCATTTCCTATGAAAGGTTCAAAATAAAGATTAACAAGGAGCTTGACTTAACTGAGCTGTGTGACTCATGTAGATGAGAAGTGGAAAGTAAGATATAAGTAGGTAGTAGAGGAACTTGAATGCCAAACTAAGGAGTTGACAGATTGGAGTGGAGTATAAAAAGAAACGACAGTATCTGGAGATTGAATGACTGTACTCACTGCTGAAAGTTTTGTTTTGTTTTTTTTCTGAGACAGGGTCTCTGTTACTGAGGCTGGAATGCAGTGGCGTGATCACAGCTCACTGCAGCCTCTCTTTCCTGGGCACAAGAGATCCTCCCACCTTGGCCTCCCAAAGTGCTAGGATTACAGGCATGAGCCACTGCACACAGCCAAAGTATCCTTTTTTTTTTGAGACGGAGTCTCACTCTGTTACCAGGCTGGAATGCAGTGGCGCAGTCTCAGCTCACTGCAACCTCCGTCTCCTGGGTTCAAGTGATTTCTCCTGCCTCAGCCTCCCGAGTAGCTGGGACTACAGGCGCATGCCACCACACCCAGCTAATTTTTGTATTTTTAGTAGAGACGGGGTTTCACTATGTTGGCCAGGATGGTCTTGATCTCTTGACCTCATGATCCGCCCGCCTTAACCTCCTCAAGTGCTGGGATTACAGGTGTGAGCCACCACACCCGGCCTCAATGTATTCATTTTTAAAGAGGTTCTTAGACATTAATATTTCATCCAGTTCTCAGCTGGTCTTGTAAACCAACAGCGGTTATATTTTTATATTTTCAGTAAGTGTTTTTATGAAACAACATTTTTATGCCATTTCTGTTATAGAAAGTAGAGATTAATTGCTTGTCAGTCAACTTTAGTGTTTGTTTTGGCCATGAGGAAAGGTTTGACAGTGTTCTTCCTAGTCTTATCCATTGGCTTCCTATTCTAACACAAGTCTGTTGACCTGTTTACACCTTGGTTGACCAACTGAAAGTTCTGTATTTTTTGAGACGGAGTCTCGCTCTGTCACCCAGGCTGGAGTGCAGTGGTGTGATCTCGGCTCACTGCAACTTCCACCTCACGGGTTCAAGTGATTCTCCTGCCTCAGCCTCCCAAGTAGCTGGGATTACAAATATGTGCCACCATACTCAGCTAATTTTTATATTTTTAGTAGAGACAGGGTTTCGCCGTGTTGGCCAGGCTGGTCTCAAACTCCTAACCTCAGGTGATCTGCCCGCCTCTGCCTCCCAAAGTGCGGGGATTACATGCGTGAGCCACTGCTCCCGGCCAAAAGTTCATATTTTAATAACTATGACTTGTCAATCAGAGTTTAGCAGATTACTTTAAGCAAACAAGTTAAAATGTACAGATTATTTGATACAAACTCTTAGCTATGTTTTACAAACATAATTGTACCTTTCTCTTGTGTTCCATGTACCTTCTTGGAAGAGTACAGAAGAGAGGAAGTAGATGAATTTTCTTGAGATCAGATGTTAGGAGAACAAGGAGAAAGAAGTCTCCCCTAAAATCTTAGAGGAAGATCAGCTCTAAGTCACGTGTTGATAAATAGGAAGAGCACTGAATTAGACCTAAGATGGTCTAATATCATAGAAAGTGGGAAATGCAGCTACAGAGTATTAATTTTATGTCTCTTTGTGTATCCCAGCCAAGCATAGGCAAGCTTTTCTTGAAGACTGGTGGGAAACAAGGTAGGGTATGGTCCTGAATCAGCATTCTTCAGCCTCTAACCTCAGTAGAACCCTTTCTCAGTGGATCAAGAGAAGGCATTACTTTTTTAGAGATGGCCTCTCCCTCTGTCTCCCGGGCTTGAATGCAGTGGTGCCACCATAGCTCACTGTAGCCTCAAACATCTGGGCTCAAGCAATCCACCCACATCAGCCTCCCAAGTAGCTAGGATTACAGGTGTGTGCCACCATGCCCAGCTAATTTTTGAAATTTTTTGTAGAGACAGGGGTCTTGCTATGTTGCCCAGGCTTGTATCAAACTCCTGGCCTCAAGAAATCCTCCCACTTCAGCCTCCCAAAGCACTGGGATTACAGGCTTAAGCCACTGCACCCAACTGGCACTTCTTTCTTTTTTTTTTTCTGGCACTTCTTGAGAGATGGAATCAAGGGGCTGCTGTAACAAAACAGTTCCCTTAAGAGAAGAAAGTATTATCTCAGTTAAAGATGTCTGATTGTAATTGTCTTTCTTCCACCTATTTCTTTCTTACACCATTGAGACCTTGGCCAGTATGATATCTCTTATCCTCAGCTCTGTTCCTATCATTCTTGCCTGTGTCTTGATCTTTCTAATCTGCTAGTCTGTGTTTCAGTTAGGCTCGTCACATGAATAACCATAACATGAGCTTCTTAAAGGTAGACATGAGATCTTAGTCCTATGTGTAAGGCCTAGTCTTCATACCAGCAGTAGCAGTAACAACCCAGGTCAGGTCCAGAGTTCCTTATTTGCCATTTGGAAATACTTTTTCTTTTCTTTCTCTTTTTTTTTTTTTTTTTTCTCGAGACAGGGTCTCGCTCTGTTACCCAGGCTGGAGTGCAGTGGCAGTCATGGCTCACTGCAGCCTCAACCTATCCTCCAGCGTCAGCCTCCTGAGTAGCTGGGATTACAGGCACATGCCACCACACCCAGCTAATTTTGTATCTTTTGTAGAGACAAGGTTTCACCATGTTGGCCAGGCTGGTCTTGAACCCTTGGGCTCAGGCAGTCTACCCACCTTGGCCTCCAGAAGTGCTGGGATTGCAGGCATGAGCCATTAAGCCCTGCTGGCCATTCAGAAATCTAAAAAACTCCTAAAGTTTTGTTTTATTTTTGCTGTAATGGTGCCACAACTCATTAGGGTATAAAATGTAACCTGAACTGAAGCTATGTTTAGTCTTTATTACTTGCTGTAGATATTAATTGGTTTCACTACAGAAATACTCTTTTTGAGTCAGGGTCTCACTCTGTCACCCAGGTTGGAGTACAGTGGTATGATCTTGGCTCACTGCAGCCTCGACCTCCTAGGTTCAAGTGATCCCCCCACCTCAGCCTCATGAGTAGCTGGGACTACAGGTGCATGTCACCATGCCTGGTTTGTTTTTAAAAACTTTTGTTTCTTCTTCTTTTTTTTTTTTTTTTTGAGACGGAGTCTCACTCTGTTGCCCAGGCTAGAGTGCAGTGATGCAGTCTCAGTTCACTGCAACCTCTGCCTCCTAGGTTCAACCGATTCTCCTGCCTCAGCCTCCCAAATAGCTGGGATTACTGGTGCCTGCCACCACGCCCAGCTAATTTTTGTATTTTTAGTAGAGATGGGGGTTCACCATGTTGGCCAGGCTGGTCTTGAACTCCTGACCTCAGGTGATCCGCCTGCCTCGGCCTCCCAAAGTGCTGGGATTACAAGCATGAGCCACCATGCCTGACCCTGTTTCTTTTCTTTTCTTTTTCTTTTTTTTTTTTGAGACAGAGTTTTACGTTGTCACCCAGACTGGAGTGCAGTGGTACAATCTCGGCTCACTGCAACCTTCGCTTCCTGGGTTCAATCGATTCTCATGCCTCAACCACCCAAGTAGCTGGGATTAGAGGCATGCACCAACACCTTGCTAACTAATGTATTTTTAGTAGAGACGGGGTTTTGCCATGTTGGCCAGGATGGTCTTGAACTCCTGACCTCAAGTGATCCACCCACCTCGGCCTCCCAACGTGCTGGGGTTACAGGCATGAGCCACCGTACCTGGACTTTAAAAAGTTTTTGTAGAGATGAGTTCTCACTATGTTGCTCAGGCTGGTCTCAAACTCCTAAGCTCAAGCAATCCTCCCACATTGGCCTCCCAAAGTGCTGGTATTACAGAAATGAGCCACCACACGCAACGTCACTACAGAAATATTAATGTATTTAATTATGTGGTACTGTCCAAAACATCTTGCCCCCAATGGATTGGGGTAACAGTTGTGGGCCTGTGCATTAATTTAAGGTACTATTCTGAACATGTTAATTTAATCCTTAAACAGTAGCCTTAATATGAGATAGATGTTTTTTATTATTATCATTTTACATCCAGGCTACACTATGTAGTGGAAGAGCTGGGATTCAAAACCAGGCAGAACCCCCTTGCTTTTTTTTTTTTTTTTTTTTTTTTGAGACAGAGTCTTGCTGTATCACCAGGCTGGAGTACAGTGGTGTGATCTCAGCTCACTGCAACCCCTGCCTCCCAGGTTCAAGTGATTCTGCTGCCTCAGCCTCCCGAGTAGCTGGGATTACAGGCGTGCACCACCACGCCTGGCTAATTTTTGTATTTTTAGTAGAGATGAGGTTTCACCATGTTGGTCAGGCTGGTCTCGAACTCCTGACCACGTGATCCATCCACCTCGGCCTCCCAAAGTGCTGGGATTACAGGCGTGAGCCACCGCGCACAGCCCACAAATCCTTTTTTAAAATCACATATCTTAGGCAGTAATTGATAAATTGTAATTCTAATTAACAAGAATTTGAAAGCAGACAGATTTAAAATGGGAAGTCTCAGAATAGTAAACTGCTTGATGTCCCAGTTTAAACATTCTTTTTTTTTATTTTTATTTTTTTGAGATGGTGTCTCGCTCTGTTGCCCAGGCTGGAGTGCAGTGGCACGATCTCGGCTCACTGCAAGCTCCGCCTCCCGGGTTCACGCCATTCTCCTGCCTCAGCCTCTCGGGTAGCTGGGACTACAGGCGCCCGCCACCACACCTGGCTAATTTTTTGTATTTTTAGTAGAGACGGGGTTTCACCGTGTTAGCCAGGATGGTCTCGATCTCCTGACCTCGTGATCCGCCCGCCTTGGCCTCCCAAAGTGTTGGGATTACAGGCGTGAGCCACCACACCCGGCCTTAAACATTCTTAGATAAGGTATTCTTCTGTCTTAACTTGCCTGTTTTATAAAGTCTAACAATGGCACATAGTTTGAAGACAAATTGGCATTTCTGGACCACTTACTAGAGAAGTTCCAAATTGGCACTACAGGTTTACTGCTATTCCGATCTTAAGTCATACCAAGGTGTAAAAATTCAGCTCCGACTAATTAAAATGAATATTGAATTATATTTCATTCAGTGGTTTAGTGCTTCTTCCATCCTGCTCACTGGAGACACAAATATGAGTAAGGCATACCTCTGGCCCTGCCTGTTTTATTTATCATGACATGATTTTTTATACCTCACATAGTATTGGATATACAGTAGTTACTCAATAAACACTTGTTGATTTGAGTGTCCTTGAGAAACTTGTTGGCTGGTGGGAGAGTTTGACGTGTAAAAAGATTTTTTAAAATTACAATGAAAAAATATATAAGAAAATAAAATACATAATAGAAGTCATTAAGAGAAATCTTAATCACTAAGAGGAAGGAGTCTCAAAGCACTCCATTGGTTTTTGCCTTCTCTCATATTGTCTAATTTTAGGAAAGAATATCATCACCCAAAATTCTGAGGAAAAATGAAATGTGCTCTGGTTTAAATAGTTTTCTTATTTTTCTTTTTATCTAGATTCTCAGATGTTGGTTGTTTCTATGAAACCAGGCAGGAAATTGAATGCATTATGTTTTTAAAACTTTAAACCTGCTTCTGTTCTGTTTGACTGGCATTTACTATTTTCTGCATTTCATTCTCTCACCTAATCTCTTCCTTTCTAATCTGCTTACTAAAAATGAAGATTTAACATCAGAAGCCGGGCTCAGTAACTGATCAAAGGGAACTTTAAGATGCAGTCTTGTGGCGCAGTTTGGGCTGCTAACCTGCTATCTAAAGGTGATGCTTCAAATGGCTTTTCTGTGCATGTGCATGGATTTTGTGAATGGTGAAAACTGTCTCTAAACTGTGTGGTGGTGTGTAGTGTAAAGTGAATTTGTTCTTGATGGGTGCTATCTCACAAAAGATGGACTTGACAAAAGGACCTTAATTTATAATACCATCCTTTGACAAATGTCTCTGATAACTAAGTTTTTGCTAAATAACATTTAAGATTACCAAAATAACAATACTCCTGGAGTTTCTTAAGAAATTTAAAATAGGTTGATCTTTGAGACAGCTGCTGCAGTCTAGTTCTGATAAAAGGTAAGGGAAGTCATGCTAAATGCTTCTCTGTCTTCATAGACTTTGATTTTAGCATCCTGTCTTCCATTAAGTTTCCCTACTTTTTTCTGGTTCTTGAGTCAAGATTTCCTCTATTAAAGTTTTGCTTCTAATGATTAGGATTACCCATGATTTAGGCCACTACCAAATTAAGGAATCAATTGCCAGTCTAGTCGTCTCAAATCCTATTTGGAACAAGGTGGGATATAAAATTTTAAATGCTACCATATCTGGTATCTTCTTTCCTTAAATAAGGGTTTCCCCTCTACATATGTTATAAACTATTCTATAATTCCTGTTACATCATGTGTTAACTTGCTGTGATTTCATGTTGAATTAATACAAAACTAACTAATATTAATTTTTCATGGGAGGTAAGTTTTGTCAGCTTACTGTTTATTATTGTGTCTGACTCTTAAGTTTAGATCTTTATGAGAATTATGAACATGATTAAATGTTAAAAAATTAAGTATTTGATTTCTACCCTTTGTTTCCTGCCCTCCTTTTTTCTTCTTTTCTTAGTTTGACTATCCAAAGCATACACACACTCACATTCACTCTTTATTATTAGTTAATAGTTATTTGGTCCCTTTTCTCCTTGATGTGAAATAGTCACAGCTAATATTTAGTTTTATTTTTGCTATTTTTAATTCAGTTAAAACTAATATTGATGCAACCAAAACTAAAAAAAAAAAAAAAAAAAAGAAATTATCGTTTTTGTGCTCATACCTTGATATTTACAGTTTTATGCTTGATACCAGCTTCCTGAATTGACTAAGGGATATTTCAGATTCTTACTTAAAACTTGCCTTTTTTTTTTTTTTTTTTTTTGAGACAGAGTCTCGTTCTGTCCCCCAGGCTAGAGTATAGTGGCTCAGTCTCAGCTCACTGCAACCTCTGCTCCCAGGTTCAAGCGATTCTCCTGCCTCAGCCTCACGAGTAACTGGGATTACAAGCGTGCGCCACCACACCCGGCTAATTTTTTGTATTTTTAGTACAGAATAGGTTTCACCATGTTGGTCAGGCTGGTCTTGAACTCCTGACCTCAAGTAATTCACCCGCCTTGGCCTCCCAAAATGCTGAAATTACAGGCGTGAGCCACACACCCGAAAACTTGCCATTTTTGAATGAGACGTTTAAGTGGGAAAAAAAAAAAAAAGGTTCCAGTTAAAGACTATTAGACCACTCAGAACTAACAGTCAGTTGTAAATCTAAGTTTCTAGATGGAGTTCTGAACTTCATTAAAATTTATCACAAATTTACTTAGGCATTTTATCATGAAGACTAATTTCTTCCCAGAGGGGCTGTACATTTTATTTTCAAGAGTCCTGTCACAGATTAGAACTATTCTTTCTTACTGTAGACTAAAACAACCTGGTCCTAGTAATCTTTCATGTCACGATATTCCAACTACATTCATGTACCTGTAGATCTCAAAGCCAAGAAATGGTAATGGACCAAAAAGTAAACATGCCAGTTGGTAACCCATGCACTTACAGGCATGAACTGTTGACTAAAGGTCAGGTTGAAGTTGAAGCCAATGAATGAAAATATTTATCCAGTGATTTACAAAGCAGTTTTATGTCTGTTATCAACAGAACATTTTACAGCCCTGCTAAACATTAAGTATTGTTATTATCCTAGTTTTACGTACAAAGAAAGGGATGCTCTGACACTGAAGTTTGCTCAAGATTCTGTAGCTTCTGAATGACATGCCTAGGATTGGGATTTAGTTATTTTACTCCAAATGCTGTTACTTTTTTGTTTTTTGTTTTTTGTTTGTTTGTTTGTTTGTTTATTTTTAGATGGAGTCTCACTCTGTCCCTCAGGCTGGAGTACAGTGGCATGATCTCAGCTCACTGCAACCTCCGCCTTCCGAGTTCAAGTGATTCTCCTGCCTCAGCCTCCCAAGTAGCTGGGATTACAGGCACCTGCCACTGCGCCTGGCTAATTTTTTGTATTTTTAGTAGAGACGGGGTTTCACCATCTTGGCCAGGCTGGTCTTGAACTCCTGACCTCACGATCCACCCACCTCGGCCTCCCAAAGTGCTGGGATTACAGGTGTGAGCCACCGCGCCTGGCTTTTTTTTGTTTTGTTTTAATCCTGACATGTCCCTTTGCTTCTTCTAGATTAATTATTTAGTGCTCCAATATATAGACTACTAGAGTCTATAATAGACTACCAGAGTAATCTAAAGTACTCCTCCTGGA
Organism: Homo sapiens; assembly: GCF_000001405.40. Classification (NCBI taxonomy): domain Eukaryota; kingdom Metazoa; phylum Chordata; class Mammalia; order Primates; family Hominidae; genus Homo; species Homo sapiens. The sequence goes on from NC_000015.10 coordinate 42,524,244, forward strand.
TCGCTAAATGTCCCACTGACCTTATATAAAACAACAACAAACGATTCCCAGGCTATACTCCATGTGTATTGGAGTAGAATCTTCAGAGTGCAGCCTACTATCTATGTGTTCTACAGCAGGGGCCCTCAACCCCCCCAGCCATGGACCACTATTGGTCCACGGCCTGTTAACAGAAACTGGTCCTCATAGCAGGAGGTGAGCATTATTGCCTGAGCTCTGCCTCCTCTCAGATCAGCAGTGGCATTACATTCTCATAGGAGCAAGAACCCTATTGTGAACTGTGCATGTGCGAGATCTAGTTGTACGCTCCTTATGAGAATCTAACTAATGCCTGATGATCTGAGGTGGAACAATTTCATCCCCAAAGCATCCCCTGGTCCCCATTCGTGGAAAAATAGTCTTCCATGAAACTGGTTCCCCAGTGCCAAAAAGGTTGGGGACTGCTGAGGTCACTCTGATACTCAGTCAAGTTTGGAAGGTATTACCTTTAAAGCATCTAAGACCCTTTGGAAGGAAAGTAAATTAGTTTAAAAACATATTTATATTTGTGAACATTTTTTATTTTATTAACTTAGATAAGCAGCTATCTGACAATGCCTTAAAAACAGGTTCCAACTTGGTGGAGGAAACTCCAGGGTGATGGCCAGTAACAGGGTCTTGAGCAACCAAAAGGCATTACCTAGAGTGGACATGCTGAATGAGACGCACTGAACTGTCCCACCACCCCTTCATAAACACGCAGAACATACTATAACTGCAAGAAAAACAAGTAGTTTTTTTCCCCATCCCATTTGAAGGTAAACATGCCAACACAATGCAAAGCTGTAAAAAAATTCAAAGTCAGCTGGGCGCGGTAGCTCACTTCTGTAATCCCAGCACTTTGGGAGGCCGAGGCAGGCGGATCACGAGGTCAGGAGATCGAGACCATCCCTGGCTAACACGGTGAAACCCTGTCTCTACTAAAAATACAAAAAATTAGCCGGGCGTGGTGGCAGGCGCCTGTAGTCCCAGCTATTCGGGAGGCTGAGGCAGGAGAAGGGTGTGAACCCGGGAGGCGGAGCTTGCAGTGAGCTGAGATCGTGCCACTGCACTCCAGCCTGGGCGATACAGCGAGACTCCGTCTCAAAAAAAAAAAAAAAAATTCAAAGTCAGCTTTTTGTGTCTTTTCCCCTTGTTACAGAAAGAACATCTTCAAAGATCCAGTCTTCTTTTTTTTTTTTTTTTTTTTTTTTTTTTTTGAGACGGAGTCTCACTCTGTCACCAAGGCTGCAGTGCAGTGGCACGATCTGGGCTCACTGCAACCTCTGCCTCCCAGGTTCAAGTGATTCTTCTGCCTCTGCCTCCTGAGTTGCGGGGACTGCATTCGAGCGCCACCACACCCAGCTAAGTTTTGTATTTTTAGTAGAGACAGGGTTTCACCATGTTGGCCAGGCTGGTCTCGAACTCCTGACTTCGTGATCTGCCTGCCTCGGCCTCCCAAAGTGCTGGTATTACAGGTGTGAATCACCGCACCCGGCCAAGATCCAGTCATTTTAAAGACAGCAGAGTTTGATAACCAATCTGATTCTTTGTTTATAGACTATGTTTCAATTAAAAATCATTCACATGATCATTTTTAAACAATTCATTTGCATTTTATGCCCTTATATCTAATTGTGGAAAGAAGAATTCTCATAAGTGTAAAGAATTTTTTCAAATATTGCCTCTTAATGTTGGGAAGGAGGTTGGAATGCATATATATTCCTTAATAGACCAGAACCCAAGGTCATGTCCCAGTCCACTCCTCTTTTTGTGCTGTCAGAAACATAATATCTCATTAGTTACTTTGGAATTTCAACCTTCTCTCTTGCACCTGTTCCACAATCCGAAATTCTAATAAAAGCCCCACTTCTGTTACTTCTGTTAATATTTGTGGTTATTAACTTTCTGATAAACTAATATATTGCTTTTGTTTTATTTACTAGCACTTACTCTGCTCTAGAATTTTGCCTGGGACCTTTCTTATTATTAACAAAGAATACATGTGAATATTTATTTTAAAAATATATATCCTACCTTGTTCCAAGAAAAATTTAACATGGCTTCTTAATAAATAAATGGGTTAATTAATAAAAACAGCATAGAAACATAATTATGATAACTTAAAGTGGTACCATGAAACACACTTGGAGAACTAGCTCTTCAGTGTTCATAAATTTGCCTTTGCAATGCCTCTCACAAAAAAAAATTAGTAGTATCCTTTCTGTAATGTTAATGATAAAGTCTAAGATTCAATTCTAGGTTTGCCGAAAATGAATCCTCACATGCCTATTAAGGAAGAAGTCACTTTTTTCATAAAATCTCTTCCCTACCTTTTTAATTTTTGCAATTTTAAAACTTCCTTATTAATGTAAAATGTAGAATAAATCAGAGATCAATATTTGAGCAACATACTATTTCGTTTTTGTTTATAGAAAAGTGAAAACTAAAATTGAATGAAAGCTTGACTTTAGCCAAATAATCAAGAAAAGTTTTGTGTCACTTTTCCGTAACAGCCATTTTTTTTTCCCTGTAATAGCCACTTTTTCTTTCTTTTTAAGACACTTAGACTTATGATTTTTTTTTTTTTTTGAGATGGAGTGTCTCGCTCTGTTGCCCAGGCTGGAGTGCAGTGGTGTGATCTTGGCTCCTTGCAACCTCCGCCTCCTGGGTTCAAGCGATTCTCCTGCCTCAGCCTCCCCAGTAGCTGGGATTATAGGCACGTGGTGCCACACCCAGCTAATTTTTGTATTTTTAGTAGAGATGGGGTTTCACCATGTTGCCCAGGCTGGTCTTGAACTCCTGACCTCAGGTGATCCACCCACCTTGGCCTCCCAAAGTGCTGGGATTACCGGTGTGAGCTACTGTGCCCGGCCTTGATCGTTTTTTTAAAGAGGAAACTCTTAAATGAAAAACTCCTACACTACAGGATTTATGAATGACCGCTTGTGTGGTCAAGGTACTTATTTGTCCGCTGATTGTCCAATTTGGAAATTATTCATGCCTTTCTTTCCTGATGGCTGGTTTGTTTGTAAGAAACCATTGTTTAAAATTTCATGGAAAATTCTAATAAAAACTGATCAGCTGGAACTACGCTGGTTCAAATTCAGTCTTCTTATTTTAAAATTTTATTTATTTATTTAAGATTAGGTCTCACTCTGTCACCCAGGCTGGAGTGCAGTGGCACTATCATGGCTCACTGCAGCCTCGACCTTCTGGGCTCAAGCAGTCCTCCCACCTCAGCCTCTCGAGTAGCTGGGACCACAGGCGTGTGCCACCACACCCAGCTAATGTTTGTATTTTTTTATAGAGATGGCATTTTGAGGCAGGGAGCAGTGGCTCACGAGCCTGTAGTCCCAGCACTTTGGGAGGCCGAGGTGGATGGATCACTTGAGGTCAGGAGTTTGAGAGATGGGTTTTTGCTGTGTTGCCCTGGCTGATCTTAAACTCCTGAGCTCAAGCGATCCACCCGCCTTGGCCTCCCAAAGTGCTGGGAGTACAGGCGTGAGCCACTGCACCCAGCATCAGCCTTCTTATTCTGTCATCCCTTGTCAACCTCTGAGATGCCTTCAAGGAACCTCTTAAGGTATCCCAGAACACCTTTTCTAAGGGACCTTTTTTTAAGTAATGTGCATTAACCTCTTTTCTAGATAGTGCTGGATACACTAGGAAGAGAAAAGCAAAACGATAGTGCCAGAGGCTAAGGGAACCTGAAAAATCAAATAGTTGCCTTTTGCTACTTGCTAACAGCCTAGTGAAGATTTGGTAGAAGTAGTATTTGGACCTTTTTAAAATTTTTTTTAGTGTCAATGGGTTTACATAATTCATCTATTTCCTATTCCATATTGCCATGGAGCATAGTGTAGATCATCTAGACTTAGCTGTATGCAGCTTTTCTACTAGAGTTATTAGTGTCATCCTCAAGGTAACAGGCACTAATAATTAGAACTCTCCGTCTTCTTTTTTTTGGTATCTCCCTACACTCCTGACTCTTATATAGAACAAAGAACTTTGAGTCTGGCAAGGCTTATAAGACAACATGGGGAGATGGTGGAGAAAACTCACCTTGCAATGTAGTATCTAAACAGCCAGGCCCGGTGACAAATGGTCAGCTTCAGCAACCAACAACGGGAGCAGCCAGTGGTGGATACATTAAACGGTATGCCAACTCCTCCTGATATTCCTGTACCTTTCTTAATGAATGGTTCACTTAGGAGATGAGTTTAGCAGTACATGACCCCTAATAAAACAAATAAAAATTGTATTTATTCCATTTTTAAAATGCATTTAAAAATCTGCCCACTGACAAAATGTGGGTTTTTTTTATTTGTTGTTTTGTTTTGAGACAGAGTCTTGCTGTGTTGCCCAGGCTGGAGTGCAGTGGCGTGATCTCAGCTCACTGCAACCTCTGCCTCCCAGGTTCAAGTTATTCTCCTGCCTCAGCCTTCCGAGTAGCTGGGACTACAGGTGTGCGCCACCACGCCCAGCTAATTTTTGTATTTTTAGTAGAGACAGGGTTTCACCATGTTGACCAGGCTGGTCTTGGACTCCTGACCTCAGGTGATCCACCTGCCTCGGCCTCCCAAAGTGCTGGGATTACAGGCATAAGCTACCACACCTGGCCAGACAAAATGTTGACTGTGGTGGTTGACCTTGGGTGATGGAATTAACTTTTCTTTATACTTTTCAGTACTTTCCAAATTATTGAACTAGACATATTTTACTTTTATATATAGAAAAAAATAGGTTTTAAAATGTGTCATCTAGAACAAGGGTCAGCTAGATTCCTGTAAGAAGATCTGTAACGAGCCAGAGAGTTAATATTTCAGACTTTTCAGGCCATACAGTCCCTTGCAATTACTCAACTCTGTTGTAGGGTTAAAGCAGGCATAAACAATATGTAAACAAATGAGCACAGCTGTGTTTGAATAACACTTGATTTACAAAATCATATGGTGGCCAGATTTGGTCCTTGGGCCGTAGTTTTCCAACCTCTCTCTTAGGGCAGTGCTTCTTTAGATAGACTTAACTGTGCATTAGAACCACTTGAGGGGCTTATTAAACCGTAGGTTTCTGGGATGCACTTACAGTTTCTGATTGAGTAGGTCTGGAATGGAGTGTGAGAATTAGCATTCTCATGTCTAACAGCTTCCCAGGTGATGCTGGGAATTAAGCTTTGAGAAACACTGTTTCAGAGTTTCTTTCTTTTCTTACATGGCTTTAAGATACTGTGCTCTCTTTGATGAGTCTCCCAGTTTTTATTATAGAATGTTTCCCAGGAATGGTAACCTATATTCTTTTGGATCTTATACTTGCTGAGAGTCATTTTGGTTACTTACTTTTGTGAAAAGTAAATCCAGACTTTTATTTAAATTCAACAAAACCTATGGAATTAACTGTCTTCTTGTGATAGCATAACTAATGATGCCAGAGAAGATGAAATGGAAGAGAACCTGACTCAAGTGGGCAGTATCCTGGGAAATCTAAAAGACATGGCCCTGAACATAGGCAATGAGATTGATGCTCAAAATCCACAAATAAAACGAATCACAGACAAGGTAAAAGCTTTTTATTGCCACAAGAAAATGAGACACCCAGTTCAGTGTTTCAGTAATAGACATCTGTGCTAGATACTGTGGGGGACACGGTAGAATAAGCTCCTGTCCTCATAGGTCTTAATTCTGATGAGGTGGTGGTTCTAACACATAAAACAAGAGCCAAGTCCTCCCTGTCATGGTAGTTGGTGCATTTTGAAACCAGAGTTTTGGAATATAGTAGTTTTACTTAAACCTTCACACATGAAGCTTAGTATCTACTTTAGCTTTTGAGCGTGTTTTTTTCTCTCCCAAATGAGTTTTATTTTGTTAACTAATTTTTTAATTGAGAATGGGGTCTTGCTCTGTCGCCTAGGGTAGTGTGGTGGTACAATCACAGCTCACTGCAGCCTGCCTCCTAGGCTAAAGCGTTCCTCCCACATCAGCCTATTTTGTTAACTAAAAATAAATTAAGTTCCTGAATCCTCATCTCATGAAAGAGTCCGTAGGTGAAAATCTGTTCTGCAGAATAGTTCTTATGGAGTGGACACACGAAATAGAGTCATGTGAGTGAAAGAAAGTTGTGATTCTTTTTTTTCCCCCTTAACTTTACATGATATAAATATAGTGAAAGCGAAATTGTTTTCAGTGTTTTGATGTGTCACATGTAAAGTCATACCTTGGCCAACCGTGGTAGCTCACACCTGTAATCTCAACACTTTGAGAGGCGGAGGCAGGAGGATTGCTTGAGCTCAGGAGTTTGAGACCAGAGCAAGACCTCGACTCTACTAAAAAAATTTAAAAATTGACCAGGCATGGTGGCATGTGCCTATTGTCCCAGTTACTCGGGAGGCTGAGGCAGAAGGATTGCTTGAGTGTAGGAGTTGAAGGCTGCAGTGAGCTGTGATTGCACCATTGCATTCCAGCCTGGGCAACAGAGTGAGACCCTTTCTCAAAAAGAAAGGAAAAAAAGAAAGTCATACCTCATTAAAATCTCAGTGAACTTTAGGGTGAGTTTTTAAGCTTGGCTCTCTGTTAAATCACTTTTGATGGATTTAATTGAAACAGTGGTTCACAAGATGCTTTAAATGCTGCAGTCTGGGTTTAGGCTATATTTACCTGTCATTTTAATTCAGATGTTGGTGAGGATGGTAATAGATTCGTTTCAAAGATCTTTGGAAAGGTTATTTCAGTCTCTCCAGGTTAGACTTAGGGTGTCTGAATCCAGATGAGATTCTATGATTCAGTTCAGAGGACTCACACAAGGTCCAGATCTTTAACAGAGAAGAGCACTCTTTCATATTTCATTGCATCAAAAAATGCCATTGATTACAGGATGCATCCCAGTTTCAGGCATGTTAAACTATGAAAAAATGCGTTATAGAATTTATGAAATATTGGCAAGGTCTTATATGTTACACCTTTGTCATGTTTATATACCAGGGGTTTTCCAAATGAATTTCATATTCTGTTACTTCTTGCCCAACATGAGTTTTGTAATGTAACTTCACGTGGTTTCTTGGATTTTCTTGGTGTGTCAGTTACTCCAAGTGTAAAAAGTTTAATTTTTATTAGAGTTACTTACCTTGTAAAGCTGATATCTTTCTTGTTTTTCAGGCTGACACCAACAGAGATCGTATTGATATTGCCAATGCCAGAGCAAAGAAACTCATTGACAGCTAAAGCTACTGCTGTTCTTCTTTATCATTTATTCACTTCCGTAGCTCCTCCTTGAAAGTTATTACCTTTTCAGAGTTTAAGTTTTCGGTTCCACGCTCTTCTAATTGGGAGATAATATGGAAGAAGGGCCAGAGCAGTTACAGCCCTCCTTCTTTTTTGTTTTCTGTTGAGGGCCGACTGCTGCTCTGCCTTCCTTCTAGTATTTTCTTTCTCAATTCATACGCTTAGATTGGTTTTCATATGTCATGTTTAGTGTTTTCATCCTCCTCATATACTTCAGCAGGTTCTTTTGCTTTCAAGATTTGGAAGCATTGCCAAAGACAGCCATGAAGAAGGAAGCTGTAGAGGTGTTTTTTGTTGTTGTTTATTTTTGCTTTTGTGGTTGAGGGAAGGACAAGAGATAAGAGGTTGTTACCTCAGTAAAAACCTTCAGGCCACAAAGCAAAAAGTTGCATAGCCACAACGAAGATCTAGTTGGATATAGTTTTTGATTTAAGTTGCAGTTATAGCCAATTTAGGCTAATGCTTGGTTTTGGAGCTTTTATACACAACGTTTTTGTTAGGCATCACAGTTTTGCAACCTCTGCTCCAAAGAGAAAAATAGAATGAGTTTTCTTTCTTTTTTTTTTTTTTGGAGTCAGAGTCTCGCTCTCTTGTCCAGGCTGGAGTGCAATAGCGCGATCTGGGCTCACTGCAACCTCCGCCTCCCTGGTTCAAGCAATTCTCCTGCCTTGCCTCCTGAGTAGCTGGGATTACAGGCGTGTGTCACCACGCTCGGCTAATTTTTGTATTTTTAGTAGAGACAGGGTTTCACCATGTCAAGCTGGTCTTGGACTCCTGACGTCGTGATCCACCCGCCTTGGCCTCCCAAAGTACTGGGATTACAGGCGTGAGCCACTGTGCCTGGCTGAGTTTTCTTAAAGTGAGCTTAATTTCTGAACTCTTAGTGATTCATATATGTACATAAATCTGTGATCCCATTTCTTATTGCACCATTCAGGAACACTTTATATAAATGAGTGGCTTTTTATTTCATATTATTAGTAGTATCATGGTTCCATTACAGGCCTATTAACATCATACATTGTCATTAGTCTTTGAAGAAAAAATATGTAAATATATATGTGTAACATGAGAATTTCTCTCTAAAGCAGGGCTTAAAATTTTTTGGAAAAGTTTGACAAAGCATACCACATGAATTCAGATTTACCTCAATGCTAAGAATTATGTTTAGTTAGGAAAAAGGAAAGTCATTTTGACCTCAGGTAGAAAAATAGATTGCTTTGAGTTTTATGTAGCTTTAGACTTTAAAAAGTTAGAATTTATTCTGTAACTAAAAATTATTTGAAAAAATTATGCCTCTGGTTTAATTATTGGTGATTACACACTCTTTCTCTTACCCTTGTGTATTGAACTATGTCCATAATCAAGTTGATGTGGATCCTGAAAAGTGTTATGAACATCTGATTGGTATTTGTCACATTTATTTTAAAATTAGCATCTGAACACTTCAAAGCTGTCAGTGTGTATTGGTTTCACCAATAACCACTGCTTGATCCTTACAATTAAATTTTTTAACTAACTAATGGTATTGTTCTTTCAAATAGGTAACATGTTTCTATGACTGTTATTTGGGGGAAAATAGTTTCATCAGCTCTCATTTAACAAATTAATAAAGCAAAGATCCATACATCAAGAAACACTACAGCAGGAAGCTGCCTTTAGCATCTTTCCAGTATTTATTGAAAATATTGATGGGACTTAAACTTACCTTGCTAAAAATTTATTGTGAGGTTCATTTTAATCATTACTAGTCTTACTCACTTGAGCTTAAATACACTAGTGACTGGAAGGGTAATGGTTCTGTGTGAGAACTACAACTCACTGGAGAAGATACAGTTAATGTGGGAGCTTTCAAAGGCTAAAGAGGAAAATATTTAAATAAAGTGAGATGCAACTACACCCTCTGTAATAGAAATGCTCCATGTCAAAATGAGTGGTTTGGCAGGGATGGTAAATATGTAAAGTAAGGTGTAAAACGGAGGATTGTGCTTTACCTAAATGCCTTTCCTAAAACCATTTACCATAAAAAAAAATTTTAGCACTGTTCTGGATAAAGGAAATAGTTCTGAGAATACCAGCATGCTACACTCACAGTATGATTGGTTAGAAGCATGGGCTGAGGCATTATCTGAATTTTCACTCTAGCTGAAGTGACTGTAAGATCATTTCTGTGCCTTAATTTGTCTGTAAATGCAGATTAATACAAGCATACCTCAGATACTGAGGGTTCAGTTCTAGACCACTACCATAAAGCTAGTATTGCAATGAAGTGAGGCACATGAATTTTGGTTTCCCAGTGCATATAAAAGTTCTGTTTACACTATTCTGTAGTCTATTAAATGTGCAATAGCATTATGTCTTTAAAAAGCAATGTATATACCTTAATTTAAAATACTTTACCATGGGCCAGGCGCAGTGGCTCACGCCTGTAATCCTAGCACTTTGGGAGGCCAAGGCAGATGGATCACTTGAGGTCAGGAGTTTGAGACCAGCCTGGCCAACATGGTGAAACCACATCTGTACTAAACATACAGTTAGCTGGGTGTGGTGGCATGTGCCTGTAATTCCTCTACTGAAGTCTCTTTTTTGTTTGTTTTGTTTTGTTTTTTTGAGAAGGAGTCTTGCTCTGTCATCCAGGCTGGAGTGCAGTGGCGTGATCTGGGCTCACTGCAACCTCCACCTCTCGGGTTCAAGCGATTCTCCTGCCTCAGCCTCCTGAGTAGCTGGGATTACAGGCAGGCACCACCGTGCCCAGCTAATTTTTTTATCTTTAGTAGAGACAGGGTTTCACCACGTTGGTCAGGCTGGTCTCGAACTCCTGACCTTGTGATCTACCCGCCTCTGCCTCCGAAAGTGCTGGGGTTACAGGCGTGAGCCACCACACCCGGCCTCCTCCACTGAAGTCTTCAAACGCCCAGTCATCCATGAGGGTTGGAATCAACTTCTTCCAAACCCGTGTTAATGTTGGTATCTTGACCTCCTTTCATGAATCATGAATGTCCTTAACGGTATCCTTTCCAGAGGGTTTTCAGTTTACTTTGCCCATATCCATGAGAGGAATCACTATGGCAGCTATACCTTTATGACATTTATTTCTTAAGCAATAAGACTTGAAAGCTGAAATGACTCTTTGATCCAAGGGCTGTAGAATGGATATATTAGCAAGCATGAAAACAACACAACATTAATCTTGTACATCTTCATCAGAGCTCTTGGGTGACCATATACTCTGATGCTCACTATCAATAAGCAGTAAGATTTTGAAAAGAATACTTTTTTTTCTGAGCAGTACTTCTCAACAGTGGGTTTAAAATATTCAGTAAATCATGCTGTAAACAGATGTGTTATCATCCAGGTTTCATTGTTCCATTTATAGAGCACAGGTAGAGTAGACTTAGCATGATTCTTAAGGCCCCTATATTTTCAAAATGTTAAATGAGCAATGCCTTCAGCTTGAAGTCACCAGCTCTATTAGCCTCTAACAAGAGAGTCAGCCTGTCTTTTGAAACAAGCTAGGCATTGACTTCTCTCTAGCTATGGGAGTCCTAAATGGTGTCATTTTCCAATAGAAGGCAGTTTCATCTACATTGAAAAATCTATTGTTTACTGTAGCCACCATCATCATTATCTGGATAACTTGCTGCAGCTTCTCCATCAGCACTTGCTGCTTTATCTTACACTTTTATGTTAACAGATACAGCTTCTTCCCTTAAACCTCATGAACCAACCTTGGGTAACTTCCAACTTTTCTTCTGCAGCTTCCTCACCTCTCAGCCTTTATAGCATTGAAGGGAGTTAGGGCCTTGTGTTTACTGGAGTAGCACTTTTAACTTCCTTCAAGAACTTTTCCTTTGCATTCACCACTTGGTTAACCGGCGTAAGAGGCCTAGCCTTTAGCCTGTCTTGGCATTTTTTTTTTTTTTTTGAGACAGAGTCTTGCTCTGTCGTCCAGGCTGGAGTACAATGGTGCGATCTCAGCTCACTGCAACCTCTGTCTCCCGAGTAGCTGGGATTGCAGGTGTGTGCCACCATGTCTGGCTAGTTTTTGTATTTTTAGTAGAGACAGGGTTTTTGCCATGTTGGCGAGGCTGGTTCGAACTCCTGACCTCAGGTGATCCGCCCACCTCGGCCTCCCAAAGTGCAGGGATTACAGGTGTGAGCCAACGCGCCCGGCTATGACTCTTCTTTTCACTTGAACTTAAAGGCTATTGCAGGGCTATATATTGGCCTAATTTCAATATTCTGTCTCAGATTAGGGAGGCCCAAGGAGAGGAAAGTGATAAGGAATGGCTAGTTGTTGGAGCAGTCAGAACACACATTTCTCAATTAAGTCTGCCATCTTATGGCTTGGGCAAGAAGATGAGACCGTTTCTACAAAAAAATTTTAAAATTAGCCAGGTGTGGTGGTGCATATCTATAGTCCCAGCTACTGAGGAGGCTGAGATGGGATGATTGCTTGAGCCTAGGCGGTTGAGGCTGCAGCGAGCCATGATTGCGCCACTACACTCCAGCATGGGTGACAGAGCGAGACCCTGTCAAAAAAGTTTGCCATCTTATATTGGCATGGTTTGTGGCATCCCAAAACAGTTAAAATAGTACCATCGGTGATCACAGATCACCATAACATATCATAATAATGAAAAAGTTTGAAATATTGTGAGAATTTTCAAAATGTGAGACAAAGTGAGGACATGCTGTTGGAAAGATGGCACTGATAGACTTGCTCGATGTAGGGTTGCTACAAACTGTCTATTTGTGAAAAAACTTAATGGAGTGCAGTAAAATGAGGTATGCCTATAATTCCTACATAGCATTGTATTGCATAGAGTGGTAACACAGGTAAAGCACTTAGAACAGTTCCTGGCTAATGTAAGAGCTTAATAAGCAATAGCTGCTATTCTCTCTAAAGTGGAGCTCTTTCTGGTCAAGCATCTCTGTGAATTTGATGAAAGACAACATAGCCTCTCCCCAGAGAAACAGGCACACAAATGCAAATCATGCATAAGTGAGGTCCATAAATGGAGGTCTTGAAAGCCCGTCCATGGAACCCAGGTTGAAACTTTCCCACAGCTTCTGCTATTGAGAAAAAAGAGAGGTGAGGCCATCAAAATTAGACTCCATCATGCATTAGAAATGGCTGTTCACTTAAAGCCCTTTCTGATTTTCTCCCATAACATTGTCTGGAAACTTGATTCACTTTTGAAAGGTAGTAAATGGTTAACACAAGCTCTGGAGTCTGACCACCTGGGATCAAATTTTGGTTCATTCATTTACTTCTAGTTGTGTGGCCTTGAGCATAATACTGACCTATAACTAAAGAGGTAAAAAATTATATCCCCCACTGAGCTTGTTTTTTAACACTAAGCTCCCTCTTCAAGTTTCCAGTCTTATAACCATAATGATCTGTGTCCCCTATAGCCATGCCTATTTCTTTGCTTCAGTTTTAATTCATCTTTTGTTTCTATACTCTAAACCTTTCCATTTCATGTGTGGATTATGAGTCTGTCCTTAACTTAAACATCTATGGCCCAGACATCCTGAACTCAGTTGCACTTAGAATTAGCTTTTTAAAGACATACACTGTAGTCCCAGCTACTTGGGAGGCTGAGGCGGGAGGATCACTTGGGCTCAGGTGTTCAGGACCAGCCTGGGCAGCATAGTGAGATCCCATCTCTCTGTCTCTCTCTCTCTCTCTCACACACACACACACACACACACACACACACGCACGCACACATGGCCAAGAGGTATGTGAAAAAAATCTCAACACTGCTAATCATCATGGAAATGCAAATAAAACCTACAATGAGATGATCTCATTCCAGTTATCATGGCTATTATCAAAAGTGAGAAAATGCTGGCAAGGATGCTGAGAAAAGAGAACTAATTCCCACTTGGTGGCAATGTGAATGAGTGCAGCCACTATGGAAAACAAATATGGAGATCTCTCAGAAAACTAAAAATGGAATTACCATACTATCCAGCAATCATACTACTGGGTATTTATTGAAAGGAAAGGAAATCAATATATTAAAGGGATACCTGCACTCCCATGGTTATTGCAGCACTATTCATGATAGCAAAGATAATGGAATCAACCTAAGGGTCCATCAACAGATGAATGGATAAGGGAAATGTGTATATACACAGTGGAATACTATTCAGCCATAAAAAGAATGAAATCCTATTGTTTGCAGTGACATGAATACACTGGAGGTGTATCCAAGGAACTGGAGGTCATTGTGTTAAGTGAAATAATCCAGGCACAGAAAGACAAATACTGCATGTTCTTACTCATGTGAGCTAAAAAATTTATTTCATGGAGGTAGAGAGTAGAATGATAGTTACCAGAGGCTGGGTAGTGGGTGTACAGGGTGGGGCGATGAAGGAAGGTAGGTTAATGGGTAGATACAAACATACAGTTAGATAGAAGGAATAAGTTTTAATGCTTGATAGCATAGTACGGTGACTATACTTAATGTAAGTTTCAAAATGGCTAGAAGATTTGAAATGTTCCCAACACAAACAAATGATAAATGTTTGAGATAATGAATAACATAAATATCCTGACTTGATCATTATACATTCTATGCATGTCTCAGAATATCACAAGTACCCCATAAATATGAACAAATATATATCAGAAAAATAGTAAAGTGAAAAAGGAAAACAAAGTAGCTTATCTAAGTGCTGTTTTCTTTAGGTCACTCTTACCAAAACTTCAGGTTATCCCAATTACATTCCTAATCAGATTTTATTTCTCAGATTGATATTCAAGTTTCTCATCTAGTCATTTAAAAATTTATTTTTTCCATAAAGTAAAAGCAAGTTTATTAAAAAAGTAAAGGAATAAAAGAATGGCTACTCCATAGGCAGAGCAGCCTATTTTTTATTATTTTTTTGGAGCCACAATCTCACATTGTTGTCCAGGCTGGCCTCAAACTCCTAGGTTCAAGGGATCCTCCAGCCTCAGGCCTCCTCAATAGCTGGGACTATAGATGCCTGCCTCTGCCTGGCTCCATTTTTTTATCCTTTTAATGTAGTGTCCACTCCAAGCCTTCTATTTCTGTACAACTTGTAAAATTCTACTTTCATGCCTTATAGATGAGATAAATGGCATGATTTACTGAGTGCTTACTCTGTCATGGCCACTATGCTAAGTGCTTTTATATAGTTTTTTGCAACATACCTGAGAGGTAGGAGCTATTCCCTATATTTACAAGTGAGACGAAATTGCTCAAATTCATAAAGCTAATAAATGACGGACTCTGTATTCAAACCTGGATCTTTCTGACTCCAGGGCCCATAATTTTAATATACTACATTGCCTTCCAAACCAAGCTGTAAAAAATTTGGGTGACTTGGGCCAGATGTGGTGGCTCACACCTGTAATCCCAGCACTTTGGGAGGTAAGGCAGGATTGCTTGAGCCCAGGAGTTTGGGGCCAGCCTGGGGAACACAGGAAGACCCCGTCTTTCTAAAAAATTAAAAATTAGCTGAGTGTGGTGGCAGATAACCTGTAGCTCCAGCTACTTAAGAGGCTGAGGTGGGAGGAGATAGCTTGAGCCCAGGAGATCAAGGCATTTGTGAGCTGTGATCATGCCACTGCACTTCAGCCTGGGCAATAGAGCAAGACCCTGTCTCAAAAAATACATATAGGCTGGGCGTGGTGGCTAACACCTGTAATCCCAGCACTATGGGAAGCCAAGGCAGGGGGATCACCTGAGGCCAGGAGTCTGAGATAAGCCTGGCTAACATAGTGAAACCCCATTTTACTAAAAATACAAAAATTAGCTGGGCGTGGTGGTGGGCACCTGTAATCCCAGCTATTCAGGAGGCTGAGGCAGGAGAATTGCTAGAACTCAGGAAGTGGAGGTTGCAGTGACCCGAGATTGTGCCACTGCATTCCAACCTGGGCGAAACAGACAGCCTCTGTCTCAAAAAAAAAAAAAAAAAAAAAGAGACTTAAAAGCCAGGCAGTGGCTCACACCTGTAATCTCAATACTTTGGGAGGCCAAGATGGGAGGATCACTTGAGTCCAGTTTAAGACTAGCCCAGGCAACACAGCAAGATCTGTCGCAAAAAAAGAAAAAAAAAATTAGGTGACTTGGACTAGTGGCCAGATTCAAATCTGGGTCTTTAGACCACAAGCTAGTTTACTTGATTAGCTCATATTTAAATCTAAATCTTGTTTGCTGTAACTTTGGGCATATTACTGTATATAGCCCTTGCCCTCAAAGAGTTAGTCTATCATGAAAGATAAATATAGAATGTGAGAAGTGCTATAGTAACAGATGGGTGAGCAGTTAATTCGGCTTAGACGCAGGAAAGAGGCTTAGACATACAGAATGAGCATATTAATTAAGAGAGGGCAGGCTGGGCACGTTAGCTCACGCCTGCAATTCCCAGCATTTTGGGAGGCCAAGGCAGGTGGATCAACTGAGGTCAGGAGTTTGAGATCAGCCTGACCAACATGGTGAAACCCCGTCTCTACTAAAAATACAAAAATTAGCCAGGTGTGGTGGCACCTGCCTGTAATCCCAGCTACTCAGGAGGCTGAGGCAGGAGAATCACTTGAACCCGGGAGGCGGAGGTTGCAGTGAGCCAAGATCGCGCCATTGTACTCCAGCGTGGGCAAGAGTGAGCCTCTGGACCAAAAAAAAAAAAAAAAAGGGCATTCCCAACTGAGTGAACAATACAGTTGGCCCTAAGTATCCATGGGTTCCACATCTGTGGATTCAACTGCAGGTCAGAAATATTTGAGCGGGAAAATGCCTCAAATTTCTAAAAAACAAAACCTTAATTTAGCATGCATCAAATACTATGTTGAATCTATGCAAATGAAGTTATGTGTAGGCATATTAGGTATTATAAGTAATCTAGAGATAATTTAAAGTATCAGGAAGATACTATGTCATTTTGTATAAGGGACTTGAGCATCATGGACTTGGTATCCATGGAGGTATTGAAACCAATCCTCCATGGACACTGAGGGACAAGCTGTATAAAGGAGGTCAGAAAAGACTGCACTGTGGGTTTAGAGAGAATAATCTGATATGGGTGGGCAGGCAAATGAGAGTGAAGAAAGGGCAATAAGTCTAGGCCCAAATTGTGAAGGGTGGTAGTTGTGGATTCTGATAAGAGTGTGGATTAAACTCCAATTAATAATTAAATGGGAACATTTAAATTGTTAAATGTATAAGTTCTGGCCAGGCGTGGTGGCTCACGCCTGTAATCCCAGCCCTTTGGGAGACCAAGGCGGGTGGATCACCTGAGGTCAGGAGTTCGAGACTAGCCTGGCCAACATGGTGAAACCCCATCTCTACTAAAATACAAAAAATTAGCAGGGCGTGGTGGCGTGCGCCTGCCTGTAGTACCAGCTACTCAGGAGGCTGAGGCAGGAGAATTGCTTGAACCTGGGAGGCAGAGGTTGCAATGAGCCAAGATCGCACCACTGCACTCCAGCCTGGGTGAAAGAATGAGACTCCGTCTCAGAAAAAAAAAAAAAATGTATAAGTTCTGATTTATTAGATGAGAAGTACTGATAAAACACAGAAATGTTAATTGTTCAGTAGATCAATAAGATTAATAAACATTAAAATTTAGAAAAAACAAAACTCCTAAACTGGTATGGATAAACTAGTACCCCTTTCAAAGTGAGAAATAGAAAATGACATATGGGAGGCTGGGTGTGTTGGCTCCCACCTGTAATCCCAGCACTTTGGGAGGCTGAGGTGGGTGGATCACCTGAAGCCAGGAGTTCAAGACCAGTCTGGCCAACACGGTGAAACCCTGTCTCTACTAAAAATACAAAAATGAGCTGGGTGTGGTGGTGCATGCCTGTAATCCCAATTACTCAGGAGAATGAGGCACAAGAATCAGTTGAACCTGGTAGGTGGAGGTTGCAGTGAGCCAAGATAGTGCTACTGCGCTCCAGTCTGGAATGAAATTCTGTCTCAAAAAAGAAAGTAACATATGGGAAAAAGAGAACACCTAGACCAGATTTACGTCAGAAAGATTTTGTCGTGGAGGTTAAATAGTAGGTTTGTGTGATCTCTTGACTTAATGGATAAGCTAGGTTTAACCATTATTGAGAACTGTTGATATATAGTTAGTAATAGCTTTGTGACTAAGATAAAATCAGAAAATGACCAAAATGGTAGCTTTCTAAATGTTGATGTTAGTGGTAGTCTGAAATCCTCTACCTTTGTACCTTCAGATTCTTTTTTTTTTTTTTTTGAGATGGAGTCTGGCTCTGTCACCCAGGCTGGAGTGCAGTGGCAAGATCTCCGCTCACTGCAAGCTCCGCCTCCCGGGTTCACGCCATTCTCCTGCCTCAGCCTCCCATGTAGCTGAGACTACAGGCGCCCACCACTACGCCCGGCTAATTTTTTGTATTTTTAGTAGTGACAGGGTTTCACCGTGTTAGCCAGGATGGTCTCGATCTCTTGACCTCGTGATCTGCCCGCCTCGGCCTCCCAAAGTGCTGGGATTACAGGCGTGAGCCACCGCGCCCGGCCTTTTTTTTTTTTTTTGAGACGCAGTCTCACTCTATTGCCCAGGCTGGAGTTCAATGGCACCCTCACTGCAAGCTCCGCCTCCCGGTTTCAAGCAATTCTCCTGCCTCAGCCTCCTGAGTATCTGGGATTACAGGCACGTGCCACCACACCCAGCTAATTTTTGTATTTTTAGTAGAGATGGGGTATCACCACATTGGTCAGGCTGGTCTTGAACTCCTGACCTCGTGATCCACCCACCTCAGCCTCCCAAAGTGCTGGGATTACAGGCGTGAGCCACCGCGCCCAACCTCAGATTCTCTTAATAAGCATAGTTCTAGTATCACAAAATGTTTATGTCACATGAAGGCATTTCACTACTCATACAATCTGAACATAAGCATGAAACATGTCTTCCTAATCTATTTATAGGTTTAAGTTCTCCTGTCCTCCTCCTTTAAAGGATTAACCTTGCTTCCAGCCAAAGTTCATTAAAAAATTCTTTATTTAGTATATTCTGTCACTCAGAGAGTAAGCTTGATAAACATAGGTTGTTTTAAAATATTATAGTAATGGTTTATTGATAGGTAATTTGGTTAGTAGAGTTATAAATACAAAAAGGGAAAGGTTACCAGAAATAAGACATTATTTCTAACAAATCTTCAAGAAAATCTTGATTATTAAAGTCCCTTTTATCTTACAAGTGTTGCATATACAGTTTTGGCTCTTCAGAGCCCTCTACCAATAAGGCACCTGCAATAGTAGATAATTTGCTACCGCAGCCTTAGAGAGCAGTTCTTAGAGGTCTGCTGGTGCTTCTCTTGACAAAGCACACTTTTTTTTTGTTTCCCCCGAGACAGAGTCTTGCTCTGTTGCCCAGAGTCGGAGTGCAATGGCATGATCTCGGCTCACTGCAACCTCTGCCTCCTGGGTTCAAGCAATTCTCCTGCCTCAGCCTCCCAAGTAGCTGGGATTACAGGTACCCACCACCACGCCCAGCTAATTTTTGTATTTTCAGTAGAGACAGGGTTTCACCATGTTGGCCAGGCTGGTCTCGAACTCCTAACCTCGTGATCTGCCTGCCTTGGCCTCCCAATGTGCTGGGATTACAGGCGTGAGTCGCCGTGCCCAGCCAACAAAGCGTACTTTAAAAAAAAAAAATTATTTTTTATTTTTTTAATTTGAGACAGAGTCTCACTCTGTCACCCACGCTGGAGTACAGTGGCATAATCTCGGCTCACTGCAACCTCCACCTCCTGGGTTCAAGCGATTCTCCTGCCTCAGCCTCCCAAGTAGCTGGGATTATAAGCATGCACCAACACACCCAGCTAATTTTTGTATTTTTAGTAGAGACAGGGTTTCCTCATGTTGGCCACGCTAGTCTTGAACTCCTAGCCTCAAGTGAGCCACCCGCCTTGGCCTCCCAAAGTGCTGGGATTATAGGCATGAGCCACCATGCCCAGGCCAAAGTGCACTTTTAATCAAGACAAACAGTCACACATTTATGTACATCCTAAAGTCCTAGTATAAAAACTGCGACTGAACTGATGGACTAGAATAAAAATAATAAATCCTTAGATCCATGCCAGCCTCTCACAAATTATCTGAATTTCATAAAAATATGAAGTGTTAACACAGAGATGGAATGGCAACAGACTTTATGAAAGCTCACACAGTGAAACTAAACAAAATCTCAAGCTGTGGTGTGGAGCTATTCTGTTACCAGGCAGCACCCCCTCACCATATAAATAGCAGCTAGCTACTGGTTTCTTAAAGCCAAACTAATGATGGTTTTGAAGAGAACCTTGTCTATTGCCCTACTCATGACTCAAAACGGAAGACTTTTCCTGTCTCCTGATCCTTTTTCTTTTAGCTTATTTGAGAAGAGCCCTGAAATGAGAAAAGATCATTGAGTGAAATATAATCTCCTGAAGTATCATCTCCTTACTGTAGATACCCCTAACAACAACAGGAGGCTTTGACTCAGCCACATTCCAACAGAGGTTCTAAGTCAGTATCCTGTAAGGTTTCCATAGTCCTGGAGAACTTCACGCAAACTTCTTCTTGGTGGCTGTGAACCTCTCCATGTACTAAAAAACATGAAAGAATACATAAGGGGTATTTTGGCATGAGTAAATAAATATAAGCCTAACTATTTTTTTTTTCATTTTGGTTTTTATTGCATGTGGTTTTTCATTTCCTACAAAATATAACTGCTGTAAATGCAAAATGAATTACATAGTTTTGGCCAGGTGCAGAGGCTCACACTTGCAATCTCAACACTTTGGGAGGCCAAGGTAGGTGGATCGCTTGAGCCTAGGAGTTTCAGACCAGCCTGAGCAATCTACCAAAAATAGAAAAATGAGGCATGGTAGCGCCTGTAGTCTCAGCTAATCAGGAGGTTGAGATGGGAGGATCACTTGAGCTGAGATCCTGCCACTGCACTCCAGCCAGGTGACAGAGTGAGACCTTGCCTCCAAAAAAAATAAATAAATAAAGCACATAGGGCCGGGTGTGGTGGCTTACACCTGTAATCCCAGCACCTTGGGAGGCTGCGGCGGGCAGATCACTTCAGCCCAGGAGTTTGAGACCAGCTTGGCGAACAAGGCAAAACCCCATCCCTGCAAAAGTTAGCAAGGCATACTGGCACACGACTGTGATCCCAGCTACTAGGGGGGCTGAGGGATGAGAATCGCTTGAGCCCAGGAGGTGAAGGCTGCGCCAGTGAGCTGAGATTGCGCCACTGCACTCCAGCCTGGGCGACAGAGTGAGACCCTGTCTCACACACACACACACACACACACACACTATATATATATATATATCAAAAGACAAAGATGAAGACAAAGATGCTTTACAATAAGCTGTCTATAGAGAAAAAGTCATCTTGGTACAATACCATTCAGCCAATGCTTTGAATCTACTTCCAAAATGGGGAAGAACAAATCCTGTTGACATGAGCTATAAACATTTCTGTGGATTACTTCACCATTGTCTTCTCTGGGGTAGTGACTAGAAATGCAGAAGTACATTAATTCATACCTTATCATAGCCTTCCAGTTCTCGAAGTTTCTTTATTTCAAAAAGATTGCCTTCCACAGCAAGCAGACAGATCTGGGAATCACTGAGGATGCTCTGGGGAAGCATGCTGAGCTCAAGACAATTCTCTTCCAGGCGAAGAATTTTAAGGCGTGGACAGCAAGATATCTTCACTGAGATCTGAGATATCTATTGAAAAACCACAAAAGAATAACAGGAAAAAGCATAAGCACTATACTGGTTACTTTTAGTACATTAAAACAAAACAAAAATCTTTACTTGACTATTTGTTCTAGTTTTCCCCTCTTTTACCACCTCCATTTTCTCACTGCCTACTCACTCCAGAAGCCTCTGTTATCTAGCTTCTGTTACTACGCCCCCACTTAAAAAAAATGCTTTTATGAAGGTCACCCATGGCTTTTTGGGAACAAAATTTTCTGATGATAAAAGCACTGTATGTTCATTATAGAAAATTTGAGAATCACAGGTTTAAAGAAAAAAGTTTACCTGGAATCCACCACCCAGAAATAACCACCATAAACATTTTGGTACATTTACTGCCAATGTTTTATGTGTACATAGATACTGACCACTTTACTACCAAATTCAAGGATCCATTGTCCTCAGTCCCTACTGCATTTAACTGTACTATCTATCCCTTCCTTAAAACCCCTTATTTTTGTCCTTTTTTGGTTTTTCTTCCTATCTTTTGGATTCTTCCTTACTTCTCTTGTTTTTATGGGCATTTTTCAAGTAGCTGTCTGTAATACTTCATATGTCATCTTCTCTCTAAACTTCTTCTAGAAAGCTCATTCATTAAAGTCCATCACTTTTGTTATGACCTCAAGATCTGTATCTATACTCTTACCTCTATTCTGCTCCCACGTTTCCAACTTTCAGTAAGATATTTCCATTTACAAGATTCACCACAGACAACTCAGCATGTCCATTCTCAATAGCACTACTGTTCCTTTAGGCCCTCAAGCTCAATACCAAGCAATTGTCTTTGACTCACCCCTTTTGCCATTTAAATACTAAAAGTCACCAAATTATTTGATTCTGCCCAGTATCATCTCAGACCATCACTTATTAGAAATCATGGGAACTTTAATAAGTTCAATAACTAGCAATGCAAGTTCTCAGACCTCATCCCAGCCCTACTGGATCAGAAACACTGAGGGTAGGGGGCTAGTGATCTCTTTAAACAAGCTTTTCTGGTTAATTCTGATGCATACTAAACTTAGAGAACCACTGAATAAAGGTACTGGCAGAGGTGAATGTGGAGCAAATCCTCAACTAATACTTGCTGCTTAATTGATTCAGTTTTTTTTTTCCCCCAAGAAGCTCTATAACATACAAGAATATCCACTTAAGGTAAAAAAACATGAGGCCAATTCCTCAAAGACAGACTGAATTTCATCATGATGTAAAATCACTACAATCTAGAAAAGTAATAACCACATGCAGCTTCTGGCCACTTTAATGGACCATGCAGATCTAGAAATACAGACACTAGAAAACTAAAGGCCATCCAGTCTCACAGTGTTTAATATTTCATCACTTGTGCCTTCATGCCTAGACAAGAATCTTTGGATTGGTTTTCCAGACAAATATTAATTGAAAGCTTCCAAAGTAATGGAAACAAATTTCAAATATTATAATTAAAGCTGTACAACAGTGAAATGGGCTATCTCCAGAAAGCCTATCACTTAATATTCTTCAGCAAAAGGAGACACACTTTGTAACAAAGATGTCAAAACCCCACACAAAACGAAAAACAAAACTGAATTACCTCTGACTCCCGACTCTGAGAACCTCAGTTTAGGCCTCATTTCCACATTATATCCCTGACATAGCTCCTGGCTAGCTGGTTAGGGGCATATATTTGAGGAGGATCTGAAGAAGTCTTCAAGATTTGTGAGACAGTAGTTTAACTTTTGAAATGATCTCTCCCTGTTACCTACCCCACCCTCCCCAAAACACCTACACAACTAACACATCCAGTGTCTCAACTAATTCCATGGCACTTTGGGCCTTGAAATTAGTTCAGCCTATAGAAGAAACCTCTCATTTAGCCTCTGATACTTAGCTCTATGATGGCAGTTTAGGAAACAAGAGGTTAACAGGTATCAGGAGACCTTAAAGCCACACATATGCTGTAGGAAAAAAAACCTTAAAGCTCTAGACCTGATTCTGGTTGAGGTTGAGTTCGATGACTTGCAGCTCTCCCACTGAGTCAGGTATACTTCGAATCTGGTTCTTAGAGAGATCCATCACATCCAGGTGCCGTAGGCTACAAAGTTGGGGAGGTAATGCTCCCAGTTGGTTCCCAGAGAGGCTCAGGGTCTTGAGGGCAGAGAGTTGCCCAAAGGTAGACGGCAGCTCTCTAAGGTGATTGTTGTTTAGGCTTAGCGTCTCTAGTTTTTTCAGATTGCATATCTCATCAGGCAGAACAGCTGGCAAAGAAAAATTTTTTTAAAACCTGAATGTGATAGAGCTGAAAACAACTTTGATGAAGTTTATAAAGACTATATGGCAGCCTGCTTCGCCTCTTGTTAATATATGTAAAACTCCCACATGTGCCATTTTTAGATATTGCATTTTACCAACATAGTCTTTAGAAGGTGAGGGTGCCATCAAAATGCCGGAGAGCATTTGTGTGTATAATGGGCTCCTTTTGTAAAGGGGCCCAAGGCACAATCCGACAGCAATTTTGTGATATTTGGAAGATCCTCCCCTTCTCATCCATCCCCCATTCCAAGTTAGGTAGCTTTGTTTACATTACATCCCCAAAATGTTCTTCTCTTTCAAGTCCAAATTAACCCAGTAACAATCATTATAACACCCAATCATTATAAGGCTTATTTTAGATGTAATTACAAGAAGTAGAAAGAAGGCTTCAAGGATTCCGGCATTCGCAACTTGAGCCCTCCTGCACGGTTTCATAACAAAAACAAAAATCAGCTTGTAAGAGAAAACCACCCCTGGTAACAGCTGATCACTAGCAAAAGCCTCCCTGGCGAGAGCCATACTCAGTTTGTTGTTGTTCAGGGAGAGGCTCTTCAGCAGAGTGAACTTTCCTATCAGCAAAGGCGGTAGGCTTTCGATCTTGTTGTTGGACAAGTCGATGGTCCTGAGATTGCTCGTCAGCTTCTGCAAGTCTGCGGGGAACTGGAGAAAGGAGTTCACAGCGTGGGGAATCCCGCACCGACTAAGTTCGCCGCCCCCGCCGTCCCTCTCCCTTTAAGTTCCCTGGTCGTGTCCCTCCCAGTCTCACCTCGGTCAGCCCTCGGTCCTTAAGCTGAAAGACACCAGTTTTCTGCGCCGTTTCCACATGAGCGCGGAGCGCACTGTTTCCCATCCTAGCGCCGCGGCTCAGGTCCCTGCGGGAAGGAAGCGCTGCTGTCACCGCCCAGTCCACCCGGTCGGCCTCCCGGCTGGGGCTCCTGCCCCAGCTCTCAACTCCCGCCGATCCCTGGCTCCTGGGGCCCGACCCAAGAGCGACAAGGAAGAAACGGAAGAACACACAGCCCGACCACCAAGCCCTGCCGCCTTTGCAGCTCTGCGGAGGCCAGGCGCCTCTGGGAGCCTACGGAAGATCAGGGAGCCCCGGACTCGCCTCCCACCGCTCAGCTGCCGTAAGGCTCCGCAGGTGAAGACCCAGGACCCGCAGTAGCCGGGATGCGCTCCCCGGCTTAGTCCCGGGCGGGAACGCCCTGTGACGTCATCGAGCCGCGCCGTGCGTTCGCCCTGCGATCCCGCTCACTCTTGGCGCCTTCGCGGAAGGTGCGTCCGAGCCATGGCCGCTGCCAACCCGTGGGACCCGGCGTCCGCGCCTAACGGCGCTGGGCTAGTGCTAGGCCACTTCATAGCTTCGGGGATGGTCAATCAGGTACGTGGGGGTGGCGGTGGTGTCATCAAGGGGGTGCCCAAGGTGGCAACAATATGGCTGTGAGTTGGTGCTGCTGGCTGTGGGAGTGGTGAGGGTCCTGGTTGGGGTCTGTACTAGAGTAATAAGAGCCCCTTCCAGGCAACAGCCGCGAACGTTCTGCCGTGGATGCTTGGAAAGCGGGGATCTGAGTAGATGGTGTTTAGGGTAGACTGTGTTTTGAGTGTCTGTAGGGTAAATTTGTCCCAGTCCAGTTTGTGGGAGATTAGACTGTTACCAGCCTTTTTTTCATCCAGTGATACTGCCTCTAGACTGTAGTGTAAGGGCGGGGATGGGAAATACGGGTCGTTCTGTCCCCTTGCGGAACAAGCATTTCCAACAACCCTCGTTTGTGGGAAGTGTTGAATCGTATTTGGGGCGGGAGGTGCTGGGTAGAGAAGAGCGCCAGAAGCTCTTTTTTGACATTTTTATTTTATTTTATTATTTATTTATTTATTTATATGAGACAGAGTCTCGCTCTAACGCCCAGGCTGGAGTGCAGTGGCGTGGTCTCGGCTCACTGCAACCTCCGCCTTCCTGGTTCAAGCGATTCTCCTGCCTCAGCCTCTGGAGTAGCTGGGACTACAGGCGCCCACCACCACACCCAGCTAATTTTTTTTTGTATGTTTAGTAGAGACGGGGTTTCACCTTGTAAGCCAGGATGGTCCCGATCTCCTGACCTCGTGATCCACCCGCCTCGGCCTCCCAAAGTGCTGGGATTACAGGCGTGAGCCACCGCGCCCGGCCTTGGCATCTTTAAAGGCAAAAAAAAAAAAAAAAAAAAAAAAGTATTGGCTAAAAAGATAAGACCTTGGAACGTGAATGGAGGAAGAGATTAATTTTGAGAAGGAGAGAAAAGAGACATTAACCCAAGGAGTCACGGAGTGGCAGTTTTAGGTTGGGCAAGAGGAGCATGTCGGAGGAAGGAGCCAACAGAGGGAGAAATTGAACATGTGAGGAAATAATGGAATGCAGTGACAGGAGGGCATGGGGCAAGTGGGATCAAGGGCATTGAGAAAAATGGGGAAATAAATTTTGATATATAGAGGAAGTTGAGAAATTTCACTAAAAAGAAAACAGAAAAGTTAAACTGATCTGTAAAAATCAGCACATATTAGCCGGCATGGTGGCGTACACCTGTAGTCCCAACTACTCCGCGGACCACATGGGTCCTGGAGGCTCAGATGGGAAGATGGCTTGAGCTTAAGAGATGGAGGTTGCAGTGAGATGCGATCGGGCCACTGCACTTAGCCTGGGCGACAGAGTGAGACCCTGTCTCAGGGAAAAAAAAAAAAAAAAAAGCACTACAAACATGATGGAAGATTTACGGAAAATACATAACTTTTTATAGTCAGAAGAGCCATTAGAGACTCTAATACCTTACAGTATTTTTTAATTTAAGAAACTAAGGCTTAGACCAAGAAACTTGCCCATGGTCACTAGACTGTTAAAGGAGAATTAGATCTTAGTACTCTCCCTTTTGACACATTGTATCCCCTCTCAAGATGAACTGTTATAAGAGGCTGTGATACTGTATTAAAAGATTTTAAGCTTTTGTTGAACACCCATTGTCTGGGTGATGGGGAGATTCAGGTGGTCCTAGTTGACTAACTTTACCAGGAGTGACCACAGCACTCTACAGTGTAATCCTTCCTCCCTTCTCTCCTGTGTTTTCTTTTTTTTTTGAGACGGAGTCTCGCTCTGTTGCCCAGGCTGGAGTGCAGTGGCACAGTCTTGGCTCACTGCAAGCTCCACCTCCTGGGTTCATGCCATTCTCCTGCCTCAGCCTCATGAGTAGCTGGGACTACAGGTGCTCACCACCTCACCCGGCTAATTTTTGTATTTTTAGTAGAAATGGGGTTTCACCATGTTAGCCAGGATGGTCTCGATCTCCTGACCTCGTGATCTGCCTGCCTCTGCCTCCCAAAGTGCTGGGATTACAGGCGTGAGCCACTGCACCCGGCCCTCTCCTGTATTTTCTTTTTCTTTTCTTTTCTTTTTTTTTTTTTTCTGAGACATAGTCTCCCTCTGTTGCCCAGGCTGGAGTGCAGTGGTGTGATCTTGGCTCACTGTACCCTCTGCCACCTGGGTTCAATCAATTCTCGTGCTCCCGAGTAGCTGGGACTACAGGCACCTGCCATCACACCTGCTAATTTTCATATTTTCAGTAGAGACGGGGTTTCACCATTTTGGCCAGGGTAGTCTCAAACTCCTGATCTCAGGTGATCTGCCTGTCTCGGCCTCCCAAAGTACTGGGAGCTGAACCCAGCCTTTTTCTTCTTATCAGGTTACCTAGTACTCTCACTTGTATTGTCCAGTTCTCCTGTCACAAAATAGTTTGGCAAACTCATAATAGAAAACATTTTTGAGGGTTCACTCCTGTAATCCCAACACTTTGGGAGGCCGAGGCGGGTGGATCACCTGAGGTCAGGAGTTTGAGATCAGCTGGGCCAACATGGTGAAACCCAGTCTCTACTACAAATACAAAAATCAGCCGGGTATAGTGGTAGGTGCCTGTAATCCCAGCTACTCGGGAAGCCGAGACATGAGAATCGCTTGAGCCCTGGAGGTGGAGATTGCAGTGAGCAAAGATCGTGCCACTGCACTCCAGCCTGGGTGACACAGTAAGACCCTGTCTCAAAAAAAAACAACCCCCCAACTTTTGGTACTTGGTATCCCTCTAAAGAGCATTGGTAGGAAATACAAATGCCTAAACCAAAGGAGTAAGGCACTGGTGACAGAATTTCAGGCATTGATGGGTGAACTCTTTTTTGGGGGTGGTGGTTGTCTTGGGGGTGTCTACTGTCTCTCAAGTAACATTAATTAGACAGTTACTGGTTTTACCTACAGTTAACATGTCCCACTCCATAGCTCCTTAAGATCCCACTCCATAGCTCCTTAAGACTTCTGACAACCTTACTACACAGCTAGTCCCAATGAGGGAGCTATTTACAGACTTGTAGGTTGGTTTTACTTTAAGCAAACTTTATACATAAAAACTTTTGTCTCTTTTTTTTTGTTTTTTTTGTTTTTTTCCCTGAGACAGAGTCTCACTCTGTTGCCCAGGCTGGAGTACAGTGGCACAATCTTGGCTCACTGCAACCTCCGCCTCCTTGGTTCAAGCAATTCTCCTGCCTCAGCTTCCTGAGTACCTGAGATTACAGGCGCGCACCACCACGCCCGGCTAATTTTTTTAATTTTTAGTAGAGATGGGGTTTCACCATATTGGTCAGGCTGGTCTCGAACTCCTGACCTCAAATGATCCACCCGCCTCGGCCTCCCAAAGTGCCGGGATTACAGGCATGAGCCACTACACCCAGCCAAAAACCTTTTCCTATTAGAAGGATTTAGCATTGATTCTTTCAAAATGATTTGTCACGTCATCCCTTCAAACAGCCCATCCCTTTAATGCACATCATTTTTTGTGCATTAAAAATTAAGACTATTGAGTTCCTGCTGGCAAGGATTTTTTAAAAATTGAGTGATTCCTAAAATTGTGATTTGATACAACTCTTCTAGAAAACATAGCTTGTTTGAAGTTTTGTTTCAATCTGTTAGAGAGTGATTTGGTGAAAGAAAGGTAGGGCTATCTGTAGGATAATGGGGTATTGCTTTAGTTTATTCCCCTAGGGACTGCTTTAGTGGCCTTACATTCTAGATATTTTTCCAGCAAGTGTGAGTGAGTCATGGAGTCTTGACCAAAGCTTGATCATTGCTTATTGGCAATTAATAAGATCAGGGTCTGGATCTACCAAAAAACCCACAGAATCTACTAATTCTGTTTTCTTAACTTGTGTCCTACTCTCCTCTATACCTCTTCTCCCATTTGAGAGCCTCTGCTCTTAAATTCTCTGCTATACTACCTCCCTTTTAATGTCCCTCAGCTAGAATTCAGTATGAAAAGGAAGGGATAGGAAAAAGAAGAAAGAGTGCCCACCAATTACAAGTTTATACATACATATATGGTATATAATGTTACCAGGATTTTTTTTTTTTTTTTTTGAGATGGAGTTTCGCTCTTACTGCCCAGGGTGGAGTGCAATGGCACGATCTCAGCTCACCACAACCTCCGCCTCCCGGGTTCAAGCAATGCTCCTGCCTCAGCCTCCCAAGTAGCTGAGATTACAGGCACATACCACCACGCCCGGCTAATTTTTGTATTTTTAGTAGAGACGGGGTTTCACCATGTTGGTCAGGCAGTTCTCGAACTCCTGACCTCATGATCCACCTGCCTCGGCCTCCCAAAGTGCTGGGATTACAGGCCAGGATTTTTATATTAAGTATAAAGGTTCTGGATTTGAGCTTCTTCTTGTGCCTAGCCACGGAATAAACAGAAATACCCTGAATAGACTCCTTTTTCTCAGGATCCTTTCATTTTCAGGGTTCTTTTGCCCTTTGGGGCATGTAATAGCAATATATAGTAACAATAGCTAAAGGAAAAGACTTTTCTGTATTCCCCAATCCCTGATACTTTTTTCTTTTTTTTTTTAAATGTGTTAAACTAAGTCTCAATCCTCAAATAGTTGTACTTCCTATTTATTATGGAAAATAAGCCTCCACCTCCCTAAGTGCAGGGATTACAGGTGAGAGCCACTGCACCTGACCCTCTTTCTTTCTTCTCTCCTTTTTTGTTATCTGCTTCTTAAACATTCTTATTTTTCCTCTGGTTTCTCTTGCATGTTCTTAGCTAAGCACCATTACTCTATTGTTGAACCCGACAGTTTACTAGTTTGCCAGATGTACAACTAAGATTAGTGTGTAAGCATGGAGAGAGGGAGATATACCAGTGAACAGGTTGGTTACAATGTGATAAATTGTAGAAAATATTTTACTTTCATTTACCTCCTGAGAGAAACAAAGAAAAAAGGGTCAGCTGATATGATGGAAGGGCAGTGGATTAGATGTGTTCTCACTTCCATCTTGGCACACACTGGCAGTG
Organism: Homo sapiens; assembly: GCF_000001405.40. NCBI lineage: Eukaryota > Metazoa > Chordata > Mammalia > Primates > Hominidae > Homo > Homo sapiens. The sequence continues at coordinate 42,553,941 of NC_000015.10, forward strand.
TGAAGTTGGAGTAATACTTTCCTGTTCCTCAATTTTGCCATCAGTAAAATATCTTGTGTTATCTACTTCAGTGAATGGCATAACTCTGTCCACTCACCTGAAGCAAAATCCTTAGAGTATTAACTGGATTTTATCCCTTACCATATCAACTAAGATTTGTCAATTCCATCTTTGCAGGAACTCCCATCTTTTCTTCCTTTCCTTTTTAACTGTTACTGACCTAGTCCACATTCTCATCCTTACCTGGAATACTGTAGCAGCCACCTGTTTAAATATCCAACCTCTCCAGTCTATTTCTCCACTAGTGTTTTTTCTTTATGTTAGCTAGTTACCAGGGTTTTCCTTCTTTTTTTTTTATTGTGGTAAAATACATATAACATAAAATTTACTATTTTAACTGTCTTAAAATGTACACTTCAGTGGCATTTACTATACTCAATATTGTGCAACTATTTTCAAAAACATCTTTATCACTCCAGATGTAAACTCTGTACTATTCCCTATTCCCTCCTCCCTCTTCATTAGTGTTTTTATTTTGTTTGTTTTGTAGGTGTATTTTTTTTTTTTTAAGAGAGAGTCTCTCTGTGTTGTTCAGGCTGGAGTGCAGTAGTGCGCTCACAGCTTACTGCAGCCTCAGCCTCCTGGGCTCAAGTGATTCTCCCATCTCAGCCTCCCTAGTAGCTGGGATTACAGGCATATGTCATCATGCCTGGCTGATTTTTGTATTTTTAGTAGAGACAGGGTTTCACCATGTTGGCCAGGCTGGTCTCCAACTTCTGATCTCAGGTGATCTACCCCCTCGGCCTCCCAAAGTGCTGGGATTACAGGTGTGAGCCACCACGCCCAGCCAGTTTTATTTTTCATACTGCCCCAGTTAAATATCCCCACCTTCCCCGCCGCCGCTGAGACAGGGTCTCACTCTGTTGCCCAGGCTGGAGTTGCAGTAGCATGATCACAGCTCACTACAGCCTCAATCTCCCAGGCTCAAGGGATCTTCCCACCCCAGCCTCCCAAGTAGCTGGGACTATAGGCACATGTCACCATGCCTGGCTAATTTTTTTTTTTTTTGAGACAGAGTCTCTCTCTGTCATCAGGCTGGAGTGCAATGGCGTGATCTCTGCTCACTGCAACCTTCGCCTCCTGGGTTCAAGCGATTCTCCTGTCACAGCCTCCCGAGTAGCTGGGACTACAGGCACGCCACCACACCCAGCTAATTTTTGTATTATTAGTAGAGATGGGGTTTCACCATGTTGGCCAGGATGGTCTCGATCTCCTGACCTCGTGATCTGCCCACCTCGGCCTCCCAAAGTGCTGGGATTACAGCCGTGAGCCACGGCGCCCGGCTGCCTGGCTAATTTTTTTAATTTTTTGTAGAGACAGGGTCTCCCTGTGTTGTGCAGGCTGGTCTCAAACTCCTGGGCTCAAGCAGTTCTCCTGCTTTAGCCTTCCAGAGTGCTGGGATTACAGGTGTGAGCCATCATGCCAGCCTGTATTTCTAAATAAGTATTATGTATGATTATATTACTTCTTCACCAGAAAATGTTCAGTTGCTCCCATTTTCTGCAGTATGATTGTTGAGCATAGCACTCAGGATCATCTATGATTATGTTGGAGACTATGTTTTCAGCTACATCTTACCCCTCTTTTCACATATATGCTAACACTGGTGGTTATTGAGCATTTGTAATGTTTTTGATCTTTCTATCTAGAATACCTTTTTCTTCCCATCCATTATGAGCCTCATGAGGGTAGAGAGCTTGTTTCACTCATATTTGAATATTTCGTTGACTAACTCAGTAAGTGTTCATAAAATTGATTATTTTTGGACAGTAAACTTTTACTATGAAGAGCCAGAGAGTAAATATGTAAGGCTTTGTGGGCCATATGGTTGCAGCTACACAACTAGGTGGTTGTATAAAAGCAGCCAGAGATAGTGTGTAAATGGATGAGAGAAGTCATGTTCCAATAAAACTTTATTTCTGGACCATGAAATTTGAATTTCAGATCATTTTCTTTTCTTTTTTAAGACGGAGTTTCGCTCTGTCACCCAGGCTGGAGTGCAGTGGCGCGATCTCGGCTCACTGCAACCTCTGCCTCCCAGGTTCAAGCAATTCTCCTGCCTCAGCCTCCCAAACTAGCTGACTAGCTGGGATTACAGGCGCCTGCCACCACGCCTGGCTAATTTTTTTTTTTTTTTTTTGAATAGAGACAGAGTTTCACCATGTTGGCCAGGCTGGTCTCAAACTCCTGACCTCAGGTAATCCACTTGCCATGGCCTCCCAAAATGTTGGGATTACAGGTGTGAGCCACTGCGCCCAGGCTTTTTTTTTTTTTTTTTTTTTTTGAGACAGGGTCTCACTCTGTCGCCCAGACTAGAGTGCAGTGGCAATCTCAGCTCACCACAACCTTGTCTCCTAAGCTCAAGCAATTCTCCTGCCTCAGCCTCCCGAGTAGCTGGGATTACAGGTGTGCACCACTCCTGCCTGGCTAATTTTTGTATTTTTAGTAGAGACGGGGTTTCACCATGTTGTCCAGGCTGGTCTTGAACTCCTGACCTCAAATGATCTACCCACCTCGGCCTCCAAAGTTCGGGATTACGGGCATGAGCCACTGTGCCCAGCCTGTTATAAAATATTGTCTTTGATTTTCTTTTTCCCAACAATTTGAAAATATAAAAACCATGCCTGGTTCACAGGCTGTACAAAAACAGGTAATGGGCTGCATTTATTTCATGGACTATAGTTTTCCAGTCCCTGGCCTATCTGATCTCTAAAGTTCTTTGGCCTGGACGCGGTGGCTCACGCCTGTAATCTGGGCACTCTGGGAGGCTGAGGCGGGTGGATCACCTGAGGTCAGCAGTTCTAGACCAGCCAGGCCAACATGGTGAAACCCCAACTGTACTAAAAATACAAAAAAAAAAAAAAAAATTAGCTGGGCATGGTGGCAGTAATCCCAAAAACTCCCAGCTACTTGGGAAGCTGTAATCCCAGCTATTTGGGAAGCTAAGGCAGGAGAATCAGTTGAATGCAAGAGGCAGAGGTTGCAGTGAGCAGAGATGTTGCCATTGTGCTCCAGCCTGGGTGACAAGAGCGAAACTCAGTCGGTGGCTCACGCCTGTAATCGCAGCATTTTGGGAGGCCTAGGTGGGCAGATCATGAGGTCAGGAGATCGAGACCATCCTGGCTAACACAGTGAAACCCCGTCTCTACTAAAAAATACAAAAAAATTAGCCGGGCATGGTGGTGGGCGCCTGTAGTCCCAGCTACTCGGGAGGCTGAGGCAGGAGAATGGCATGAACCCAGGAGGCAGAGCTTGCAGTGAGCCGAGATTGCACCACTGCACTCCAACCTGTGCGACAGAGTGAGACTCCATTTAAAAATATATATATTATATATAATATATATTTTATATATAATATATATTTTATATATATTATATATTTTATATATAATATATATTTTATATATACATTATATAATGTATACATTGTATATAATGTATATTATATATAATATATACATTGTATATAATGTATATTATATATAATATATACATTGTATATAATGTATATATTATATATATATGAAGTTCTTTGCTGTGCTAGCATTCTAGAAAGCAAGATGATAGAGAAAATTATGGATGAAGTCTAGGAATGCACAAGATAATACTCAATTCTGAGATAATGTGCATGGACTCATGGAATGAAAGGATGAAAAAGAAGGGGTAACCTTTTTAAAAGAATAATTATGCCTGGATACAAATAATCCTTTAACTAAAAGATGAGAATGTGAACATACACAGTATGAATGACTTGTAGGCAACTGAGGTCATTTAACGAATCAGATAAATAATTCCATGAAGGCGAAAATATTTGATTTCAACCCCGGAAGCTCTGAGAGACTGGGCCTGAGTCATTTGGAAAGGTAGAGGTGATTCTCCAACAAATTTAGCCTTTGAATCCTTTGATAAACTATCAGTAATACAAATCTATTTTGTATGGTACCTTAGGAAATAATACAAAGGGAGTGTGTTGTTTGTTTCTCTTATTTTTTTTTTAAATATTTGAGCAAGTGATTTGTGATGGTGAAGGTTCTAAAACAGGAATTACACATTGCTACTATTTTACTTTGTACTTCATGTTCAAAGGCAGTGTTGAACATAATATTTTCTCATATTTTAGACTATGGGCATGCTATTCCAATGTACCTAGAAACTTTTTGTGACATTCTGCTACTTTCCTTATTCATTTACCAATAGGAGATGTTAAACATGTCTAAGAAAACAGTTTCTTGTTTTGTGAACTTCACCAGACTACAGCAGATCACAAATATTCAAGCTGAAATCTACCAGGTAAATCATTTTGTTTTCACTTTCTTTTTTTTTTTTTTTTTTTTTTTTGAGACGGAGTCTTGCTCTGTCACGCAGGCTGGAGGCTGGAGTGCAGTGGCACAATCTCGGCTCACTGCAAACTCCGCCTCCCAGGTTCACGCCGTTCTTCTGCCTCAGCCTCATGAGTAGGTGGGACTACAGGCGCCCGCCACCATGCCCGGCTAATTTTTTGTACTTTTAGTAGAGATGGGGTTTCACCATGTTAGCCAGGATGGTCTCGATCTCCTGACCCCATGATCTGCCCGCCTCGGCCTCCCAAAGTGCTGGGATTACAGGTGTGAGCCACTGCGCCCGGCCTGAACTTTTCACTTTCTACTCCTAGTATAGGAAAACAAAAACAAAAGTTGGCCAGATGTAGTGGCTCACACCTATAATCCTCGCACTTTGGGAGGCCAAGGTGGGAGGACTGCTTGAGCCCAGGAGTTTGAGACCAGTGTGGGCAACACAGGGAGATCCCGTCTCTACAAAAAATTTTAAAAGTAACCAGACATGGTGGCACACACCTGTAGTCCCAGCTACTTGGGAGGCTGAGCTGGGAGGATCACTTGAGCCTAGGAAATCGGGGCTGCAGTGAGCCATGTTTGGGCCATTGCACTCCAGCCTGGGTGACAGACGGAGACCCTGTCTCAAAAACAAAAAAACTTTATTGGTTCAAACAGCAATTCCTTTGAACTTAGAACAGTGTCTAGCACATAACTAGCTAGCTACATGTTTACTTACTAATAGTAGTTACAGTAATAGTAGTAAGAGTAGCAGCAGCAGGGCAAGAACAGCAAAATGAAAAACTTCAGTAAATCCCCTGGACTCTTTTTTTTTTTTTTTTGAGACAGAGTCTCACTCTGTCACCCATACTGGAGTGCAGTGGCACAATCTCGGCTCACTACATCCTGACCTCTGGTGATCCACCTGCCTCAGCCTCCCAAAGTGCTGGGATTACAGGAGTGAGCCACCGCACCTGGCCATGGACACTTTCTGATTGAGCTAAATGTTACTTTTGTTCCTCATGTAGAAAAACCTGGAAATTGAACTCCTGAAACTAGAAAAAGATACAGCAGATGTTGTTCATCCTTTCTTTTTGGGTAAGTGGTTTGGTTAAGTGGATAATCACTGGAATTTCAACTTTTTCTTGGATTACTGTAAATAAGCACCAGTCAGTCAAATTATGATACACCATCATTTTTCCAGGTGTTGTCCCAAAGCTAATGAAATCTTGTATTTCTATGCTGAAATAGAAGTTCTGTTGGCTTGAGTAGTACAAATAGCATAAAAAGTCACCAAATTGGCTCTTCAAAGTCAGGAGAACTTGAAAGACAAAGTCTGAGGAACTTTTCAGATTAAAAGAGACTAAAGGGACATGACAACTAAAGCACTGTATGATCATGGATCGATTTTTTATTTTAATGAGATGGGGTCTTCCTATGTTGCCTAGGGTAGTCCTGAATGGCTCAAGCAGTCCTCCCAAATCACCCTCCCAAGTAGCTGGGATCACAGGTACATACCACCATGGCTGGCAATGTTTTGAATATTTGATGAGAAAATGTTCTTGTGGCCAGGCGTGGAGAGTCACGCCTGTAAACCCAGCACTTTGGGAGGCCAAGGTGGGTGGATTGCTTGAGCCCGGGAGTTCAAGACCAGCCAACATGGTGAAACCCTATCTCTACAAAAAAAATACAAAAACTAGCCAGCATTGTAGCATGTACCTGTAGTGCCAGTTACATGAAAGGCTGAGGCAGAAGGATTGTTTGAGCCTGGGAGGTCGAGGCTGCAATGAGTTGTGATCGTAGCACTCCACTCCAGCCTGGGTGACAGAGTGAGACCCTGTCTCAAAAATTAAAATTCTTTTTGCTGTAAAGGACATTATTGGGATACTTAGTGATGTTTAAATATGGACTGTATTAAATATTGGTAGTATTGTATTAATGTTATTTTTTGAATTTGATAATGTGCTGTAGTTATATAGGAGAATGTTCCTCTTCTTGGGAAATACATGCTAACGTTTTACAGGTAAAAAATATCATGCTGTCTGCAGCTTACTCTAAAGTGGATCAGCAAAAATTAGAGAGAGAGAGAGAGAGAGAGAGAAGAGAGAGAAAGAAGATAAAAAGAAAATGTAGCCAAATGTTAATAATCGGTGAATAAGTAAAATGTATGTGTGAGTTCACCAAGCTTTTTTTGAAACTTTTCTGCAAATCTGAATTTTTCCAAAGAAGAATTTTAAAGAAAGGTCAATTGGCAGCCATTAACTGAATGGGGAAAATAATGAGATAATCAGAAATAGCTTGTAGGATGACTTTTTTTTTTTTTTTTAAGAGTGTGTCACTCTGTAACCCAGGCTGAAGTACAGGTCGCTGTAACTTCAACACGTGGTTTCAACTGATTCTCTCAAGTAGCTAGGACTACTGGCATGTGCCACCATGCCCAGCTAATTTTTGTTTTTTCAATTTTTTTGTAGAGATGAAGTCTTGCTATGTTGCCCAGGCTGGTCTCGAACTCATGGCCTCAATTCTCCCGTTTCAGTCTCCCAAAACACTGCGATTACAGGTATGAGCTAGAGCACCAGCTAAGGTGACTCTTTTTCGATGGTCTTTTATAGACTATTAGAGTCAGGGATAGGAAAAAAGACTTTGTGTTAAGAATATAGCTCTGGCTATAAGAACTGAATAAGAAGTAGAGATGAGAAACACAGAGAAAGAATTTAGCACTAGATTTGGTTATCACTAGGAAAAGAGATAATAGAAATATATTAGATATACAAAAACCGACTAAGAGAAAGTTGTTGAAAATGAAATTGGTATTGGTATTAAAGACAGCAAAAAGGAGACAGGAGGGTAATGATAGGATGAATTTTTGACATGGGTAGTGTCAAACCAAGGCAAAGAAGAAATTATTCTGTTATTTGTCCTATTGCTAACTATAATTACTGTTTTTTAATTTGTATAGCTCAGAAGTGTCATACTCTGCAAAGCATGAATAATCATTTGGAAGCAGTGCTGAAAGAGAAGAGATCCCTTAGGCAAAGACTGTTGAAACCCATGTGCCAGGAAAACTTACCTATTGAAGCTGTTTATCACAGGTTAGACTGAAAAGTAGAAATTAACAGTTACACCTGTTTTCTGAGTTTACTTTTTGTTTTGCAGTTACTTTGTAGCAGAATTCATAAAACAATTAGTGATTGTATTTGTTAACATTATTAATGGTGATATATTAAATCAGAAAGAAAATCTTTGCTTTTAAACCATTATACCTATGGCAAAAAGGAAGAACTTGGCCATCGTGTTTTGGGAATTATAAATTATGAGTTTAATGAAAGAAATTAGATCCATAACATGTAACAATAAAAACTGTTTGTATGTGAAGTAAATTCATTGTTGTAAAGTACATTCATTGTTGAGTTAATGTTGCCTATATGTAAAAATTCTATTGGCGGGGTTTAACTGGGGCAGATGAAAACACTATCAACTAAGGGAGGAAAAAACCTGGATTCTGTTCTCATCTCTACTGTTTATATGCCTCAAAGCCTTGAGCAAATGATTTACATTTTTGCCTTAGTTTCCCAATAAATAGAATAGAGATGAGTTCTATTGCCCTCTTCCTCACAGAGTATTACAAGTATCAAATTGAAGATGTAGATTATGACTAATGATAAATACTAGCCTGGACAACATGGCAAAACCCTGTTTCTACAAAAAAAAAAAATATAAAAATTAGCAACACATGATGGAACACACCTGTATTCCTGAGCTGGGAGGGTGACCTGAGCCCAGGAGGTCAAGTCTGCAGTGAGCTGTGATTGCACTAGCCTGGGTGACAGAGTGAGACCCTGTCTCAAATAAATACGAAGCAAGCATCTGGGGATCTCATTGCTAACTTTCTCCGCCAGTGCCTCACTAGCTTAAGCAAATCAGTATCTTAAGTGTCAGATTTTTTATTTTGTAGGAAAATAATAGATATACAAAAACTTATTCTTCCAAAAAAACAAAACAAGGCTGGGCACAGTGGCTCATGCCTGTAATCCCAACACTTTGGGAGGCCGAGGTGGCTGATCACTTGAGGCCAGGAGTTCAAGACCAGCCTGGCCAACATGGTGAAACCCCATCTCTACCAAAACATACGAAATATGCTGGGCATGGTGGCACATGCCTGTAATACCAGCTACTGGTGAGGCTGAGGCAGGAAAATCACTTGAACCCAGGAGGCAGAGGTTGCAATGACCTGAGATTGTGCCACTGCACTCCAGCCTGGGCAACAGGGTGAGACTCTGTCTCAAAACAGAAAACAAAACCCCTTTCTTGTGGCTATATTCAGTATCTGTTTAGTACATTATCATTACCCTTAATGTATATATTGTACTACATCTAAGAACTAGGCAATGATTTGAAAGCATTTTTGCAAGTGCAGAGATTCAAAGTAGCTTTCTATGTAGGCTATTTCAGTTAAGTACATTTATCCTTATTGTCTTCATTCTTCACAGAGAATGAGTAAGTTGAAATGGAATGAGGCCAGGCGTCATGGCTCACGCCTGTAATCCCGGTAATTTGGGAGGCCAAGATGGGTTGATCACTTGAGGCCAGCTGGGAGTTTGAGACCAGCTTGGCCAACATGACAAAACCCTGTGTCTACTAAAAATACAAAAATTAACTGAATATAGTGGTGCACGCCTGTGATCTCAGCTACTCAGGAGGCTGAGGCACAAGAATCACTTGAACCCAGGAGGCAGAGATTACAGTGAGCCGAGATTGTGCCACTGCACTCCAGCCTGGGCAACAGAGTCAGACTCTGTCTCAAAAAAAAAAAAAAAGAAATGGGGCTGGGCAAGGTGGCTCATGCCTGTAATCCCAGCACTTTGGGAGGCCAAGGCTGGTGGATCACAAGGTCAGGAGATCGAGACCATCCTGGCCAACATAATGAACCCCTTCTGCTAAAAATACAAAAATTAGCCAGGCGTGGTGGTGGGCGCCTGTAATCCCAGCTACTTGGGAGGCTGAGGCAAGAGAATTGCTTGAACCCAGGAGGCAGAGGTTTCAGTGAGCCGAGATTGCACCACTGTGCTCCAGCCTGGTGACATAGCAAGACTCCATCTCAAAAAAAAAAAAAAAAAAAGAAAAGAAAATGGAATGGGGTTTTTTTATCTAGGGAGAAAATGATTAACATTGAGGTTTCTCTAACATTAAGTTGGATTCCAGATAGGATTACTGTTGTCTCTTTCCATTTTTTTATTTGGATGACAAGTTGCTTAAAGTGAAAGAGAAGGACCTTTTTTTAATCACTAATATTTCTATGAATGCAGGAAGGTTGTTATTGGCTCTCTAGGTTGATTGTAATTCTTATCTCAAATTAAAAGTCCTGATTAAAGGAGAAGAAAAGGAACGTAAAACAATTAAACTTTAAAAAATGGTTGACTTTTTTCTTTCTCTTTCAGATATATGGTACATTTGCTGGAGTTGGCTGTGACTTTCATTGAGAGATTAGAAACCCACCTTGAAACAATTAGAAATATTCCTCATTTAGCTGCAAATCTAAAGAAAATGGTGAGTATTAATATAGCAATCTTCAGTTATTTTTTACTAGAAACTTAGAGGTGTGCTCTCCCAGTTTAGCTTTTTAATAGCTAATATTACGAGCTAGTTAATTTTTAAATCAAGAAGTATTTTCTTGGCCTGGCATGGTAGTTCACACCTGTAATCCCTGCACTTTGGGAGGCCACAACGGGTGGATCACTTGAGGTCAGGAGTTGGAGACCAGCCTGGCCAACATGGTGAAACTCCATCTCTACTGAAAATACAAAAATTAGCTGGGCATGGTGGTGCGTGCCTGTAATTCCAGCTACCCGGGAGGCTGAGGCAGGAGAACTGCTTGAACCTGGGAGGCAGAAGTTGCAGTGAGCTGAGATCGTGCCAGTGCACTCCATCCTGGGCGACAGCAAGACTCCATCTCCCATTAAAAAAAAAAAAAAAAAAGAAGAAGAAGTGTTTATTTATTTAGACCTTGGATTTAACATTTTCTTTTTTATATAATTTTTATTTAGAAGCCATTTTAAATTATTTTATTCCAACATTTAATAAACATGTGTTGGCTTCATTGTGCCGTGGCTATGCTACATGTATTGTGAAAGATAGATATGACCAATCCCTGCCTTCAAATTCTCAACGTTTGGTGAGACAGCTGTAAAATATACATTTTCTACTTATAGGATTATATTTGCATAATAAATGCAGCAAAGAATTACAAAGAGATGCCATCTATTGAGCATAGAAAAGGGAGGAATTACTTCCAGTTTAGGAGGATTCTGAGTAGGATAGGGATAGGAAGACTTCAATAAAGTTTTTGTTTTGTTTTTTAAATAGAGACGAGTTCTCACTATGTTACCTAGGCTGGTTTCGAACTCCTAAGCTCAAGTGAGGCACCCGCCTCGGCCTCTTAAAGTGCTGAGATCACAGGCATGAGCCACCATGTCCAGCTTTGCAATAAAGATTTATTTAGGTGTTAGCAGTAAGCTGAATCTTTATTTATTTATTTATTTTCTGATATGGAGTTTCACTCTTGTTGCCCAGGCTGGAGTGCAATGGCACAATCTCGGCTCAGTGCAACCTCCGCCTCTTGGGTTCAAGCGATTCTCCTGCCTCAGCCTCCCAAGTAGCTGGGATTACAGGTGCCCACCACCACACCTGGCTAATAGTTTGTATTTTTAGTAGAGACGGGGTTTTGCCATGTTGGCCAGGCTGGTCTCCAACTCCTGACCTCAGGTGATCCACCTGCCTCAGCCTCCCAAAGTGTTGGGATTAAAGGCCTGAGCCACCGCACTTGCCAAAGTAAGCTGAATCTTAAGGAATAAGTGAAATTCGGACATGCATCAGAAAGAATAGTTTGGCCAAAAGGAGCAATGTGAGGAAAGACATAAAAGTCAAAGAACCCAGAGAGTATGGGGGAAAAGTGATACTCCACTTTGGCTGATGCGTAAAGGTATTGAGGAGATTAGCTCAGGGTTAGTTTATGCAGTGCCTTAAAAACCAGACTAATAACCTTAGACTTTACTGTCTGAGTATTGGGGAGCCATTGAATGTGTGTGTGTGTGTGTGTGTGTGTGTGTGTGTGTGTGTGTGTGTTTTCTTTTTTTAGTGAAGGGTGCAGAGGAGTGACTTGATTAGAACTGCCTTAATCATGGAGAAAATATTGGATAGAGCAGACTGAGCCTTGCTACTCTTGAGTATGGGCAGAGAGTATCAACATCACTTGGAAGCTTGTTATAAATACAAAACTACAGACATCATGCACCCTAGAACTTCAGAATCAGAATCTACGTTTTAACAAGTTCCTCAGGTGATTCCTGTGCACATTAAAGTTTGATCAGCTCTGGATTAGAAGACTAGGCAGAGAAACCAAAGGCAGAAAAACCTGGAGACTAATTACCGTCATTCAGATAAAAGATTTAAAGCATAGGAATACAGAAGATAATTTTTTTAGATTTTGGAGGTCACATTTTTAGAACTTGGCTATGAATTGGACAAGGGACACATCAAAAATAATGAAGTTTCTAGTCTGGGTGACTTGAAGGTGAGTAGTATCAAGTGTGGGTTAAAGAAGTTAGTAAGTGGGCTGGGCGCAATGGCTCACACCTGTAATCCCAGCACTTTGGGAGGCTGAGGTGGGTGGATCACGAGGTGAGGAGATCACGACCATCCTGGCTAACATGGTGAAACCCCGTCTCTACTAAAAATACAAAAAATTAGCTGGGCGTGGTGGCACGTGCCTGTAGTCCCACCTACCTGGGAGGATGAGGCAGAAGAATCGCTTGAACCCAGGAGACGGAGGTTGCAGTGAGCTGAGATTGCGCCACTGCACTCCAGTCTGGCAACAGAGTGAGACACCATCTCAAAAAAAAAAAAAAGAGGTTAGTAAGTTTATTTTTTGACACATCTTGCACATGTAGTAAATGGTCAATCATTTTTGAACTGTAGTTAGACTGAGTTTGAGATATTGAAGGTACATCCAGATAGAGATTACCAGTAGTCTTAAATGTGGGCCTGAATTTTAGGAAGGAAGTTAGGTTTAGCAATATAAATTGAGGGTCATCTGCATTGAGTGATTATTGAAGACAAAAGAGTTGAACTCACAAAGAGTAGGTTTGTACTGTAAGAAGTGGGAAAGCACAGTTTTAAGGAGCTTTTGAAGTAAGGGGCTGGAAAAAGATCATGTGTTAACCTTTGGTATCAGTTACTGATGATATAATGAATTAATAAGAGACATAATTTCTCCTGTTTCCCTTTTCAAATGTTACAGAACCAGGCTTTAGCAAAGATGGATATATTGGTGACTGAGACAGAAGAACTGGCAGAGAATATACTCAAGTGGCGTAAACAACAAAACGAAGTTTCGTCTTGTATCCCCAAAATATTAGCTGAAGAAAGTTATCTTTATAAACATGATATTATAATGCCTCCTTTACCTTTTACTTCTAAAGTTCATGTCCAAACTATTAATGCCAAGTAGTCATCAACTTTATTTTTGCTTAATTATGTGTAGTCATATGAAGTCTATTTCTAGTTGACTGTAACATGGGTATTAATAGTCTTTGCTGCTGGTAATACTGAAAGAACCTGCTTTATATTGGAGTATCAAGATCTCAGGTTCATTAAGACCAAACTGACTTTTCCTTTGTTTTTCATATATTTTTATTCTACCTTTCAGTAAAACTAGAGAAGCTAAAAAATAGCCATGACAATTTATTAATATAAGTGAATTAACCATTTCTCAGGTGGGAAATTCTCTTTTTTTAAAAATGTGTGTTTATCGTCTGGTGTGGTGGCTCACACCTGTAATCCTAACACTTGGGGAGGCTGAGGCGGGCAGATCACTTAAACCCAGGAGTTCAAGACCAGCCTGGGTAACATGGTGAAATCCCATATCTACAAAATAAACAAAAAATTAGCCGACCATGGTGGTGCATGCCTGTAGTCCCAGCTATTCGGGAGGCTGAGGTAAGAGGATCACCTAAGCCTGTGAGGTCATGGTTGCAATGAGTCATGATCACGCCACTGCGCTACAGCCTGGGCGACACAGTAAGACCCTGTCTCAAAAAAAAGAAGTGTGTTTCTGGCCAGGCACGGTGGCTCACGCCTGTAATCCCAGCACTTTGGGAGGCCTAGGTGGGCAGATCATGAGGTCAGGAGTTCGAGACCAGCCTGGCCAACATGGCGAAACACCTGTCTCTACTAAAAATACAAAAATTAGGCCGGGCGCAGTGGCTCACACCTGTAATCCCAACACTTTGGGAGGCCGACCCAGATGGGTGGATCACCTGAGGTCAGGAGTTTGAGACCAGCCTTGACAACATGGTGAAACCCCATCTCTGGTAGAAATATAAAAAATTAACCGGGCATGGTGGTGGACGCCTGTAATCCCAGCTACTTGGGAGGCTGAGGCAGAATAATCGCTTGAACCCAGGAGGCAGAGGTTGCAGTAAGCCAAGATCGTGCCTCTGCACTCCAACCTGGGTGATGGAGCAAGACTCCATCTCCAAAAAAATAAAAAATACAAAAATTAGCCAGGCATGGTAGCATGTGCCTGTAATCCCAGCTACTCAGGAGGCTGAGGCAGGAGAATCACTTGAACCCAGGAGGCAGAGGTTGCAGTGAGCCCAGATCGTGCCACCGCACTCTAGCCTGGGCAACAGAGCAAGACTCTGTCTTAAAAAAAAAAAAAAAAGGTGTTTCTGAATTAGAAGGGTCTTCTTGAATCTGAAAATGTCTATGATGATTATTCCTGTGGGAATGTCACTAAGTATGCAGAAAAGAGTAACACAGCCAGCCTGACTTATCCTTTGAAAGGCCTGATTATAAGGTTTGTCCTCAGCTGTTGCATCTGGGAACTTAGATATCAGAAGGTATCTTAGTCTGTTCTGCTGTCATAACAGAATTACACAAACTAAGTATTTTATAATGAACAGAAGTTTATTTGGTTGACAGGTGTGGAGGCTAGGCAGTCCAAGAACATGGTGCCAGCATCTAGTGAGGGTCTTGCCATGGCAGAAGGCACCACATGGCAAGTGAGCATGAGAAAGATATATGGGTCTAAACTTAGCCTTTTATCATGAGCCCACTCCCAAGATAGCAGCACTAATTCATTAATGAGGGCAAAGCCCTCCTTACCTAATTACTTTTTAAAGGTCTCATAACACTTTTACAATGTCAATTAAATTTCCAACACTTGAACTTTGGGGGACATATTTAAACCTTAACAGGAGGGCTCCACTCACTGAAAAGAGTCGTTCATGGTAGCTAACCTGTGGTTTGTGCTGAAAACCTGCTTTCTTCCTGGGAGTCTAGAATTTTGGTACATGGTAGGTAGAAGGTACCTACGTGACCAGCCCCCAGTAAAAACCCTGGGCACTGTATCTCTAACAAGTTTCCCTGGTAAACAACATTTCTCACATGTTGTCACAATTCAGTTGCTGGTGGAATGAAACAACAGATATGTGTGACTCCACTGTTAGAGGACTCTGGAAGCTTATACCTGGTTTCCCCCAGACTTTGCCTCTGTACCTTTTCTCTTTGCTGTTTTGCTTCATATGCTTTTGCTGTAATAAATCATAGCTGTGTGATGATATGCTGAGTCTTGTGAATTCTCCTAGCAAATCATGGAACCTGGAGGTAGTCTTGGAGACCCTGGCATACAAAGCAGTTCCTAAGTGTTTACTGGTAGCTGTAGGAATAGGCAAAGAAGAAACAGCAAAGAAAAAGGCACACTGTGGTATAACTTTGGAGGTTTACCTTGCAAAATGCTCAGATATTTTACCTATCAGAGGTTATTGTGCATATAATAGAGAGTGATATACTAACAACTGCCTCAGGATATACTCTTTTTAATCAGTATTGTAACTAACCTTGGCTTATTTTACTTTTAGACTTGGGGTTCTATTTTGCTTTAAAACATGTACATCAGTTTTGTTTTTTGTTTTGTTCTTTTCTTTCCTTTTTTTTTTTTTTTTTTTAAAGACAGGATCTCACTCTGTCACCCAGGTTGCTGAGAGTGTGGTGTGGCCCAATCTTGACCTCACTGCAGCCTTGACCTCTCAGGCTCAAGTGATCCTCCCACCTCAGCCTCCCAAGTAGCTGGGACTATAGGCACGCGCCACCACGCCTGGCTAATTTTTGTATTTTCTGTAGAGACAGAGTTTTGCCATGTTGTTGAGGCTGGTCTTGAACTCCTGGGTTCAAACGACCCTCCCGCCTCAGCCTCCGAAAGTGCTGGGAGTACAGGTGTTAGCCACTGCGCCTGGCCTCATTGTACTCCTTAACACAAGAAGACTTCAACAATGATAAGTAGTTGTTTATAAGGAAGCAGGATCATTACCAAAATAAATCCTGCTAAAACAACAGGAATCATGTTTTAAAGCCTAGTTTGCTAATTTTTGCTAGTAGGATAAGAGTGATCGTAATATCTCGAACATTACATAGACACTTAAAACCTTTAGTTGTATTTCATCAAAAATCTGTTCATACCCCACGTTGGTTTCAAAACATACTATGCTTTTTCTTCGTGTTATTTCCTATATTCATTTTTGTGTGTATGTGTATGTCACAAATATTGATATGCCTGGTTGTTTATTTTTGTTTTCTATTATGCCTTTTTCAAAATATAAAAATAAACTTGTAATTTCTAACTAAAATTTTTTAGTCCTAGTCTGAATTTAAAGTGATAGAAAGGACTGATGCACTGTTTAACTTATACAGTATAGGCATATAGGCTCTCAGAATCAAAAGAGCTTGAGGTAAGTTAAGCCTGAGGTCTACTTCAAAGAGAAAGCTAATTTAATACTCTTCCAGAGTCAATCAGTGCTGATTAATTTTTCTTTAATTATTCAACTTTTAGATGTGTGGATATTAAAAAAAAATTAGCTCTGCATGCCTTTTTTTGTTGTTGTTGTTGTTCTTGTTTTTTAGATGGTCTTGCTCTCACCCAGGCTGGAGTGCAGTGGCACAATCATAGCCCACTGCACTCTGAACCTCCTGGGCTCAATGGATCCTTCCACCTCAGCCTCCCAAGTAGCTGGGACTACAACTGTGCCCCACCACACCCAGCTAACTTTTAAATTTTTTTGTTGAGATGAGGTCTCGTCGTGTTGCCCAGGCTGGTCTTGAACTCCTGGGTTCAAGCAATCTTGGCCTCCCAAAGTGCTGGGATTACAGGTGTTAGCCCCTTGCACCTAGCCTGAATGTCTGTGTTTCCTACTTACACTAGAAGAGGTGTGTGAGATTTGCAAATTTATTGCCAGCATAACAGTGATGCCAGTTTGTGAAGACCATTCTGGAGGAATTGAGATGCTGCCTGGTTTTCCTAGCATTTTTCTTATTTTCTTTCTTTCTCTATGTGACTCTACCAGTCTGACCCCTGATTTATCCTCTGAAACCCTCAATGAAGTCAGGAACAGTCTGAGGAATAGCAGAACCTAAAAGATTTCTTGACATGCAAAATCTATAATAGAGTTGAGATTTTAATAAGACTGTAATTAGTGTATTGTGGGATTTCTTCACATATCTGTAAAACACATGAATTTACATAAAAGATTTATCTCACAATTTGGGGAATCCACTAATTGAGTTTACTAAAAAAATTATGCATTAGACCCTTGAACAATATAAGCTTGAAGTGCATATGCAATTTTTTTTTTTTTTTTGAGACAGGGTCTCACTGTCACCAGGCTGGAGTGCAGTAGTGTCATCTCAGCTCACTGCAACCTCCGCCTCCTGGGTTTGAGCAATTCTCCTGCCTCGGCCTCCCAAGTAGCTGGGATTACAGGTGCACACCACCATGCCCGGCTAATTTTTGTATTTTTAGTAGAGACAGGGTTTCACCATGTTGGCCAGGATGGTCTCGATCTTTTGACCTCGTGATCCACCCACCTCGGCCTCCCAAAATGCTGGGATTACAGGAGTGAGCCACAGTGCCCAGCCACAATTTTTTTTTCAATAAATATATTGGAAATTTGGAGCTTTGTGACAACTTGAAAAATTCACAGGTCAGGCACAGTGGCTCACGCCTGTAATCCAGCACTTTGGGAGGCGGAGGCGGGTGGATCACCTGAGGCTGGGAGTTCAAGACCAGCCTGAGCAACATGGAGAAACCCCGTCTCTACTAAAATTACAAAATTAACCAGGAATGGTGGCACATGCCTGTAATCCCAGCTGCTTGGGAGGCTGAGGCAGGAGAATTGTTTGAACGCGGGAGGCGGAGGTTGCAGTGAGCTGAGATGGTGCCATTGCACTCCAGCCTGGGCAACAAAAGCAAAACTCTGTCTCAAAAAAAAAAAAAGAAAAAGAAAAATTCACAGATGAACTGTGTGGCCTACAGATATCTTGAATGCAAAAAATATATATAGATACAAGTCTATCATTTACTACCACAAAACACACAAATCAATTAAAAGTTAAATTTTATGAAAACACAGACTGTACGTGTAAGCAAATTTAAAATGCAGTATTAAATCATAACTCTATAGCCGCCACTGTCCGGCCACAGCCCCACACTCTTCACTGTCGCTCGTCATCTCGCACAGGGTGGCTCCAGTTGTGGTGTTTGGCGCCAGAATTAAACCACCACCATGTCGAGCAAAAAGGCAAAGACGAAGACCACCAAGAAATGCCCTCAGTGCACAATATCCAATGTGTTTGCCATGTTTGACCAGTCACAGATTCAGGAGTTCAAAGAGGCCTTCAACATGATTGATTAGAACAGAGATGGTTTCATCAACAAGGAAGATTTGCATGATATGCTTGCTTCTCTAGGGAAGAATCCCACTGATGCATACCTTGATGCCACGATGAATGAGGCACCAGGGCCCATTAATTTCACTATGTTTGGTGAGAAGTTAAATGGCACAGATCCTGAAGATGTCATCAGAAATGCTTCTGCTTGCTTTGATGAAGAAGCAACAGGCACCATTCAGGAAGATTACCTGAGAGAGCTGATGACAACCATGGGGGATCAGTTTACAGATGAGGAAGTGGATGAGCTGCACAGAGAAGCACCTATTGACAAAAAGGGAAATTTCAATTACATCGAGTTCACAAGCATCCTGAAACATGGAGTAAAAGACAAAGATGACTGAAAAGAACTTTAGCTAAAACCTTCCAATTACATTGTCTTACTCTGTTTTATTTCTCACACACTTCCCCCACCCTCATAGAACCTGTTGCATGCAACTTAGTTTCACAGCTTTGCCTTTTTTTAAAAATGTATTTATTCCAGACCTTTCTGCCACTTAGCACTTGTATAATCAGACTGGAAATGGTGATGACGCCATAAATTGTATTGAAAAAGAGATCGCCAATAAAAATCAACAAATGTGAAAGCCCCCCCAAAAACATAACTCTATAAACTAGTACGTACTGTACTACTGTAATTTTGTAACTGCCTCCTGTTTTAGTGAGTCAAGTGTTGCCAGCATCTGCTTAAAACTCTGTGATGCTAATCATCATAGCAGTTCCTCTCTTCAGTAAACTGTGTATCACAATAAAAAGTGATCTCTTGAGGTTCTTGGGTGTTTTTCACCGTATTCAGTGCAATATCATAAGCCTTGAATAACATCAGGGGACCAGTACCAAGTGCCACTAGTGATGCTGGAAGTGCTCCCAAGAAGCAGAGAAAAGTCATGACATTACAAGAAAAAGCTGAATTGCTTGATATGTACTATAGATCTGCAGCTGTGGTTGCCTACCATTTCATGATAAATGAATCCATTGTAAGGACCATTGTAAAATTTAAAAAAATTGTGCAGCCATGACCACAGCTACACCAGGAGGCACAAAAACCTTGAGCTTTTTGTGAAATACCTTTTTATAGTTTATTTTTATTTTTTAATTTGTGTAGAGATGAGGTCTCACCATTTTGCCCAGGCTGGTCTCAAACTACTAGGCTCAAGCAATACTCCTACCTTGGCCTCCCAAAGTGCTGGGATTACAGGCGTGAGCCACTGTGCCCGGCCCTGAAATGTCTTTTTATCTCATATTGAAAATGCAGCTTTTGGCAAGGTGCAGTGACTCATGCCTGTAATCCCAGCACTCTGGGAAGCCGAGGTGGGCAGATCACCTGAGGTCAGGAGTTTGAGACCAGCCTGGCCAACATGGTGAAACCCCATCTCCACTGAAAATACAAAAATTAACCAGGCATGGTGGTGCACAGCTGTAATCCCAGCTACTCGGGAGGCTGAGGCAGAAGAATCGCTTGAACCCAGGAGGCAGAGGTTGCAGTGAGCTGAGATAGTGCCACTGCACCCCAGTCTGGGCAACAGAGCAAGACTCTGTCTCAAACAACAACAACAACAACAAAACAACCAAAAACACACAACAACAACAACAAACAGAAAATGAAGCTTTTATGTGGGTACAGGATTGCTGTAAGAAAAACATACCTGGCCAGCGTGGTGGCTCACACCTGTAATCCCAACACTTTGGGAAGCAGAGGTGGTCAGATTGCCTGAAGTCAGGAGTTCAAGACCATTCTGGCCAACATGGTGAAACCCCGTCTCTACTAAAAATACAAAAAAATTAGCTGGGTGTGGTGGCACACGCCTGTAATCCCAGCTACTCGGGAGGCTGAGGCAGGGGAATTGCTTGAACCAGAGAGTTGAAGGTTGCAGTAAGCCAAGATCGCGCCACTGCACTCCAGCCTGGGCGACAGAGTGAGACAACATCTCAAAAAAAAAAAAAAAAAAAAAAAAAAAAAAAAGGAAAACATACCTATCTATATACCTATATACTCTTAATATGATTTGAGAACAAGCAAAGTCATTATATGACAACTTGAAGCAAAAGGAAGGTGAAGGATCCAAACAATTTTATGCCAGTAAGGGATGATTTGATAAATTTGGAAAGGTTTGGTTTAAAATATGTCAAGATAACAAGAGAAGCAGCTTCTGCTGACCAAGAGGGAGCAAATGAGTTCCTAGACACCATTAAGGAAATAATTGAGAAGAAAGGGTATCTGCCTGAACAGCTTTTCGGTGCATATGCAAGTTCCCTATTCTGGAAAAATAAATGCCACAAAGGACATTTATTAGTAAGGAAGAGAAGCAAGCACCAGGATTTAAGGCAGGAAGGGATACGCTAATATTTTGTGCAAATGCAGTTGGGTTTATGATCAGCACTGCCCTTATCTATATGGCTGCTAACCCTCAAGCCTTGAAGGGAAAAGATAAACACCAGCCACCTGTCTTTTGGTTGTACAAGAAGACCTGGACAATAACCCTTTATCTGAATTGGTTCCATCTATGCTTTGTCCCTGATGTCAGGAAGTACCTTGCCAGTAAGGGACTGCCTTCTATTTTTTTATTTTATTTTTTTTAGACAGGGTTTTGCTCTGTCGCCCAGGCTGAAGTACAGTGGCGCGATCCAGGCTCACTGCAGCCTCCGCCTCCAGGGTTCAAGTAATTCTCCTGCCTCAGCCTCCCGGGTAGCTGGAATTACAGGCGCACGCCAACAGGCCCGGCTAATTTTCGTATTTTGAGTACAGACGGGGTTTCACCAGGTTGGTCAGGCTGAACTCGAACCCCTGACCTCAGGTGATCTCGCTTCAGCCTCCCAAAGTGCTGGGATTACAGACGTGAGCCACTGCACCCGGCCTGCCTCGAAAATTTAACCACAGAATTGACAGTTCAAGCGAACGCAGAGAATAAAAGTATTTAGCAAATTACTTTGCAAACTTTCGGACCAAAAGTTGATTTACTTGACTTTACATAGCACGGACACCTAGTCGAGGAACAAAAACTATTTCTGGGTAAGCGGGGCCAGGAACAACAGACTTAGCACTGAGTCCTCGCGGCCCACTCGGCTCAGGATTGGCTGAAGCTGGGCCGGCACTGCTGGGCCCGGTGCGGCACGCGCATGGGTGGGGGCGTCCCAAGAGGCTGTAGGGCGGAGCGAGGCGGGGCGAGCCCGGGCGTCCTCCCGCCCACCGACTAGCCAAGGCTCGGCGGGCACCACCCAGCTCGGGATGCAGCGCGTGTTTGGGCGGGGGCGACCCGGGAGGCTTCGGATGGAACGAGGCGGAGCGAGCCCTGGCATCCTCCCGCCCACCAGGCTAAGGACTGGCCGAACGTCCACACGGGCCCGCCTGCTCTGGCTGCGGCGCGTGTTTGGGCGGGGGCGAGTCAGGAGGCTTTAAGGAGGATTGAGGGGAGGCGGGGCCGGGAGTTCTCCCGCCCACCGGGCTCAGGATTGGCCGAAGCTAGGCAGGCACCGCCCCGCTCGGGCGGCAGCTCGCGTCCGCGCGGCGGCGTCCCCAGAGGCGCGTGGGGCGGGCGGGGCTGGGTTGGGGCTGTGTCTGGGCTTAGGGCGGGGGCCTGGGATGCTGCCGCTGAGCTGACCCGCTGGACTTGGGTTGTGGCAGACGGATGGCGAACGTGCAGGTCGCCGTGCGGGTCCGGCCGCTCAGCAAGAGGTGAGTCTCCGCGGGAGAGGGCGCCTGAGGCTTCACAGGAGCTGAAAAGAGCGGGAGGTCCGCGTCTCCCCCTGCAGAGATTCTGGCGCGCAGAAATCGGTGACAAAGTGACCCGGGGGGTCGGGGTCCGGAATCCACGGAGGCCTGGCGGGACGGGACCTCAGTCGAGCTTTCGCGTTGTGTCCTGGGGATAGCGGTTCCCGGACGGCCGCGGGAGGGCTGCCCTGGGTGAGCGTCGCTGGCGTCCTGCCAGCAGGAGTTTCGAGGGACGGCGGCTCGAGGCTTGCTGCATCGGGTTGGGCCTTTGAGAAAGGCTGGGAGAGGGATGAGCATTCTCCTCTCTCTTTCTGGGGGCTTGGGAGTACCCATGAGGACTGAGGCTGAATGGTGTGTGTTTCTGGGTGCGCGTGGGCTTCTCTGCGAAGATGTGGAGAAAGCAGAAGGTGAGGGCGTGAGGGGGAAATTGAGGCCGACACAGGTCGCGGTTTCTTTCTATGCTCGACAGCTGATTTAATCCAGGACGGAACTGTTAAGTAGGGGAAGTTGTTCCAACCCCTTCTTTCTCTCAGAGCCCTCAGTGCCCGTTTTCTCGTGGCTTATTTTGATTCCGCACCTCTCATCTCAGCCCTTGAGACATCCAGTGTGCAGCCACGAACTTTTTTCTCTTTGTCACCAGATGAAGTGTTTTTTAAAGATCAATTAGAGTTTGTTGACAGGTGGAGAGAGTTTAAAGAGCCTTCTATGTAGTAAGACCGCCAAGAGCAAAGGACTTAGACTGTAAGGGACTAACTAGAGGTTAAGTTTTGGTGGGGAAAGGGTGGTTGGTGTGGAGGGAAGTGAGTGGTGGAAGGTAAATCTGGCAGAGGGTGCTTTGGGGACCAGGAGGCACATGTTGGAATTATTTGGCAAGTTTAAAAATCTCTGGGACATAAGATAGCTTGATAATTGGGCAGAAGGATCAAGAAAGGTATCGTCTCCCATAATAAAATTGGGTACTAGTGTGGATTATGTTCGTCCTCATATAGAAATGATTGGCTTTGAAAAGTCTTGTAATTGACAGACTAATGAGAAGAGCAATGAGATAGAAAGAAACAAAAAGTTAAAGAGAATAGGAAGAAGGCAAAAGAGGTACACTGAAGAAAGAGGGAAAGCAGATGCCTGACCTGCTGCGTTTTGATTGGTAAATGGCTTGTGACACCTGGCTTCTTCATAACTGGATGTGGTAGCTCAGGGCTGGGGGGGGTTTTATAAGTGCAGATGCTATGCTGGAGGTAGTCTCTGGTATATTCTGTATTTGTGAAACTGTTCTTTTAGGGTTCTCAGGATAACAGTATTGACCACTCCTAACATTCAGTAACTTCTCAGTTCCTTGGACACTAGGAATTTCTTTCTTTTTTCTTTTTTTTTTTGAGATGGAGTCTCGCTCTGTCGCCCAGGCTGGCGTTGAGTGGCGCGATCTCGGCTCACTGCAAGCTCCGCCTCCCGGGTTCACGCCATTCTCCTGCCTCAGCCTCCCCAGCAGCTGGGACTACAGGCACCCGCCACCATGCCCGGCTAATTTTTTGTATTTTTAGTAGAGATGGGGTTTCACTGTGTTAGCCAGGATGGTCTCGATCTCCTGACCTCGTGATCTGCCCGCCTGGGCCTCCCAAAGTGCTAGGATTAGAGGCGTGAGCCACTGCGCCCAGCCGGACACTAGGAATTTATAATAGCATGAATTAGATTAAGAAAATGATGCTGAAATTGGTTTACTTGCAGCCACAGTAGAGAATAACATACCAAACAAAAGTGAAGGGAAAATGAAAGCACAATTTATTTACTTTCAGCTCAAGTTAAGAGCCTTGAGCAGCAAGTGGTAGGATGTCAAGACTGTAGATACCCAGGTGTGAACAGATTGTAGCAGGCTGAAGATTCAGGAGCAGATACAGATAAACCCAGTGTGGCCCCAGCCAAGAGGTCCGGATCACTTCCCTCTTCTCACAGAATCCTGCAGAGATGGCAGCTGTTCTTCAGGGGGTGTTATACTGTCTTCATTGAGGCTTATCTGAATGTGGGGAATCTGGTGATTATGTGGTTTGTTCCAACCTTCAAATAAGTCATTGGCACACACTCAGTTGACAGTCATTGGATCTGATGTTGTGCTTGGGAAGAAATCTTACAGATGATCTGGCCCAAGCTTCTATTTTTTGTTTTTCCAGATGACAGAATGGTTTGGCTTAAGTTCTAAAAGTAGTAAGAGCCAAGATTTGATTCATTAGACCTACTGCTCTTTCTGAGATTACAGAAAAGTTGCATTTGTGTCTCAAGTGCCTATTTATTCAGTAGGACTAGAGTTGACGCTCAATTTTTTTTTTTTTTTTCTTTTGGAGATGGAGTCTCACTCTGTCACCCAGGCTGGAGTGCAATGGCGCGATCTCAGCTCACTGAAACCTCCGCCTCCTGGGTTCAAGCGATTCTCCTGCCCCAGCCTCCTGAGTAACTGGGATTATAGGCGCCTGCCACCATACCTAGCTGATTTTTGTATTTTTAGTAGAGACGGGGTTTCACCATGTTGGCCAGGCTGGTCTCAAACTCCTGACCTCACCTGCCATGGCCTCCCAAAGTGCTGAGATTATAGGCATGAGCCACCACGCCCAGCCTGACCCTCAATAAAATGATACTGCTGTATAGGAAATGGTTTTGATGTCCTCCCCTCTACCTCACAGTTTCCCATAATCAGAAATTGCATATCTCATTATGAAATTGCTGCCCTTTGTCTACTCCAATTAACCATTATGAGAACACATCTGATCTGCCAATACTGTAGGCTCTAGAAGACTATTTGCCCTGTCAAAACTTACTCTTTACCCACTGTATAGCTTTGTTTTTTTTTTTTTTTAAAGTTTTTCCAAGAATATGTAAAATGAGATTTGGAGTTTAATTAAAGTCAGAACAGGGATACATTAAACAAACAGAAGATACTTTTCTGATTATCAGTTTTTGAGACTCAAAGCATCCCCAAAACATTGGAGATCCAGCTTATTCCTGAGAGACATCAATCATCACAAAAGGTTTTCACTCTGAACTATTCACATTTTTGTAGCAGAAAACAGAACAAAGTTCTGCAGACATCCTTCCTTTCTTCTTTCTAAAATGTGTTCACAAACAGGGTCTTTTCATAGTTCAAAAGGAAAACAAACAGGTTTCTTTCTTGGCCAAATGGCTTATTACTCTCACCCTGGGATCTGATTTCTTACTAAGAAAGTTCAGGGCACCAAATCCAACCAGAAATTCCCAGGACACCAATGGCTACTTAACTATGAGGGGATGGATGCTTTAATCTTTCTATGAGGGGAGTCATTCTCCTGGGATTATTATGCCCATCAGTAGTCCCAGGAGAGGTAGGTGGGAAGGAGGGTGAATGCAAAAGCTAAAGGGTCAGAGAAAAGAATGAGGCTTTCATGAACAACCCATAACAAGGCAGAATGGTCGTTTTACAAACCAACCACTACAAACTCCAAACATGCACACCCAAAACTAGAGGGGAAAATAAAGAGCTCCTGGGGGATGAGAGGAGACAAAACATGGTCACATAGAACAGCAGACTCGCCTGTGAACATTTCTCACCTTCTTAACACTGGAAGATGTTTAATTAAAAAGTTGCTGTTCAAAATGGTACTGAAAACATATCTAAAAATAGGTCTGTAGTCATCTTAAAAATAAAAGGTCACTTCTCAGATAAGAGGAGTGACAGATATTCTCAGATACTAACACTTGAGCTGTCTTTGATGTAAATTTGTAAAATGGCCAGGTAGAGAAAAAGGAAGGAAAGGAAGGAGAGAGGAAGACAGTGAGGGAGGTAGGGAGGGAAATTCAGAGTACGATAGGAAAGGCAAGAAAACTGGAAGAACACATTTTTTAAGCCCATGCTTATCTATCCCAGCAGCCAAACAAAGCAGATCCACAAAGGAAAAAAAATGCAGTTCTTTTCTAAGAACATTCTGAAAATCAACTTCAAACTCAAAACATAAGAAACTGCAATCTGAGAACAACTATCACAATGCTCACTGGACTTAAAAATGACTACTGAGACTGGGTACTCAAATGGGTCAACACTCTTCAGAGGTCATTCTTAGGCATTATCTGACACAATACTATGATCAGGCGTTACCCACCAAGTGGAGGCTAAAGTGCCTCTATTACTTGGTGTGGACCTGCTCTAGGAGCAGACAAAATCACTTCACTTTCTTGAAGTACAAGAGGACTCTGCCAGCAACAAGATGCAAGCAGGGAGGAATGGCAGAAGAAGAGCAAGACTGGTTATCAAGGGCTCTCTTCTGATGTACAGAGTTAAAAATACCTGCACAAATGTGCTAAGTAAAAGAATGGGAAGATGAACTATAATACCAAAGACAGAAGACATTCCTCCCAGAGGAAAGAAGGGAAGAGGACCTCAAAACAGTGTCACAGGGTAATGCTACCAGAGTTGCACAAACTGTGCTCTGTCCCAAGGGACAAATACCTCAAGGTAAAAGGAAAAGCAGCTCTCTTTTTTATCATTCCCCCCTGCTAGTTTTAAAGACCCCAAGCCCAGAATCTTGCAACACTGAACCATAGGTGGGATACAAAGGAACATGAATGGTGTTAGGCCCACCAAGCCTCTGTATCCCTTCCTCAGACTTCCCCATTTCTTCCCAAGCACAACAACAAGAAGCCAGGCAGTTGTAGGTTGGTATTTGATTTGGAACAAAAATGAGGGGTATGAGGGTGGCTCTCAATAAAAAAAAACAACTAGAAGGCGTGGTGGCTCACGCCTGTAATCCCAGCACTTTGGGAGCCCAAGGCAGGAGGATCACAAGGTCAAGAGTTCGAGACCAGCCTGGCCAGTATGGTGAAACCCCGTCTCAGCTAAAAAATACAAAAAGCCCGGCGTGGTGGCGGCCACCTGTAGTCCCAGCTACTCAGGAGGCTGAGGCAGGAGAATCGCTTGAACCCGGGAGGCAGAGGTTGCAGTGAGCAGAGATCATGCCACTGCACTCCACTCCAGCCTGGGCAACAGAGCAAGACTTTGTCTAAAAAAAAAACTAGGAAAGCCAGAGTTTAACTGTTTTCCTCTAAGGACTGCTTAGCGCTACAGAAATACACCAAGGGCCTTCAATCTAACTTGTTTAACTGGGAAGGGGGACAGGAGACAGGGAGAAGAAATGGTCAGATGAAGCTCATCTTCCCATCATTTGGCACCCAGAGGAAGAGTGGGAGACGGAGACTGTAATGGGGACTGCTGGTATTGCCTCTTCTGTCTTTTCACTGTTGATCCTATTGGCCAAATCAGGTGCACACAGGTACCAGTGTTGCTGCTTTTCTTCTAATCCTTGCAGGAGAGTCAGATGCCCATCTCCAACTGAGCATCACCCCCCAGCTGCATGTTTCCTGTCATGATTGTTCAAGTTGTTCAAATTATTGACTTCTACTTGTGGAGTCTTCAGTTAAGGTGCCAGGGCTAGTGACTCCCGGGATATTGGGCAGATGGCAGGTGGGGTCTGAGCCATGGAAGAACTGCGAAGATCCAACAGAAACTTTCTATCATAAATGATTTGAGTTTCTCCTGGTGTGGTGGAGAAGAGCGTCCCCTCGGGCGTGGTGCAATAGTCAAGAGGTAGCTGCGCGGCGTCGCTGATGGCCACGGTGTGGGTGGGGAAGGCGCGGCTCTGGCTGGGCTGGTGGCCGCTGCCAGCGGAGGAGGACATGGCTGTGGACGCGGGCTCTGGGCTTTGTGTGGCGGGTAGGCGGCGGCGCCGGGCCGGTCTGCTCCAGCTCCTAGGGCGGGTGGAAAAGCGAGCTCTGCGCACTCCTCGCTCGCTTCCTCTAGTTCCCTCGTCTGGCTCCGCCCCTGCCGCCAGCCGATCCTCGGGCCTCGCCAGCAGCCTCAGCAGCAGCAGCAGCGGCGGCGACGACCACGATGACAGGAAACCTACATAGCTTTTTTTGTTTTTTGTTTTTAAGTCTGTAAAATAGGGATAACTACTTCAATAGTTTTTATGAACATTTGATAAAAGAATACATTACAACAATCTTTATTCCTCAGACCCCTGTGCTTGGCTGTCTGGTTTTTAAACGTTTTACAAGGGGCCAGGCAGTGTGGCTTATGCCTGTAATCCCAGCACTTTTGGAGACTGAGGCAGGAGAATCGCATGAACCCAGGAGTTCAATACCAATCTGTGTCGTCAACAACAACAACAACAAAAAAATTAGCTGGGCATGGTAGCAAGTGCTTGTAATCCTGGCTACTTGGGAAGTTGAGGTGGAAGAAATGCTTAAGCCTAGGAAATTGAGGCTGCAGTGAGCTATGATTGCACCACTGCACCCCAGCCTGGGCAGCAGAGTGAGATCCTGTCTCTAAATAAATCAATAAACAAAATTAAATCTAAAGACCCCTGTCTCACTGTGTTTCTCCTACCCCCAGTCCTCTAGGTCATAGCCTGGGAAGCCTGAGGAAGGATAAAAAATAAGACTGAAGGTATTGTCTCAACTTTCAGGTTCTAGGCTAGGAGTAATTTAATTGATAACTTTTATTGTTTGTAGTGGAGGATGTTCTAATTAATTCTCATCTGTTAACATTTTGGTCATGAGTACTTTAGCTGTGGCTTTTCATATTATGAAAAAGGATAGGTATCAGGTATGTGGGTCATCTGGATTAAGCCCATTAAAGTGAGTGTAGAGATTGTTTAGTTGTTAGCAGTATTACCACATAACTGCAACATAGGAAGATTCTTGAGGAGCTTGGCCCTGCTTCTGATTTAAGAAGATATAAAGAAAGGATTTGAGAAATATATTCTCAGGGTCTCAGCAGAGAGGATTCCAATACTTTTTTTTTGTCAATATCCATGCCCAAAATGCTGGAGAAAATGAGAGATGATGCCGTGTTATATGCTGGGCCAAGGATGCTCTCTAGAGTTTCTTTTCTTTTGAGAGATGAGATCTTGCTCTGTCACTCAGGCTGGGGTGCAGCATCGTGATCATAGCTTGCTGCAGCCTTGAACTCCTGGGCTCAAGCAGTCCTCCTGCCTCTCAGTCTTGCAAGTAGTTGGGATTGTATGTGTGAGCCACTGCTCCCCGCACTCTCTAGGGTTTCTAAGCCTGACTTCTAAGGTATAATTCAGAGCCTAGGCTTCCTGGTCAGACAAATATGAGTTTAAATCCTAGCTCTGCCACTGATAGCTGTGTGACCTTGGACAAGTTACATAATTTCTCTCAGCTTTAGTCCTCTGCCTGTAAAAATGATATGTTAGCAAGCTATGTCAGGAGGATACGTAGGAGGATAGCGTAAGATGAAGAACAATATGTAGTGCCCCTAATAAAGTGCCTTACACATAGAGGGTACTAAATGTGAATGTGAGCTGTTGCAGAGCCAAATTGTAAAGATCCAGGGAAGCATGCCAGCTAGGGGACTGCTTGATGCGACGCTTATAGCCATTTATGGAGACAGACGCTTCTCTTAAGGGTACAGCAGTAGGGAAATATTTTGTCCCACTAGCACTGGTTTTAGGCTCTTTTTTCTTGATTTTAAAAACAACATTTCTTCTGAGCTTGGGTCTTGTTTCTAGGGAGACCAAAGAAGGGGGAAGAATTATTGTGGAAGTTGATGGCAAAGTGGCAAAAATCAGGAATTTAAAGGTAAGCCTGAAATTGTTTTTCATTTTCTTTCCACTGAGGAGCTAATATTGTTACAGGGGCTTCCAGGCTGAAGGTGTATATGTGAATGTGTTTAGAGTTGGGGAGGAAGGGGTATATAAGAGGAATAGGGGGAGGAGCTTATGCCAATCATAAAGCAAATCAAGAAATCAAGAAAGAAGTGCAGGGCATTTGGCTGCTGCAGCCTAAGTTTTATCAGATAGGGTGCATCTGTTTTGGAAATTAGTTGGTAGATGTTTTGAAAGTAAACTTGGGATGTTTTGGGGGCAATAGTTAACTTAAATCGTGCTGCAGGCAATCCATATTCTATTTAACTCACCTGACCACCAGTTAAACTTTGTCCTTATCTTTTCAGTTGATACCACTTTATCTAGAGACATTATTAGGCATTGTAGTATGCACCTGGTAATGCAGGGTTTCTTTTAGCTATACTGAGATCCAAGTAACATCTTTCAGATCCCAGAAGGGAGTCAGTCACTAGCCTGGGTTTTGTTACAGATTCTCTTTCACAGATCTTACTGAACTTAGAGTCATAATTGGACAGACATTTGGAACTTCCTTCCGTACCCCTCAGTCTCCCTTAGGGCTAATTTTTCTCCATCCTGTTACTCCATTTACCAGGCAAACAGAAGACGGAGGGGTTTCTTTCTTTCTGGGCCTTGGGGAGTGGAGAGAGACTGGGGAAGCTGACCATGTGACTTTTGCTATAGTCAGCTTGCAGGTGGTACTCAGCATTCCTGAGAGCTGAGGAAACTGGCAAAACAGAGTTATTTGGACCCCAGTCTTCACAGTCATGCCTGCTCTCTTGTTACTCCTGTGATGTGATGTGTTTCCTCTTGTCATTAGTTCTCTGCTAAAAAACAATGGGGACCTACCAGACTTTCAACGGGGCTCCCCAGGGACAAAGGACCTTTTATTCTCTGCTGTCTCTTATTTATATTGCTGTCGCCTAATCACTTCAGCTGCTTTGTTGTAAGATTCTCATGTTTTTGGTTCTTAAGAATAAGTCTCAGCCAAGATCAAACTTTAATCTGCCTTCTGCACACCTCCCTGGCTGCTGACTTCCCTGTGGTCAGTTATCCAGGAAGAATCTCTTAATCATTCTGGCAGCCTAATTCTTCTGTAGTTTATGATGGCTAGTGGCAGGGTTGTCTTTCCCTGTCCGGAGTGTATAAGATAAGGCATTTCTGTGAATAATGCTGTTCTCCTCAGTACCTGGAGGTCAGTGCAAGGCCAAGCTCTGGTTCTACTCTCATCTACCTTGAGCAGCTACATTGCTTCTGACTCTTCTGTCCAATGTGGTGTCTAAATGGGGGTTGAATATTCCAGGAACCTCAGTGAAAGCCCCAGGTTGATGAAGCCTGTCAGGCACCATGGCCAAACTACTCACGTACTCCCAGTATCCTCTGCAGAAATACTTAGAAAAGAAATAATATAGGTTGAACGTCTTAATTTGAAAATTTGAAATCTGAAATCCTTCAAAATCTGAAGCTTTTTGAATGCTGACATGACGCCATGAGTGGAAAGTTTCACAGCTGGCTTCATGTGATGGGTTGCAGCCAAAACTATTTCATGAACAAAATTATTAAAAATATTGTATAAAATTACCTTCAAGCTATGTTTATAAAGTGTATATGAAACATAAAAGGATTTCATGTTTAGACTTGGATTCACCCCCAAGATATTATGTATATGCAAATATTCCAAAATCCAAAAAAATCTGAAATCCAAAAAATTCCGAAACAGTTCTGGTCCCAAGCATTTCAAAGAAGGGACATTCAACCTGTAGTGATAAGAAGATGCCCAGAGCGGGAGAGGCTTTCTCTCCCAAGCTTTACCACATCTCATATAGTTGGTTCATATGTAGGCAGATATATGATAGAATGACAGACAAATTTAGTTATCTGTGCTTTATTTGTATCTAATAAGATGGAGAGAAAGATTACCTTTTCTTTTTCAGGAAGATAATATAAACAGTCTCATGACCAGTCCAAGTCTCTCTAGCTATGGTAGAGGGTGATCAAGTGCCACTGGCCAGATTCTAATATTATGATAGAAAAGACACTGGATCCTATGTTTGATTTTAGGTGGACAATCGACCAGATGGCTTTGGGGACTCCCGGGAGAAGGTTATGGCATTTGGCTTTGATTACTGCTACTGGTCAGTCAACCCAGAGGATCCCCAGTATGCATCTCAAGATGTGGTAATATCATTTATCATTTTTCTTTCACCTCAGTTCTTTTTTTATGTATAATATTTAAGATGTTTATTATAAAGATACTTTGCAAGGTTAGTATAGCACAGTTGTACAGATTGGAAGTACTCTAATTGGTACTTTAAGAAAACTTTGAAATAACTAACAGATTTTCAAAAAGAAGAAACTTCAATACATCAAGAAACCATTGGCCTTTTCAAGTAACCATTTTCATGGTAGGTAACAAAAGAAGCTTATTTCAAATGCGGTAATATCGTGTATTTCCTCATTTCTTCATAACTGGATAATCATTGGGAAATTAACATGAAATCTGAGTCCTGGCTATTTCTTATGATACTTTTGTCTGAAACTAATGATGTTTTGGTCTGAGAAATGGTAGTGAGAGGTATCACTTCCAGAAAGAACAAAGAAGGTGGGAAAAGACTGCTTGAACAAGACATCAAAGTTGGCTAGTGTCCATTTAGGCTTGAGCCTCCTCATGATTCAGGTGGGTATAAGTTAGCTCAGGTAGTGTTCTGCTCCTATGATAGGTGAACAGCCATGTGCACAAGGGAATTATAGAGGTTAGTATCTTCTTTGAACCTTAGGCTTGTACTTGTCCTCCTAGGTAGAGTGGAAAAGGGCTAGACAGCTAGTCAGCCAGCCTGCAAGGTAGGTAGGAGGCAGGTGAATCTTATCAATCTGCTGTTTGAGCAGCCAAGGCTTTGCCAGCTGAGCCTGTTGGTCACCCGTCATGTGTCTTGTGGTTCTGCTTAGCTCTCGGTCAAGTTTCCAAGGCAGCAGGAGGTCTGGCCAGTGGGTCTACAGGACTTCTCTGTTTCTCTGAAGCAGCAGTGTTGTCTTGGTTTGAGCACTGTTAAAGGCCATGTACTCAGACCCCATCATGGCCAGCAAGCCTTGCCTCATTCACTTCTATGGCCACAGACAGTAGCCCTTGCCCCAGCAGCTATCAGGGTACTTTGCAAAAGTCCAAACCTAAAATTGGAAAAGCCATTTACTTGGCCTTTCATGGTTCATTATCATCATATCACATATGAAAGAAAAGACTATGGGAATATATCCTTGGGAAATACTACTGGAAATAGAAATATTTTTGGGGAAACCT
The DNA here is from genome assembly GCF_000001405.40 of Homo sapiens. Taxonomy (NCBI): domain Eukaryota; kingdom Metazoa; phylum Chordata; class Mammalia; order Primates; family Hominidae; genus Homo; species Homo sapiens. The sequence continues at coordinate 42,586,755 of NC_000015.10, forward strand.
GGACAGTCATTGCCTAGGATTCTATATAACTTTGAATAAAAAGTCAAACTATGTTTTCTGACAAATATTTCAGTCTTTCATAAAACTTTTTTTTTTTTTTTGGTGGGGGGCCGGGGGGCGGAGATGATCTTGTTCTGTTGCCCAGGCTGGAATGCAGTGGCATGATCTCAGCTCACTTCAGCCTCTTTCTTCTGGGCTGAAAGTGATCTTCCCACCACAGCCTCCTGAGTAGCTGGGACTACAGGTGTGTGCCCCCATGCCCAGCTAATTTTTGTATTTTTTGTAGAGACAGGTTTTCATCATGTTGCCCAGGCTGGTCTTGAACTCCTCAGCTCAAGCAATTATCCTACCTTGGCCTACCAAAGTGCTGGAATTATAGGCATGAGTAACTGCACCCAGCTATAAAGCTTTTAATAATTATGTCAAAGGAACAACATTATCAAGTCTGAGTGACTCAGAGGAGACAGTACTGATTTTCTGCTATTGTAGACTTCTGAAGATGATTGAATATTTCTAAATCACAGATTTAGATATTTCTAAATTTAAATATTTCTAAATTACCCCATTCTTCCCTTCTGAAAGGAACACACAGAAATAAGACCGTAGACCACTGTGGGATTTGCTGTCACAGTGGGCCTCTTCTGTTATATAAGCATCTCACCTTTGTAGTCCTAATGTGTTTGCTGTTAATGCTCAGTACAAAAGAGCAGTGTGGACATTACCTGCCCTCCACTGAGTCTTCTCTGTCCTTTTGAATACGAGGACAGGGGCAGGTCTAGGCTTGTCTTGTGGCCCTTGATTTATGTATTTATTTATTTTATTTTTTGGGGGGATGGAGTTTCGCTCTTGTTGCCCAGCCTGGAGTGCAATGGCACCATCTCGGCTCACCACAACTTCTCCTCCTGGGTTCAAGCGATTCTCCTGCCTCAGCCTTCTGAGTAGCTGGGATTACAGGCATGTGCCACCACGCCTGGCTAATTTTGTATTTTTAATAGAGACGAGGTTTCTCCGTGTTGGTCAGGCTGATCTCGAACTCCCGACCTCAGGTGATCCGCTCACCTCAGCCTCCTAAAGTGCTGGGATTACAGGCATGAGTCACCATGCCAGGGTGGCCCTTGATTTTTTATCCCAGCACTCAAGTGTGTATGAGGCATCTGGTTACTAGTGTTTGTAACCATTCCCTTGAGCTCCTCCAAGAAGAACCAGCAAAGTAACTAACTTTGAGTAAGAAAGATGGGACTCCTATAACAGTCCACAGTTGTGACTGTATTTGTGGCGTAGAAGACAGTGGCCTTTCTGTTAGCGGAAAGTATGAGCATTCTGATAGCTGTTTGAGACCTGCCTGGCCATGGCATACGTGTGGCTGTTCTGTACATAAGAGGAATTAACTATTTTGTATAACATTTGATAAATCAGTCATCTTAGAGGGGGTGTGTGAATGTGTTAAAATTTTATGTGTGTGTGTGTGTGTGTCTGTGTGTGTGTATTAGTATCATTAAGCTTGAGTATGAGTTTGGTTGTGAGTCCCGTATTTTACATTTATGTGTCTTAACTGTATAAAAATCTAGTGAAAGCCCAAAAGGCCATAGAGGAGGGAAATTCATAAATATGATTCTTCTTTTGCCTGATTTGAAATTTGATGGAAAGATCAAATGAGATCCAGACAGGAAGCCTGTGCAGAGAGATAAACCAGTGTCTCCTGAGGTTTCTTCTGGCTTGTTTATTAATTGTCTGAGTCCCTCATTGGTCCCAGGAGGAGTTAGGATAGGAAAGAGAAGGAAGGGAACCTCTGTCACAAGCTGGAGTGGAGCCAGAGGTCCCAGAGTGGTGGCAGGACTCATATCTACATGATACAATCAGAGGCCCTCATTGCTTTAACACAGAAATTGGAGCTCAGGTTTAACCCTAATCACTATGGCTCTGAGGCCACCACGGACGGGTAAGAAAGGTGGAATCTATACAATCTTAGGACTTGGGGTGGAAAAGAATTTGGATGTAACCCAGTTTATCCTCTTCACAGCGTTTTTTTTTTTTTTTTTTTTTTTTTTTTTTTTTTTTTTTGGAGTGGGGGGTGGGGGTGTGTGGACAGAGTCTTAGTCACCCAGGCTGGAGTACAGTGGCTCAATCTTGGCTCGCTGCAACCTCCGCCTCCTGGGTTCCAGCGATTCTTGTGCCTCAGCCTCCTGAGTAGCTGGGACTACAAGCGTGTGCCACCATGCTCAACTGATTTTTGTATTTTTAGTAGAGACAGGGTTTCGCCATGTTGGCTAGGCTGGTCTCGAACTCCTGACCTCAAGTAATCCACCTGCCTTGGCCTCCCAAAGTGCTGGGATTACAGGTGTGAGCCACCACATCCAGCTCTCCACAGCATTAGTGATCAAATTTTGAGAGGAGGGGTCAGTCTATTGAAGTATAATTTAGATATAGTGAAAGATTTACCTTTTTTTCTTTTTTAACAATTATTTATTATTATTTTTAATAGAGATAGGGTCTTGCTGTATTGTCTAGGCTGGTCTTGAGCTCCTGGGCTCAAGTGATCCTCCCGCCTTGGCTTCCCAAAGTGTTGGGATTATAGGCATGAGTCACCACGCTTGGCCAAATTCACCTTTTTAATGTACAGTAACACATTCAGGTGTGTAACTGACACTACAATCAATATACAAAATAGTCTATCATCCCAAAAATTGCTTCATGCTCTTTTATAGTCTATTTCCCCAGGCCCTCACAATTACTGATCTGTTTTCTGTCCCTACAGTTTTATCAGTTCCAGAACGTCATAAAAATGGAATCAAACAGTATGTAGTTGTTTGAATCTGGCTTCTTTCACTTTGCGTGATGTATTTGAGATTCATCTTTTTTTTTTTTTTTTTAAATGGAGTTTCGCTCTTGTTGCCTAGGCTGGAGCGCAGTGGTGCGATCATGGCTCACTGCAACCTCCACCTTCTGGTTTCAAGTGATTCTCTGGCCTCAGCCTCCTGAGTAGCTGGGATTACAGGCGCCTGCCACCATGCCCAGCTAATTTTTTTATTTTTAGTAGAGACGGGGTTTCACTATGTTGGCCAGCCTGGTCTCAAACTCCTGACCTTGTGATCCACCTGCCTTGGCCTCCCAAAGTGCTGGGATTACAGGCGTGAGCCACCACACCTGGCCAAGATTCATCTTTACTGTTGTGTGTGTCACATCTTCTAACCTTGATTCTTTTTTTTTTTTTTTTTTTTTTTGTTGAGACCGGGTCTCGCTCTGTCACTCAGGCTGGAGTAGGGTGGCGCAGTCACAGCTCACTGCAGCCTCAACCTCCTGAACTTAAGTGATCCTCCCACCTCAGCCTCCTGAGTAGCTGGGACTACAGATACGTGTGCCACCATGCTCGGCTAAGTTTTGTAGTTTTTGTAGAAATGTGGTCTCACTGTGTTGCTCAGGCTGGTCTCAAACTCCTGGGCTCAAACGATCTGCCTGCCTTGGCCTCTCAAAGTGCTGGGATTACAGGTGTGAGCCACCACACCTGACCTTGATTCATATTTATTTAAATTATCTGCTCTCCCAGAAGGAATCTCATGACTTTGGAAGCATGGATTCTAACTATAAAGGATACAGTGTGTCTTTCATCCCTAGGTTTCTTCTTATTACAAAGGAAGGACTGCTCAGAAATATGGCATTGATTTCAGATATCAAAATATCTGAGGGAACTATCTAAATTTCCCTTAGTGGATATGGAGGGAGTATCTAAATATCTGACTTTAGGGGGATTTAGAGCAGCATCTTAAGAAGCCATTCAGAGGTAGATGTTGACAAGAATGTCACCTGATCAGTGTTGGTGCTTGTGTTAGTCTATTTTGTGTTATAAAGGAATACCTGAGGCTTAGTAATTTATAAAGAAAAGAGGTTTATTTGGCTCACAATTCTGCAGGCTTTATAGAAAGTATTGTGCCAGTATCTGCTGTTGCTGAGGGTTCAGAGAGCATCCAGTTGTAACAGAAGGGGAAGGAGACAGTCTTGTCACAGCGAGAGAGAGAGAGCGAGAGATGGGAGGGAGGCCACTCTCTTAAACAGTCAGCTCCAGTGTGAACTAATAGAGCAAGAACGCACTCATTACTGTGGGGAGGGGACCAGGCCATTCATGAGGGATCTGTCCCCATGACCCAAACACTTCTCAGCAGGCCCCAGCTCCAACATTGGGGGTCACATTTCAACATGAGATTTGGAGGGGACAGATGCACAAACTGTGTCAGTGCTGCCTTGTCATAGCCTCTTAGTATGTTAGAGTTTGAAGAGAACTTGTTAGTCATCTAGGCCAGAGTTTGTTGACCTCAGCGCTGTTGACATTTTGACCATATAATTCTTTGTTGTGGGGGTCTGTACTGTGCATTGTAGAATGTTTAGCAGCATTCCTGGCCTCTACCCACTTGATGCCAGTAGCAATCCCCCAACTGTGACAATAAAAAACATGTCCAGGCTGAGCACAGTGGCTCACGCCTGTAATCCTAGCACTTTGGGAGGCCAAGGCGGGTGGATCACCTGAGGTCAGGAGTTCAAGACCAGCCTGGCCAACGTGGCGAAACCCTGTCTCTACTAAAGATACAGAAAATAGCCAGGCATGGTGGTGCATGCCTGTAATCCGAGCTACTCGGGAGGCTGAAGCAGGAGAATTGCTTTAACCCGGGAAGCGGTGGTTGCAGTAAGCCGAGATCGCACCACTGCACTCCAGCCAGGGCAACAGAGCAAGAGTCCATCTTAAAAAAAAAAAAAAAATGTCTGGACATTAGCCACTAATCTAGGCCAACCCTCATATGTTACAGATCTGGCCATGTAATTTATGGCATTATACAGGTGGTTAGTGCTCAAGCTGGAACAGACCCAGGCTTCCTTATGGTGGTCTTTTTATTGCATTGTATCATTCTCTGTCTTTTTATATTTACAGCCTCAAAAGATAGGTTCAAAGTTAAAATTCCTTAGTGCTTTGGCACTCTTCCTGGTCCTTAGTGGTGAAATGCCTGAGTAAATAGATCAGTTGTCACCAACTAGGGACTACTAGAGGACAAGTCAGCTACTGCAAGTTCTACTGAGAAGCAGCTTTATTTGTTAAATGCCTATTGATAGCCAGATACAATTGTAAATGTTTATCACTTCATTCACGTTCTATTAGATCTATATTATTTACTCCATTTTGTAGATAAGGAAACTGAGGCATAGAACGTTTATAGGACTTGCCAGTAAGTGGTGGAGCAAGAATTCAAATTCAAGACTGTTTAACTCTAAATTTTATGTCATTTCCACTAAACCTCACTGACTCTCAAAAAGAAATACCATTTAGCCTACTAGTGATCTGATCATCTCTTTATGTATATTTGATATAATTTCTTAAATACCCTAAAAGGTAGAGGATTTTATCCCCCTTTTATAGTGGAGGAAATTTAGGCTTAGAGAAGTTATATGATCTGCCAAAGTTACACAGTAAGATGTGAGTTCTAGATTTGAACACAGGATCATCTGACTGCAAAGTTCATATTCAACACTATGCTGCAGTACAAAAGGAAAATGAAGGATATGGGAAAAGGAAGCGATGGAAAACTGGAGAAGGGGAGAGAAAAGACTATAGTGAATGGGATGTGGTTGGAGATCTCTATAGTACCTGTCTTGTCCATTACTCCTTGACCCTGGTGTCAGCTTCCTGTTTTTTTTCTTTTTCTTTTTTCTTTTTTTTATTTTTTGAGACAGAGTCTCACTCTGTCACCCAGGCTGGAGTGCAGTGGTGCGATCTTAGCTCACTGCAATCTCCGCCTTCCGGTTTCTAGCAATTCTCCTGCCTCCGCCTCCCGAGTAGCTGGGATTACAGGTGTGTGCCACCACACCCGGCTAATTTTTGTATTTGTAGTAGAGACGGGTTTCTCCATGTTGGCCAGGCTCGTCTCGAACTCCGGATCTCAAGTGATCTGCCCACCTCAGCCTCCCAAAGTGCTGGGATTACAGGCGTGAGCCACCACACCCAGCCAGCTTTCCATTCTTAAGGCAAGTCATTATTGGTCTAAATGCTGTTTTCAGTATTTGTTAATATTTGGACTTGCAGCAGAAGCTTTTCTTCAAAATTGGCCTGTATTTTTTCTGGCTTGAATCTGTATTAAAGTCAATTTGCTTCTCTGAAATTAAACCTGGACTTGAATTCAGGCAGTCAGTTATTGGCTAGCTTACTTTGGGCAAGTTGCTTATCCTCTTTGCTTTCTAGTTTCTTCAGCTCTAAAATAGAGATCATATATGCCTCAAAGAGTTATTGTGAGGAGGAAATGAAATAATTAAAGTGCCCAGCCCAGTACTTGGCACCTCGGCGTCAAATGAGTTTATGAGTGCTGTGCCTTGGGTCCCTGCCGTGATTACCATTATCATACGTAGTACAAGAGAAGCAAGGCTCATGATATTTTTCTGAGTTGAACTAGATTTGGAAACCTCTTTTCTGAATCTGGTTATGATCCCTTCTGGGACCATCCTGCTCCATTTGGAAAACTAACTTCCCTCCCTTCCTCCTGGTGAGGAACATCTGTTGGCGCAGGAATCCTCTGCTCCGGCGTATTGTGTTTGGGTGACTGTGTGTTTGTAAAACTTTCCATGAGGAGTATTAGCTCAGCTTTACCCACCAGGGCCTGAAAGTGGCTGTTTAAAACAAATGCAGACTGAGTCAACAAAAATCATGTCTATGAACAAAAAGCTAACCGCTCTTCATGGAAAGAATTGCTCCTATTCTTCTGGAAATCTTTATTTTAAAATGGTCTGTTATTTAGCTAAAACACTTGTAGCATTTCCAGACCAAAAAAAAAATCATGTTGAGTGAGCAGGAGATTTTTGTCTGAATTCAAAACAACCACTGTCTCCAAAATTGAAAGTATTTTAGTAGTAATATGGTTGTGCTTCTTTTTTTTTTTTTTTTTTTTTTTTTTTGAGACAGAGTCTCACTCTGTTGCCCAGGCTGGAGTGCAGTGGTACAATCTCGGCTCACTGCAAGCTCTGCCTCCCAGGTCCACGCCATTCTCCTGTCTCAGCCTCCTGAGTAGCTGGGACTACAGGCGCCCGCCACCACGCCCGGCTAACTTTTTTTTTTGTATTTTTAGTAGAGACGGGGTTTCTCCGTGTTAGCCAGAATGGTCTTGATCTCCTGACCTCATGATCCGCCCGCCTCGGCCTCCCAAAGTTCTGGGATTACAGGCGTGAGCCACCGCGTGGTTGTGCTTCTTGTTGTTTTAATATTTATTTGGTCTCCACAATATACTGAACATCAAACAACACACAGAATACATCATTACTTATGTCAAGGAGCCCTGAGAGAGAGTGAGCAAGTGAGAGTGAGAGAGACAGACAGACGGAGAAAAGAGAGTGTGCTATAGATTCTTTGGTGAATATCTTTTCCAATTCTGGACTTCAGTGTGAGGATGTCAGGAACCTGGAGAGGCTTCAGAGGGAAACCACACATACTCCCCCAAATGATTACAGAGCTGGACTGCAGGAACCAAGAGGAGCCACTATTAGTGTAGTATACCTCATGGGCATTCCACATGCGATTATTCAGTAAAGGAATGTTGATCCTGCGATGGGAAGGCAGAGATGATAATGCTCCATAAGTACTGAACATGAGGAGTTTTTTTCTGGAACATGAGAACCAGCTGGTCTTTGTTTTCATTAGGATAAAAGAGATTTCAGTTAAATTGCAGAAAATTGTACGTAATTAGGACACGAAGAGTAACTTGTACAGAATTTTTGAATCCTGATACATAGTAGCTAAATAGCTTGACTTTAGAATTCCAGAATATTAATACTGGAAGAAATGTTAAGAGACCATTCAAGATACTTACTTTTTCAGATTGAAGGTCTAGAGAGACAAAATAACAGTTAGAAGTTTTTTTTGTTTGTTTGTTTTCTTTTTGGCCAGTCCAGAATTGTTCTTGATGTGGCTGGGAAATCCTGTTGTTTATTCTAATGGTAGGGGCCATGGACTGCAACACAATGGTCCTAGCATAACAGGTAATGTGCCACTAGCAGAATCTCAAGGAAAGATCTTGTTCTTTAGATCTAACCTGTCCCTGGCTCTGTAGTCAACTGGGATGAGGAAATTGCCCTATTGCCATCTAGTAGTATGGGGAAGTATTCCATACCTGTTGTTATGCGTTCTCTAATGTGACCAGGTGTGATTAGATACTGCTGCCATAAAAGCAGCATTTCTGTTTGGGAAACCCCAACCCATTACAAAATGATAACAAGTGATCTGTTATCTGCTGCCTCAGAAAGTACGCAGGATGAGCTGGAGAGATGGAGTGTGACCTTCCCTTCTTTTATGCCTTACTTTTCTTGTATCTGCTGAACTTGGAGTGTGAATGAAGGTTTTGGGGAAGGTGGAAGAATGACTGAAACTGAGGAGGGACCTTTGAGGGGCTAGAGGAGAGGGAAACATGAGGAACAAACTAAGGTGAGGAGGAATTTGAGAGCTCACAGAGGGGTGGGCACTGTTAGGATTGTGTCACTTTTTTACAGCAGGTATCTCCATTTTAGGGATAGGAACAGGCTCAGATTTGTTGCATTATTGCTTAAGGTCATACAACCAAGTGATGGACGCAGCAATCAAACCTTGACTATGTGACTCCATGGTCCAAGCTCTCGCACACTATACCACATACAACTCTATTCCTGTATTTCCAGTGCTGCACATCTTCCATTATCAATCAATGGCTATTAGATTAATTATTCAATTAAAGGTTCAATGTATGACTGACAAGATAGGACTCTGCCTTCTTGAATTTTGCTGCCTGTTTTGGGAAGGCCTCATAATTTGCCTAAGTTAAAGAACCACAGATGCCAATCAGTTTCTTTGTGCATCCCCTTTTTCTGATGCATGTATGTGCTAGGGGAGCTGGGGAGTATGTGGATTCAAAGCAGCATTTTCTCATGAATATTTGCAGAGCTTTGTACATTCCATCACTAGTGCTGGTTTTTTTCCAACCAAGATGGAGACAGAAGTCGAAGGGAGAGAAGTTTATAAGAAAAAGCCTTTTTGTGCAGTAATCAGATGGGGCTCTGCAGAGCTGAGTGGAAGATGGGAGGGGTTACCATGAGTGTTTCAGTATGTCCCTCTGCCAGCAGCACAGCTGTTTGGTTCCATAAGCATGTCTGTGAGCTGGATTTTAATCTAACTTGTTTTTTCCGTCTTTAGAAACTTGACTGTGAATCTTTAAAGAGTAATTTTCAGACTCGTAGAAACATCTGAAAGACAGAGATTCTTGACAATGTTTGCTGCTCGTGGCACATGACTATGCAAAAATGAACAGTGGAAACTAGAGAAATCTTTTAAAATGCCAAAGCTTATGTGGATTTTTCCCCCTGTAAGACAAGGGTAATGGAAATTCCTTGTGGTAGCTAGAGCCCTTGAGATCCAGGCTGGAGAGAGAGGTTATCTGTAGGGGAGACATGCCCAAAGCTTGATAGTCATTTGCAGATGACCAAGGGCAGCCTAAGCATAAATGGAGAGTTCCTAAGACAGTTGTCCTTGATGTTACCCCATTTTTCTCTTGCTTGGATCTGCAATGCTGAAAATTCCTTATACTCACCCTTTGCACCTTAAACTTGGGTTTGTCCTGGGTTTAAAGCGATTGTCAATTAATTGCTTGAGGAAGAGAAGTATGATGATGGTGATGATTACTTTGAGAGTCTTTGGACAAAATGATTTGCAAAATCTTCTAAACGAGAGGATATAAAATGAACAGCAGCCCTTTGAGCAAAAGATCTGTATGTCCACCACAGTAGACAGGCATGCACAGGCAGACTGCTAACAGGTGCTAAATTTTCTTCCCACATACTTGCACAGTAAGCCTGTGTCCAAGTACCCTCTTAACCCCATTTCTGTAGTCCTCTGTTTGGGGGAGCCAGTGTAGCTGACCAACAAAAGGCTCCTTCTAAATACAACATTCAGAAAAGGGTTCAGAGAAAGTTTTGGGAAAAAATGGTTTCTATTTCTGTGCTCAGCAGAAAGCAGATAACGGCATAAATGAAAATGTCAGCTAATTGATTAGCTTATTAAAATATTTTGCTTAAAGGCAATGTAAGATAATTGCAAAATATTCGAACAGTACAGAAGACTATAATGGTAAAACTAGAAAAGCCTTCCCTTTCTATACCTCCCACTCATCTTATTCTCTAAACGTAACCATTGTTTACAATTCTTTTGGTATCCTTCTAGATAGCATCTATTTCTTATTTTTCAAAGGAGTTAGCATATTAAGGAAATTGATTCATCTGTCATAGATACTACAAACATTTTCCCTGTTTATACTTTTGTTTTGATTCTGTTTACGATTGTGTGTGTGTGTATATATATTTTGTTTGTTTGAGACAAGGTCTCGTTCTGTTTCTCAGCCTGGAGTGTAGTGTCGTGATCATGGCTCACTTTAGCCTCAACTTCCCCAGCCTAAGCAGTCCTCTTACCTCAGTCTCCCATGTAGCTGGGACCTTAAGTGTGTACTACTACTCTTGGATAATTTTGTAATGCCAAGCTGGTCTTGAACTCCTGGGCTCCACCTTGGCCTCCCAAAGTATTGGGATTATAGGCATAAGCCACCGCACCTGGTGCATGCATATATATGTATATTTATTTTTTTTTTGAGATGGATTCTCGCTGTGTCACCCAGGCTGGAGTGCAGTGGTGCGGTCTCAGCTCACTGCAACCTCTGCCTCCTGTGTTCAAGCGATTCTCGTGCCCCAGCCTCCCAGGTAGCTGGGATTACAGGTGCCTGCCACCATGCCTGGCTAATTTTTGTTTGTTTGTTTTTTTAAATAGAGTCTCGCTCTGTTGCCCAGACTGGAGCACAGTGGCACGATCTCGGCTCACTGCAGCCTCCACCTCCTGAGTTCAAGCAATTCTCCGCCTCAGCCTCCCAACTAGCTGGGACTACAGGCACCTGCCACCATGCCCAGCTAATTTTTGTATTTTTTAGTAGAGACAGAGTTTCACCATGTTGGCCAGGCTGGTCTCGAACTCCTGACCTCAGGTGATCTGCCCGACTTAGCCTCCCAAAATGCTGGGATTTCAGGCGTGAGCCACAGTGCCCGGCCAATTTTTGTATTTTTAATAAAGATGTGATTTCACCATGTTGGCCAGGCTAGTCTCGAATCCTGACCTCAGGTGATCTGCCTGCCTCAGCCTCCCAAAGTGCTGGGATTACAGGTGTGAGCCACTGCTCCCAGCCTGTGTGTGTGTGTGTGTTTGTATATATATATGTGTGTGTGTGTGTGTGTGTGTGTGTGTGTGTGTGTGTGTATGTGTTTGAGATGGAGTCTTGCTCTGTCGCTGAGGCTGGAGTGCAGTGGTGCGATCTCGGCTCACTGCAAGCTCCACCTTCCGAGTTCACGCCATTCTCCTGCCTCAGCCTCCTGGGTAGCTGGGACTACAGGCGCCTGCCACCACGCCTGGCTAATTTTTTGTATTTTTAGTAGAGACGGGGTTTCACCATGTTAGCCAGGATGGTCTTGATCTCCTGACCTCGTGATCTGCCTGCCTCAGCCTCCCAAAGTGCTGGGATTACAGGTGTGAGCCACCGTGCCCGGCCCAGCCTATATTTTTAATGTAGTCAAATTTATCATCCTTTCTCTGTGGTTTCATGGTGTGTTAGGCTTCGAAAGGCTTTCTCACTCTGAGATTATAAATGTATTCATCATGTTTTTTTTTTTTCCTGGCATGGTAATGAATTTTTAAAATATTTACATATTTAATCTATTTGAAATTCTTTGGCATAAAAAATGAGGTAGGGCTTCAGCTTTATATTTTTTCCCCAGATAACTATCCAGTTGTCTGAATACTATTAGTTCATCTATTTTTTATTGATATACATATTTTGGGGGTACATGTGATATTTTGATACAATCTGTCATGATCAAATCAGGGTAGTTAGGATAGCCATCGCCTCAAACATTTATCTTTGTGTTGGGAGTGTTATAATTCTTCTCTTCAAGCTATATTGAAATATACAATAAATTATCATTAGTTGTAATTTTCTTACTGTATTATTGTATACTAGAGCTTACTTCTTCTAACACAGTACCGTTTATTGAACACTCATTCTTTCTCCACTGAAGTGAAAGGCTACTTTTATCAGTTAATACATTGCTATATATATTTGGGGTCTCTGTTTTTTTTGTTGTTGTTGTTTTGTTTTTTTTGGCAACCGAGTCTCACTGTGTCATCCAGGCTGGAGTGCAGTGGCACAATCTCAGCTCACTGCAACCTCCGCCTCCCAGGTTCAAATGATTCTCCTGCCTCAGCCTCCCAAGTAGCTGGGATTACAGGCCCCCACCACCATGCCTGGCTAATTTTTGTATTTTTAGTAGAATCAGGGTTTCACCATGTTGGCCAGGCTGGCCTCAAACTCCTGACCTCAGGTGCTCCACCTGCCTTGGCTTCCCAAAGTGCTGGGATTATGTGAGCCACCATGCCCGGCGTATACTTGGGGATCTCTTTTAAAACTCTGTTTTGTTTCCTCAACTGTATTTTTGTGCCTGAACCATACTGTTTCAGAAAGTTTCAAATATACATGAAAACACCATCTTGTTTCACTACTTTTTAATATTGGTGAGGGCTCGTTCTTTCTCAGACTGTCCTAGTTATTTTGGTTATTGCCCTTCCCCAAAATGCCATATCTTTCTCTGCTTTTGCTTATATTGGCTCCTCTTCCTAGTGTATATTAATACATCTCACCTCTCCAGTTTCTATCGTACAAAATACTGCTTGTTCTTTAAGGTTCAGTTAAAATGATGCTTCTTCCTTGAAGTCACCATCTCTTGGATTCTCATAGTATCTTGTTACTCCCTTGTGATACATTCTGTTTACTAACTAAAGTTAATGCTCTTTGGATACAAGGCTTATCTATTTTATTAGTCTGAGTGATCCTTGAAGGCAGACTAGGTCTCATCTATCTTTGAACATGCCACGTTTCCTAGCACAGTGACCATTCATTTATTCATTCATTCAGTAAGCATTTAGGAAGCAACACATGGGGTTTAGTGCTGCGAGGAATACAGAGTAGTAGATGTGATTCCTGCCCTCAAAAAGCTTACAGTCTTATTGGGATTACCAGGCTTTAGGTATGTAAAGATCATCAAGAATAACAAGCATTTAAGTGTTATAATCGTACTTAGAGTAAGTACTTAAGGAATCCAGAAGAATAACATATCCAAAGTTTGTTTTGAATGAGTTCAGGGAGGGTCATTTTGGTTGGAGGGGACAGCTTAAAGACTCTAAGGCAGGAATGTACACCATGTGTTTGAGGGGATCAGGTGGTGCTAGTCTGGGTGAAACTAAGAGGATATAGTCACAGTGCCCATCTTTCCAAGTGTTTCAGGAGGCCAGACTCCTATATTTCACCTCTAAGCTGGTCCAGACTCCTAGAGGAGATGAAGACCAAACGGTTTCTCTGGTACAATGACAAAGTGGTTTCAGAAGCGTACTGGATACTTAGTTGAGTCCAGCCTATATAGGACATGTCATCACTCCCATTCCAGGAAGCAAGAAAGGGAGGATGGGTGCTTTCCCTTTAGATAATTTGGAGGAGCTATGAGGACTTTTAACCTGAGGAGAGGAAGCAGTGTATACTGGATACAAGGTTATAGGTTACAGAAAAAGCATTCTTCACTCAACAAACATTTATCTATTATATGCCAGGGATGGGCTAGGTGCTGGGTAAACAAATGGGGGGTGCTTGTGCATGTGTGTGTGAGAGAGAGAGGGTTTTGCTTCGTTTCTTTCTTTCTTTTTTTTTTTTTTTTGAGACCAAGTTTCGCTCTTGTTGCCCAGGCTGGAGTGCAACGGCACGATCTTGGCTCACTGCAACCTCTGCCTCCCGGGTTCAAGCGGTTCTCCTGCCTCAGCCTCCCGAGTAGCTGGGATTATAGGCATGCACCACCATGCCCAGCTAATTTTGTATTTTTAGTAAAGATGGGGTCTCTCCATGTTGATCAGGCTGGTCTCGAACTCCTGACCTCAGGTGATCTGCCCATCTTGGCCTCCCAAAGTGTTGGGATTACAGACATGAGCCACAGTGCCAGCCTGCTTCGTTTATCTCACTTGATATATCTGTTTTTCTTTCTTTTTTTTTTTTTTTTTAGTATTTATTGATCATTCTTGGGTGTTTCTCGGAGAGGGGGATTTGGCAGGGTCATAGGACAATAGTGGAGGGAAGGTCAGCAGATAAACATGTGAACAGAGGTCTCTGGTTTTACTAGGCAGAGAGCCCTGCCGCCTTCAGCAGTGTTTGTGTCCCTGGGTACTTGAGATTAGGGAGTGGTGATGACTCTTAACGAGTATGCTGCCTTCAAGCATCTGTTTAACAAAGCACATCTTGCACTGCCCTTAATCCATTTAACCCTTAGTGGACACAGCACATGTTTCAGAGAGCACGGGTTGGGGGTAAGGTTATAGATTAACAGCATCCCAAGGCAGAAGAATTTTTCTTAGTACAGAACAAAATGGAGTCTCCTATGTCTACTTCTTTCTACGCAGACACAGTAACAGTCTGATCTCTCTCTCTTTTCCCCACATTTCCCCCTTTTCTATTCGACAAAACCGCCATCGTCATCATGGCCCATTCTCAGTGAGCTATTGGGTACACCTCCCGACGGGGTGGCGGCCGGGCAGAGGGGCTCCTCACTTCCCAGACGGGGCGGCCGGGCAGAGGCGCCCCCCAACCTCCCAGACGGGGCGGCGGCCGGGCGGGGGCTGCCCCCCACCTCCCGGATGGGGCGGCTGGCCGGGCGGGGGCTGCCCCCCACCTCCCGGACGGGGCGGCTGGCTGGGCGGGGGCTGCCCCCCCACCTCCCGGACGGGGCGGCTGGCCGGGTGGGGGCTGCCCCCCACTTCCCGGATATATCTGTTTTTCTACAGGAGGGTTTTCTGAGCAAAACTCTCCATTGTCGGTCTGTTAATATATTCTTTATTTCACCTATCAGTGCAAAGATGGACAGTGTGTTTGATTTATATTCCACAAACCCTATAGCATTAAGTCTAGCGTCAGCAGATGATCTGCAAAAAATTTACATTTTGCTCTATGGACTCTAGAGCCTATTTTACTTTATTTTATTTATTTATTTATTTTGAGGCAGTCTTGCTCTGTCACCTGGGCTGGAGTGCAGTGGTGCGATCTCAGTTCACTGCAACCTCTGCCTCCGGGTTCAGGTGATTCTCCTGCCTCAGCCTTCTGAGTAGCTGGGACTACAGGTGCGTGTCACCACGCCCGGCTCGTTTTTATATTTTTAGTAGAGACAGTGTTTCACCATGTTGGCCAGGCTTAGGTCTTGAACTCCTAACGTCAAGTGATCCACCCACCTCAGCCTCCCAAAGTGATTACAGGCATTAGCTGCTGCACCCAGCCTAGAGCAAATTTTAATTTAGTGTTTGTTTCCTACACCAAAGGCAGGCAGAGTCTTTGTCAGACATGGCAATAGTATGCTCTGGCTTCTAGAACATGGCTGGGTGACTTTATCTCTTAAAGCCAAAGCCAGAAATTGATAATTTACTATGAAATATTTTGGGGCATTTCCAGTTGCAGGTTTTGATATACCTGGCTAAGGTATGGTATGTTCAAGGTAGAGGGGTCGTGACTGCAAGTTGTCCAGGTTCTTGGTGTTTTGAAGAAGGAATTGGACAAAATGCCCAGTAAAGCAAAGAAAGAATGAAACGAGAGAATGAAAGCAGGGATTTATTAAAAATGAAAGTACACTCCACAGTATGGGAGCAGGCTGAGCACTGACTCAAGGGATCAGATACAGAATCTCCTTGGGTGCAAATACCCTCTAGAAGTTTTCCCATTGGCCACTGCATGCTCACCTCATGTAAATGAAGTGGTAGCTTGCAATCTGTCTGATTGGTTGCAGAAGGCAGTCAACCAGAGCCTGAAGTGAAGTTGCAAAAGTCACACTGCTGTGCAAACAGAGGTTAGGGTGAAGTTACAAAGTCATACCTCTATGGTAAACGAAGAAGACTCGGCCAGCAATCAGCCTGATTGGTTGTAGACAGCAACCATTCAGAGCTGTGGAGTGAAGTTACAAAGTTGCAAATGAAGCCAAGACCCCCAACTCCTTCATCCCACCCCTTTTGTTACTTTTGTTACTTAGGCGTGGAAAGTCTAGGGTTTTCCTTTCAGTTTAGTTCTGGGAAGTTGGCGTGAGAGCCTTAGGTTCCCTGCCTCTAGACCCTATTCTCCTGCCTCATATCCAGTATGGATCCTTGCTGCTACTTGCTGCTCTTTCTGAACTGCATTTTTTGGGACTGGAGTTTGGCCTCATATATTCTTTTCCAGGATAAAGTTTGAGGTGGTTGTTACAATATGTTGGCTCCAATTATTCTGTGATTTACATATATTTACACAAGCCCACTTTCCAGTAAAAATAGACTTTTTATTTATTTATTTATTTATTTTCGAGACAGAGTCTTGCTCTGTTGCCTAGGCTGGAGTGCAGCCTGCCTCAGCCTCCTGAGTAGCTGGGACTACAGGCACGTGCTACCACACCTGACTAATTTTTGTATTTTTAGTAAATATTGGGTTTCCCCATGCAAGCCCAGCTGGACTCGAACTCCTGACCCTGTGATCCTCTCAGCCTCCCAAAGTGCTGGGATTACAGGCATGAGCCACCATGCCAGCCAAAAATAGACATTTTAGAATTGTGAGCAGGTGTGGAGGTGAAGAGGAAACAATTTGTGTCTTTGTTCTTGTAATCACCAGATTACAAGGTTCTTGCCTGCTGCCCCATAGAGCCAATTTACCGAGACAGTGGAATCACAATAAAGAGTTGAATAAACACAGAGCCAGCTAAGCAAAAGCCCAGAGTTTATTACTCAAATCAGTCTCCCCAAATATGTGGAGACGAGGGTTTTTAAAGGATAGTTTTGCAGGCAGGGGGCTAGGGAATGGGGAATATTGATTGGTTGGGTCTGGGATGAAATCATAGGGGGTCAAAGCTTGTCTTCTTGTGCTGAGTCAGTTATTGGGTGGGAGGGCCACAGGACCAGATGAGCCAGTTTTGTAAGGTCTGGGTGGCACCAGCTGGTCATCAGAATACAGGGTCTGAAAAATACTTCAATTCCTATCTTTGGTTCAAAGAACCAAAGGAAAAATACTTCAGTTCCTATCTATAGGAGCAATTGAGGAGGTTAAGAATCTTGTGATCCCTGACTGCATGACTCCTGCACCGTAATTTCTAGTCTTGTGGCTAATGTGTTAGTTTTACAAAGGTGGTCTGGTCCCCATGCAAGGAGGGGGTTTGTTTGGGGAAGGGGCTGTTACCTGTTTCAAAGTTAAACTATAAATTCCTTCCTTAGTTAGCTTGACCTGTGCCCAGGAGTGAACAAGGTAGCCTGGAGGTTAGAAGTAAGATGGAGTTGCTTAGGTCAGATTTCTTTCACTGCCATAACTTCCTATGTCAGATTTTTCACTGTCATGATTTTTGCAAAGGCAGTTTCAGTCTGTCTGCTTCTACTTGTTTGATCCACGCTTCTCTTACCTGTCTCTTAAATCAACATCAAATTTGATTTTTTTATTTGTGGAAGCTCATAAGGTCATATAATATGTGATTATTCTACCTCGTTCATTCATTCAGCATGCATTTACATAAAAATATGCCAAGAATTGTGCTAGGCACTGGAAATAACCAATAAGAACCAACATTGTATTTGTCCTTTAAAAACTAATAGTTCTTGACAGAGACAGATACTAAAGAGAGAATTACTCCACAGTGTGGTAAATGTTATCATATTTTAACCAAGGATTTGAAAAAACGTGAAGAGGGAGGAAGATTGTTTTTGTCAGGGGAGGAAATCTAGTTCATAGTATGATTGCTTTATTCAGGATCAAATTGATTTTTTTTTTTTTTTTTTTTTTTTTTTTTTGAGACAGGGTCTCTCTCTGTCCCCCAGGCTGGAGTGGAATGCAGTGGTGTGATCTTAGTTCACTGCAGCCTTGATCTCCTGGGCTCAAGCAATCCTCCCAACTTAGCCTCCTGAGTAACTAAGACTACAAACATGTGCCACCACACCTGGCTAATTTTTTATTTTTTGTAGAAACAAGGTCTCACTATGTTGCTCAGGCTGGTCTCTAACTCCTGGGCTCAAGTGATCCATCCACCTCAGCCTCCCAAAGTGCTGGGATTACAGGTGTGAGCCATCGCGCCTGACCTGGATCGAATGGAATTTAAATCCATATATTCTGTTCCAAAGATGAGAAGGACATTTCTTCTTAAATCTTGAGGGTGCTGTTTCATGTACATAAATTTAACCTCACAGCTTGGTGAGTTTCCAAAAAGATCAAAGACTTCTCAAAGCATCATATGAATTATTCACTAGTCCTAACATGGAGCTCTCTCCTGAGTTTTATTCTGGATGCCATTTAATCTTATAATAAAATAGATATATGAATCATTTGGTTGAGGCTGCTACTTAGCATATTAACTTGATGTATGGTCATTATAGAGGGGCTGGATTCAGATGTTTGAACTACAGCGAAAACCTTTCTGCAGGAAAGGCAGAGTTGACAGTTTCTTATTTTTCAAGTATGAGGCAAAGGAACATGAGCTATTTATAGACTCACTTCCGCAACAGACTGAACACAATAGAAGCCTGAAATCAAATGGTGACCAGATGTGCCCAGGCATCCCCCAAGTCTAGGTGTCAAAATTATAAAAGACAGAGCCCCTGGGGAATTGGTTTCAGGGCAGAAGCAGTGCACTTAAGCCCATAAGATCACCATCTGTATACAAATAGCCCCTTAAACAGCTGGTCCTCAGGAGTGGAAGAGGTAAACAACAGTGTGTTCAAACTCACTTTTCTTGCTTCTCTTCCTAGAAGTGGGGGATAATCCCTTTGTCAATAACTTTATTTCCCAATTCTTGTCTCTCTAGTTAGGCAGTTAGAAAAGATACAGCTGCGTTCTGGGGATATGCGCTGAATTGGTGTCCGAGGAAGATTAATGCAGCTTCCATGCAGTTGGTGGAGATCATGGTTCTGCTGAGATGAGAAGACATCTGACAGGGATGGAAACCCATAATTACTTTTCTTTCTTTACTGTTCCTCCCCTGTTAAACTAATTTCATCTTGTTTGTGGTGGTGTTGTGGCGATGTTTAAAGCACAAACATGTCGTGGTCTCTGGCTGGTATTGCTTTTCCTTTTCTCCCGCATCAGAGATTTTAAGAAAATACAAACAACTTCCTCTTTCCATAAACATCTGGAAACATTCCCATGGAGTTTAGATTCAATTTCAGGGTTTGGAAAAGTTGTACTTAATTTTGGAAAATGTTCAAACCAGCTTGCTTCAATGGGAAGGGAGAAAAGAAAATAGCACTTTTTGAGAACCTACAGTCTTCCAGGTACTGTATTGAGTACTTATCACCTTCACAACAACCCTGTAAAGTGGGTTAGTACTCTGTTTTACAGATGTGCTTACTGAGGTTCAGAGATGAAGCCCAGTTTTAGTCCATTCTACTGTCTCACCACATCCTGCTACCTTTGCACTCCTTCTCTGTGCTAACCTCTAATACTTGGAGTATGACATGAATTAGCTGACAATTGGAAAATATTGGACTGTTAAATCTTGCATTTACTATAGGAAAAGACCAAGAGTCATGAATATAGAACATGTGTTTTCAAGCCTCTCTATTGGCCCCTCTCTCTGAGATGTGCAGAACACCACCTATTTTTAGTTTTGTTTTTTGAAACAGGGTCGGACTCTGTTGCCCAGGCTGGAGTGCAGTGGTGTGATCTCAGGTCACTGCAACCTTCACCTCCTGGGCTCAAGCCACCTTCCCACCTCAGCCTCCCAAGTACCTGGGAACACAGGTGCGCACCACCACACCCAGCTAATTTTTGTATTTTTTTTTTTTTTTAAGATGGAGTTTTTCCAAGTTGCCTAGGCTGGTCTCAAACTCCTGGGCTCAGGTGGTCCTCCCACCTCAGCCTCCCAAAGTGCTGGGATTACAGGTGTAAGCCACTGCGCCCAGCCTATTTTTAGTTTTGTATCCAGAGTAAGTGCTTGTATACATGTACAGTCAGGGTGCTTTCTTCTGAATCCCCTGAGTAGACCTAACTGACCCAGCTACTCTCTAAGGCACAAAAAATAGCTCACCCATTATAGCAAATGGATGCTTCATTTCACTCATTCTGACCCAGAGGCTGGGTTTTGAAGTGTACTTCATTGATTGATTGATTGACAAGGTCTCACTCTGTCTCCCAGGCTGGAGTGCAGTGGCGTGATCATAGCTCACTGCAGCCTCTATCTCCCGGGCTCAAGTGATCCTACCACCTTAGCTTCCTGAGTAGCTGGGACTACAGGCATGTGCCACGTCCTCCACATGGAGGAGTCTAAAGTCTGTGCACAACCCTGTAACCATTGTGCTCTTTTTCCTTCCCAGCACAACCCTGCATTTTTCTGGTGCTTTTTTTTTTTTTTTTTTTTTTTTTTAAGATGGAGTCTCTCTCTGTCACCCAGGCTGGAGTACAGTGGTGCGATCTCAGTTCACTACAACCTTCGCCTCCTGGGTTCAAGCAATTCTCCTGCCTCATTCTCCTGAGTAGCTGGGACTACAGGCATGCACCACCATGCGCGGCTAATTTTTATATTTTTAGTAGAGATGGGGTTTCACCATGTTGGCCAGGCTGGTCTCAAACTCCTGACCTCAAGTGATCTGCCCACCTCACCCTCCCAAAGTGCTGGGATGACAGGTGTGAGCCACTGTGCCCACCCTCCTGATGCCTCTTTTTCTGAATAGATTCTTTCTCATCTGTGGAGTACCCTAGGAATTCCAGTTTCATATTAGAGAGGGAAAGAATAAATACAGGACCTCCAGACTGAATCTAGGAGAATCTTAATATATTATACACACACACACTTATACACACACACACACACACACACACACACACACACAAATATATATTTGAATATAATTAAATCCTATATTGTTTTACAGGTTTTTCCTAAATCCCACCTGCTTCCAAGTATTTATTTTCTAGCAAGTATTTATTTACCCCCCTCTGATCAGTATCTTCCACATAGAAGTACTTACACAGTAGGGAGGATGAATCTCTTAGGCATTTGTCAGCTCCGTTAGGATTTTTAGAGGTTTACTATGTTTTATTGAAAACCAGCCTCAAGTTCCTGATTGACTGTCCAGGTTTGTGTCAGTATATTTCTTAGTTGTCACTAACAAGTAATTGTGGAGCTGAGTGCTCACCCCCACCCCCCGCAGGTCTCTTTTCCATTATCTTATTTTTTGTTTTTTTGCATACACTTTGGTAAGTTGCTGAGACAACCTTGAGAAACACCTTTGTCCAGGGATATGGGCTAAGGCTGGAGTCAGGCTTTGTTTGCTTGGTTGAAGTGACTTGCTATGAAGGGCTGAGGTGTAAGAAGTGCCACAGACGAGTGTGGTTAGAGATCTTGTGACTCTGGCATGCAGCACTGCCCTTCTGCAAGCTAGTCTTTAGGATTGGAGGAGGGTAGTGTGGTTTGTGGGTAGTGTGGCTTGAGGGAAGACAGGACCCTGCCAGCCGGATGCGTGAGGTGGATGCTGTTCAGATGAACACATAACTAATCTCTTCAACCAGACCCTGGATTGCCAAGAATGATATGGGCTTCACCTGGGCTGGCTGAACCCAACAATGAAACCGGAATTGTCTCAGAGGCTCAGCTCCCTTGCTTCTCTTACATTAAGATTGGTCTCTAGAGACCCATTTAGACTAAACAGTATTAAAAACAGGAAATTTGCTCCTAGCAGCCTGATTGCAGGAAAAGTTTTTTCCACATAGGCAGGAATGAATGTTAAGAACAAAAACTCCATCCTCCAGGCTTGTTTTCTTATATAAAATTATTAGCAACCAAAAAAACTTGAAGCATCTTTGACATATTGGACTACCTCTCAGAGTGCTGACAGGACCCAATACCAAAAGGTGATAAAGAGCTCTTGTGAACACAATCAAAAATATGAAAACGGTGCTTTGTGGAAGATACTGACCTGGTAATGTTTATCTTGCCTGAAGATCAAATATGTGGAAATTAATGCAGAAAGGATTGGGGGAAACCTAAAGAACAGCTATAATTTAATTTTAGTCAACACTCATTTATTGTGACTATTCTGGATTCAGTCCATAGATTATGTATTCATGTATTCAGTCAGTGTTAACCGAGCATGCACTGTGCGTTGTTGCTGGGTGCCATGTCCCAGCTTCAGCCTTAGATGTGTGAGATCCTCTTTCCTCTTTGGTACCTCAGGGGCTTGCTAGGGTTTTCTTATGACAGTTCCGGGCATCCCTAGATCTAGAGACCAAACTCCTGGGACTGCTGCTCTTTTGAATGATTTTGCTGCTGAGGATAGTGGGGGGCGGGAAGGGGAATATATTGGAAGAAGAGAAAGGGGACAAAGAGAAAACTAAAAGCTAGAAAGGAAATGCTTTTTTTCTTCTGTGATGTCATTCTGCCCAAATAAGTCGAGTGTTGAAGAAGGCTTCTAAGCCCTCAGAACGTGACCCAAGTCCTCTCTCTAACCCTGGCTTCTATTCATAACCCTAATGTGGCTCAGTCAGTGTGTCATGAACACACTTCTGCAGAAGAGACGGTATGGTCAAAAGATTCTTTAGTAGATCTGTGTCATTTCTTTGCTTGTGAGGAAACAACTATTTTTAAAACTTTTTTTTTTTTTTTGAGATGGAGTCTTGCTCTGTCACCAGGCTGGGGTACAGTGGCACAATCTTGACTCACTGCAACCACTGCCTCCCAGGTTCAAGCAATTCTCCTGCTGCAGCCTCCTGAGTAGCTGGGACTACAGGCACGCGCCACCACGCCCAGCTAATTTTTGTGTTTTTAATAGAGATCGGGTTTCACCATGTTGGCCAGGCTAGTCTTGAACTCCTGACCTCGTGATCTGCCTGCCTTGGCCTCCCAAAGTGCTGGGATTACAGGTGTGAGCCACCGTGCCCAGCCCTGAAATTTTAATTTAAGTGAAGGTGACAGTGGTTTCTGGCTAACTAGTTAATCAGAAATGTATTTGAATAATGGCTGGGTGTGGTGGCTCATGCCTGCAATTCCAGCACTTTGGGAGGCTGAGGCGGATGGATCACTTGAGGTCAGGAGTTCCAGACCAGCCTGGCCCATATGGCAAAACCCTATCTCTACTAAAAATTCAAAAATTAGCTGAGCATGGTGGTGGGCTCCTGTAATCCCAGCTACTCGCGAGGCTGAGGCAGGAGAATCACTTGAACGCAGGAGGTGGAGGTTGCAGTAAGCTTAGATCACGGCACTGAACTCCAGCCTGGGCGACAGAACGAGACACTATCTCCAAGAAATAAAATAAAAAATAAAGAAATGTGTTTGAATAAGAGTCTCATTTTGTGATCATTTACGTAAAAGCAGCATAACCATTGCTTTATGATAGTCATTTTTGCTGCTCGCTGAATATTCATTGCCCTTCATCTTCTGCTGCTAGGATTTCACTTCCCAGCCCCACTTGGTTAGGTGGGGCCATGTGATTGGTTCTAGCCAGTGGGTTATTAGCAGAAATAATGTCTGAGCCTTTGATTGCTGGGATATGACCCTCTAAAGCCCTCTTTCCTTTCGGCAGCATGATCAGCAACATTGGAGATGGGTTGTTCTCTCAGTTGGGCCCTAGAGAAGCTGTAACAATCAGTGTCCCCTACTGACTCCTGTGTAGCATAAGCCAGAAATAAACTTCATTGTTTAAACCACTATTCTTTTGGGGTTTGCTGCAATAGCCAAACTTATACTTTCTTTTTCTTCTTCTTTTCTTTTTTTAAGACAGAGTCTCACTCTTGTCGCCCAGGCTGGAGTGCAGTGGCGCAATCTTGGCTCACTGCAACCTCCGCCGCCCGGGTTCAAGCTTCTCCTGCCTCAGCCTCCTGAGTAGCTGGGATTACAGGCACCCGCCACCACGCCCGACTTATTTTTGTACTTTTAGTAGAGACGGGGTTTCGCCATGTTGGCCAGGCTGGTCTTGAACTCCTGACCTCAGGTGATCCGCTTATCTCAGCCTCCCAAAGTGCTGGGATTACAGGCGTGAGCTACCGTGCCTGGCCCAAACTGATTCTTTCTTAACTGATAGATTACTCACTGTTGAGTTTGTTGAATGGCTTTAACTTTGATATAGTATCAGTCACAGTAAGAAAATGGGTCGAGGTGATCTGTATATGTACTTTCATTTTATTTTCAATGATAAATTATTTTAATGAATTTCCAAGGATTGAAAGTACCCAGGACTCTCTTAGTCTTGCTTTTTTCCCCCTTTTTCTATGGAAACCCACAAATCTATTCTATTTTTTGAAGTTGGCTCTAAAAAGGACTTTTGCCCTACAGCAGGGCTTGGCAAACTATGATCTGTGGGCCAAATCTTGCCACCACCTGTTTTAGAAAGTAAAGATTTTTTGAAATACAGCCATGTCCATTAGTTTATGTAATATTTGTGGATGATTTTGTATACTACAAAGATGGAGTTGAGTAGTTGTGACAGAAACATTATGATCCACAAAGCTGAAAATACTTGCTATCTGGCTCTTGATAGAAAAAGTTTGCCAGTGTCTGCCTTGTAGGATCCTTAATTATTAGGAATGGAAATGTTCCCAGAGGATTTGCCTCAATTGTTGGAGACATTCTCGTTCTTGGAAATTCCACCTGATGGAAGGAAAGCCTTCTTTTGGATCTTTAGTCCAGCATCACCTTTTAAATATACTATCCTTTAGACAGAGACACAGCTTACCCTTCTTGGGTTTTGCCTATGACTAGATAAAGACTCCCTCAACCTTGATAATCATGCCATCTTTTATACTGCCACCCTCATTGTCCTTGTCCAGGCCAGCTGCTGGGCAGACTGCTAACATGTCCACTTCTCATACAACTGCTCTTCAGTGTGTCTACTTTATGCTTGTTGCTGTTGGCTGTTAAACTTGCCATTGTATTAGGGCTTTTTCAGGATACAAGGACGAGGGGTGATTAGGTTATCTCACATTGTGGGTCATTAAGGCTATGTGGGGAAATAAACTGGAAACTGTCAGCAGTCACACAGCCAAGCCACATGACACTGGAATATTATTTATTACTGCTCAGAATTCAACAGTAACTATAAGAGACTAATGGTACCTCTCTCCTGTCAAGAACTCCCCAAAAGAGTTGATCAGTTAATCTTTGGCATACCCTTATTAACATTATTATGATTATTATTAGAGACAGGGTCTCACTCTGTCGTCCAGGCTGGAGTGCAGTGGCACAATCATGGCTCACTGCAGCCTCAATCTCCTGGGCTCAAGTGATCATCCTGTCTCAGGGCCTTAGCCTCCTGAAGTAGCTAGAACTACAAGCATGTTCCACCACACCTGGCTAATCTTTATATTTTTTGTAGAGACAGGGTCTCTCTATATTGCCCAAGCTGGTTTCAAACTCCTGGCCTCAAGTGATCCTCCAACCTTGGGCTCCCAAAATGGTGGCATTACAGGCCGGAGCCACCTCGCCTGGCCCCTTATTAGCATTCTTATTTGGGTCATCTGTGAGCTGACAGTGAGCACCTAAGAACATGAGTCTTAGGCTCATGCTAAAAATGCTTACCTTTGCTTGGAAATCGAGTCAGTGAGGCTCTGGAAAGAAGTGACATAAAACATGGTAAATTATGATAAAGGAATCATTTGTGGTTGTCTTTTTAGAAGAGGCTGTGGGAACGGCAAGAACTTAGAGTCTATTCCAATAAAGCTATCTTTTATCATTTCTCACAGGATTCTAATGAATCCATCTTTTTGTAGGGAGGAGGGAAGTGTTAGAGCTAGATGTCCATCTGTCTGTTAGGATAGCCTCATAAGGAATTTATCAGATCTCACATGCTACTCGGACAGTTGTCCATGGGAACATTCTTTAGCAAAAAGAAGCACTGACAGAAATAGCAAAATCCAGCAGGTTGCAGTGGCGCATGCCCATAATCCTATCAATTGGGAGGCCGAGGTGGGCGGATCACCTGAGGTCAGAAGTTTGAGACCAGCCTGGCCAACGTGGTGAAACCCCGTCTCTGCTAAAAGTACAAAAATTGGCAGGGTGTGGTTGCACATGCCTGTAATCCTAGCTACTCAGGAGGCTGAGGCAGGAGAATTGCTTGAACCTGGGAGGTGGAGGTTGCAGTCAGCCAAGATCCTGCCACTGCATTCCAGCCTGGGCAACAGAGCGAGACTATGTCTCAGAGGGGAAAAAAAAAAAAAAAAAAAAGAGCAACATCTGTATAAAGAAAAGAAAATATTTTTGATTATCTCAAAGCTAACTTTTTCTGGTTCCCTCAGGAACTAGGGTCTTATGCTGGGAATATGGATTTATGTTTCTGTATGCATTTATGTATATCTGTCATCTGTATAATGAGTGTATGTATCTGTTATCTCTATATAAACTCCTCCTATTTGTTATTTTCTTTTTCTTTCCTTTTTTTGTTTTTTAACTTTTCAGAAAATGAAGCACTAGACAGGGACTTAGGGGACTGGCCTAGGGACAGAGAGATTTCCATTTTTGCATTTTTACCTTCCAATAAAGGTAATAAAAGAGTAGCATTTAGCAAAGAGGGGATATTTTAGGATCTGATACCAGAGAGACCCTAAACTTTCATCTTTGGTACCCCAACCCCTTCTAGGTGAAAGATGGTCAAGCATAGTGATTAAAAAGTATGGTTTATTTCCCAGATTCATAATTTACTGGCCATAATCCTGAGCAAGTCCATTTATATTTCTGTGCCTCAGTTATCTATAAAATGAGGATAATAATAATACCTGAGAGGAGTTGTGAGGACTATATTAGTAAATAAATGTAAAGCACTTATAATAGTGCTTAGCAGATAATAAGTGCTGTCTGTTGTCATTATTGACTTCTCTGATACCATATCAAGAATTTATCGGCTGGGCGAGATGGCTCACACCTGTAATCCCAGCACTTTGGGAGGTTGAGGCGGGTGGATCATCTGAGGTCAGGAGTTTGAGACCAGCCTGGCCAACATGACAAAACCCCATCTCTACTAAAAATACAGAAGTTAGCCGGGTGTGGTGGCTTGCGTCAGTAATCCCAGCTACTCGGGAGGTTGAGGGAGGAGGATCACTTGAACCCAGGAGACAGAGGCTGCGGTGAGCCGAGATCCTGCCACTGCACTCCAACCTGGGTGACAGAGCAAGACTGCATCTCGGAAAGAAAAAAAAAAGAATGAGGACATCTGAATAAAATAATGGCTTCCATAATAACAGTGTATCAGGCTGGGCACGGTGTCTCATGCCTGTAATTCCAGCACTTTGGAAGGCTGAGGCGGGCAGATCACAAGGTCAGGAGTTCAAGACTGCCCTGACCAACATGGTGAAACCCCGTCTCTACTAAAAATACAAAAATTAGCCAGACGTGGTGGTGGGCGCCTGTACTCCCAATTACTTGGGAGGCTGAGGGAGGAGAATCACTTGAACCTGGGAGGTGGAGGTTGCAGTGAGCCAAGATCGTGCCATTGCACTCCAGCCTGGTGACAGAGCGAGACTGTCAAAAAAAAAAAAAATTATAAGAAGGCTTTTAAGTGGACAAGAAAAAGAAAAAGCAGTTCAGTAGAAAAACAGTCGAAGTAGGCACTTCATAGGAGAGCAAAACCGAATGGCCCAAAAAATGAATGATGAGCTCAAACTCATTGTTACTCTAGTAACAAGATACCAGTTTGTTTCCTTTAAACTAGGAACAGTGAAAAAGAACAGTGATGCTGATTGCTGGTGAGAATGTGCAGAAGAGGGCCCATACATTTTCGATGGAAATGTAAAATTGTTACAGCTTTTGGGAAAGCCATCTGGCAATATGTATTAAAATAAATATTTTACCCTTTGACCTAGGGGTCCCACACCTGAAACTTACTCTATAAAAATAAAAACACCAGGCTGGGCACGGTGGCTCACGCCTGTAATCCCACCACTTTGGGAGGCCGAGGTGGGCAGATCATGCCGTCAGGACTTCAAGACCAGCCTGGCCAGCGTGGTGAAACCCCGTCTCTACTAAAAATACAAAAATTAGCCAGGCATGGTGGTGGGCACCTGTAATCCCAGCTACTCGGGAGGCTGAGGCGGGAGAATCCCTTGAACCCGGGAGGCGGAGGTTGCAGTGAGCTGAGATCGTGTCACTGCACTCCAGCCTAGGTGACAGAGCGAGACTCCGTCTCAAAAAACAAAAACAGAAAACAGCAGTTCATAAAGATATATAGTCAAGGATTTTTTTTTTTTTTTCCAGGAGTCTTGCTCTGTCGTCCAGGCTGGAGTGCAGTGACACCATCTTGGCTCACTGCCATCTCTGTCTCCTGGGTTCAAGTGATTCTCCTGCCTCAACCTCTGGAGTAGCTAGGAGTATAGGAGCCCACCATCATGCTGGCTAATTTTTTTGTATTTTTAGTAGAGAGAGCGTTTCACTATGTTGGCCAGTCTGGTCTCAAACTCCTGACCTCAAGTGATCCGATGCCTCCGCCTCCCAAAGTGCTGGGATTACAGGCATGAGCCACCACACCCAGCCATGGTCAAGGATGTTTACTGGAAACATTGTTAGTAAGGATAAGATAGTAGAAACAAAGTGATTGCTCGTAATAGTTGAATCAGTTTTGGTATATTCATAGGATGAAATACATTGCATCTTCCTTGGAAGAATTTCCATGAAATGGTATTGACTGAAAAAGAATATGACAGCATCCCATTTTTTAGTTAAAAAATTATTTAATAACATCCCATTTTTAAAAAATATTAAAAAACATCCCATATATATATATGGGTTATATATAAAACCCATATTATATATATATAAAAATGTGTGTGTTTATGATTATGACTATGGGAGGAACAAGAAAGGATGCCTGATGTTAACATGTTATCTGGGAGTGAGAATTAACATAGGAGGAAAGAGAGAAGGGAGATGAAAAGGAGATTAAAAAAAAAAAAGGAGATAAAGCGTTCCCACCTCAGCATGAATGCTGTCTCAATTATTTTAAATAGTATTTTGTGTAACTGTGGCTGTATGTGTACACATGAAAAAGAAGAGTTATATGCATAGCTAATAGATACAGTCTTTATGTCCATGATATGTGATAAAAAGCAGGTTGATGTATATTGTATGTATCTATTTCAGTAAAAATAAAACAAAGACCACAAAAATCCTTGTATATGTGGAGAAAGGTATGGAAGGAAACACATCAGGCCACTATTTGAGTACTTCAATGAGTAGGATTGGGGTGAGCTTTTTCTCAAACATTGTATTTTTTTTTTCGCTTGGTATAAGAAGTGAGCATTGTTTGTAATTTGAAAAACAGCAAAGAAAAAATGTAATTGTGTTCTACTCATTTAATAATGGCCATGTGGGTGAAACTTGTGCAAATGAAAAGGTTAATATGTGCAATGAAAAGGTTAATAATAGGCAAAAAGACTCCAGAAATGATTTATGTGCAAATGAAAGGTTAATAATGGGCAAAAGACTCCAAAAACGATCAACAAATGGGAGTGGGATCAGATTTTATTACTTTTGGCCAAAGGCCATTTCAAAATATTAGTAAGACTGTTATTCAGAAATACTGAAGGGGAGACATGGTAAAGTTTCTTCCACTGTAAAGTGAAACAACGGAAAGTAAGGAACCTTGAGGAACAATTTTAAATTGTAGAGTAATAGCTTAGTGTTCAACAGATAAGATTTGCCTTTCCTGATAACTCTGCCAACAGAGTTATTTTGTTAGCGGCAGAATATCACAGTGGTTCAGAGCAAGAGCTTTGTTTAGAAGTACCTACTACTAGCTGTGTGCCTTCATTTTTCTCATAGGAAAGTTAGAGAATGGCCGGGTGCAGTGGCCCATACCTGTAATCCCAGCACTTTGGGGGGCTGAGGTGGGCGGATCACCAGGTCAGGAGATCGAGACCATCCTGGCTAACACGGTGAAACCCCATCTCTACTAAAAATACAAAAAATTAGCTGGGTGTAGTGGCGGGCACCTGTGGTCCCAGCTACTCGGGAGGCTGAGGCAGGAGAATGGCACGAACCCAGGAGGCAGAGGTTGCAGTGAGCTGAGATCGCGTCACTGCACTCCAGCCTGGGTGACAGAGCGAGACTTCCTCTCAAAAAAAAAAAAAAAAAAATACAAAAAGAAAGTTAGAGAATAACAGTAACTACTTCATAAATGTATTGTAAGGATTAAATGAGTTAATCTTTAAGGTGCTAAGAAGTAATCTAATACAAAAATAATTCCTGAGTTAAGTGTTATTAGCTATATGGATCTAAAATGCTGGTTTTGAATAGAACACTTCTAATGAAGTATTCATTGTGTAAAAGAATCCTAACAATTCACCTTACACAGTAAGAGCCGTGCCCAGCACAGTGTTTTGCTTTAGTACATGCTTTACAAATACTGGTGGAATAAATAATTTTCATTCCTTTCACATAATTTTATTAGAGTGTCTGATTAGTTCAACATTATTTCACATATTTTGATTAATATAGGATTTCAGAAATTAATGCCAGTCAAATTAATGTTTGACTTCAGAAAATTAGGAGGAAAAGAACATTTATAGGGTGATAACTATTACCTATAATAATTTTTTTTTCTTTGGAGACAGAGTTTTGCTCTTCTTGTCCAGGCTGGAGTACAGTGGCACGATGTTGGCTCACTGCAACCTACTCCTCCCAGGTTCAAGGGATTCTCCTGCCTCAGTCTCCCGAGTAGCTGGGACTAGGTGATAATAGTTATCACCCTAGTTGGAATTGGATTCAAGAATGAAAGCGACTCCTGTGTACATAAATATACACAGCTTTCAATGGGGGGAATGTGAGTATGCTAACTTGTGCTTTCAACAGTCATTACACATTATCACAACTTTATATAGAAAAGGAATCTAAACAATTTTGTTTATTGTACTACCATTTGATTTTTAAATTCTCTTTCACTGTTGTTTTCATTCCTTCGTTTTTGTTTAAATTTTTATTTTGTTCTTTTCTTTTCTAGAGACAGGGTCTTGCTCTTTTGTTCAGGCTGGAGTGCAGTGGCACGATTATAGCCCACTGCAGCCTCAACGTCCCAGGCTCAAGCGATACTTCCACCCCAGCCTCAGCCTCCAGAGTAGCTGGGAATGCCAGCATGCACTATGACACTCTGCTAATTTTTTTATTTTTTGTACATACGGGGTCCCACTATCTTATTGAGGTTAGTCTGAAACTCCTGGGCTCAAGTGATCCTCCTGCCTGGCCTCTCAAGGTGCTGGGATTATAGGCATGAGCCACCGTGCCTAGCCCATTCCTTCATTTAGTACACACTTTATGTATTTAGTAGTATACTTTTATTATGTATTTCTTTAGTATACACTTTTATTTACTATTTATTTATGATTTACAGGGCCTTGCTGTCTCCCAGGCTGGAGTGCAGTGGTGTGATCATAGCTCACTGCATTCTTGACCTCCTGAGCTCAATTGATCCTCTTGCCTCAGCCTCCTGAGTAGCTGGGAGTACAGGTGTGCGCCACCACACCTGGCTAATTTTTGTATTTTTTGTAGAGATGGGGTCTCCCTATGTTGCCCAGGTTGGTCGTGAACTCCTGTGCTCAAGTGATCCTCCTGCTTCAGTCTCCCAAAGTGCTAGGATTACAGGCATGAGCCGCCACACCCTGCCACTATACACTTTTATTTGTGTTGATTTTGTTAATTTATATTGGGCTAGATAATCATCCATTTCATCTAGGTTTCCAAATATATGGTGCTAGAGTATATCACTATGCATGAATGTCCTCTTCTAATTTAAAAAATACTTGAAAAAAAAGTTGTCTTTTTTTATTTTTATTTTTTATTTATTTATTTTTTTGAATCTTGCTCTGTCACCAGGCTGGAGTGCAGTGGTGTGATCTCGGCTCACCGCAACCTCTGCCTCCTGGGTTCAAGCGATTCTCCTGCCGCAGCCTCCCGAGTAGCTGGGACTACAGGAGTGCACCAGCACGCCTGGCTAATTTTTGTATTTTTATTAGAGATGGGGTTTCACCATCTTGACCTTGTGATCCACCTGCCTCGGCCTTTCAAAGTGCTGGGATTAGAAGTGTGAGCCATCGCGCCTGGCCAACAGTTTTGTCTTTTATATATGGTTCTTTTTTCTTGTCCCCAGATATTTTTTTTAATCTTTTCCTATCTTAATCTGGCATTATCTATTTCATTGTTTTTCCAAAGAAATTGCTTTTGTAAATATTTATTCTTTATAACACATTTTGTTTTCTAGTCTGTTAATTTCAGTTTTTACTCTTTTATTTCAGTTTTTCACTCTTCCTAATTTTGTTGAATTTTTAAAAATTTAAATTTACATATGGTAAAGTTTACTTTTTTGGTGTACATTTCCATGAATATTTACACATGCATAGATTCTTGTAATCACCACAGACAGGACACAGAATGATTTGAACAACTCCAGGAATTCCCAAGTGCTGCCCCTTTGTATTCACACTATCCTGCCACCCTAACCCCTGGCAACCACTGATATGCTTTTTGTTCCTTTAGTTTTGCTTTTTCCAGAATCTCATACATAGACTTAATGTAGTATGTAACCTTTTAAGACGGGATTTTCAGCCTGGGCAACAAAGTGAGACATCTCTACAAAAAATTAAAAAAAAATTAGCCGGGCATGGTGGCACACATCTGTAGTCCCAGCTACTTGAGTAGCTGAGGTGGAAGGGGAGGGGTTTTAGGTTGCAGTGAGCCAAGATCGTGCCACTGCACTCCAGCCTGGGTGACAGCGCAAGACTGTCTCAAAAAAAAAAAAAAAATTCTCGTAAGGAACATGCAGCCTAGAACCCTCGCAGGCACCTGTGCAGTTTAATAGGGTTCACACTCTTGTGAAAATGTAATGCCTCTGCTGATCTGACAGGAGGCAGAGCTCAGGCAATGAAGTGAGCAATGGGAGAGTAGCTGTAAATACAGATGAAGCTTTACTTGCTCCTCGCCTGCCTGCCCACCACTCACCTCCTGCTGTGTGGCCTGGTTCCTGGTTGGGGAGCCCTGACTCAAGCTTTACCCAATTTCTTTTGGTTTATTTTGCTTTTGTTCCCACTCATTCCTTAAGATGAATATACTGTTGAGCTAATCAATGGCTAACTTGCCCTAAGGCTTGAGGTTGGGGTTGAATAAACGAGAGGCCTTTATTCAGATCAGCAGGAGGGGTTTCCTCCAGTAGGATTGTTTTGTTCTGGCATCTTTTAACTTTAAAGCTTCCCTTAAGCTGGTTTCTCTTCATGATTCTCCTTCCAGGTGACCATCTCTTTCCCTTGGCTCTTTGGGCCCAGCAGTGGTGAATTTCCATTTTTGTTGGTTCTAGGTTACTGGACTACTCTTTGTGGTTTCCTGCTTCTCACAGTTGACCTAAAAGGAAGAAGCTGAGGCAAAATAAGCAGAAAGTTTGTTTGGGCCAACTTGAGCATTGCAACCTGGGAGCAGAGGTTCAAGTTGCCCTGAATATACACTCCAATTAGCAGCAGTTATAAGTAGATTTTTTTTTTTTTCCGAGACTATGTCTCTACAGAAAATTAAAAAATTAGCTGGGCATGGTGGCTCGCACCTGTATTCCCAGCTACTCCAGAGGCTGAGGCAGGAGGGTTGTTTGAGCCTGGGAGGTCAAGGCTGCAGTGAGCTGTGATCACACCACTTCATTCCAGTCTGGGTAACAGAGTGAGACCTGTCTCAAAAAAAAAAAATTTTCAGGAAATTAAAGTGTTAATTGCTGCCATCTAATCCTTAGACTTCATTCAGGATTCACTGATTGTCCTAGTAAGATCCTTACAGCAAAAAGATTAAGTTCAGCATCACTTGTTGCATTTAGTTATCTTAACTCTAGTCTAATTCAGTCTGGAATAGGTCCTCAGTTTTTCCCTGATGTTCATGATCTTAACACTTACGAAGATTACAGGCCAATTATTTTGTAGAATGTCCCTTTTATTTTATTTTATTTTATTTTATTTTATTTTATTTTATTTTGGAGACAGAGTTTCCCTGTGTCGCCCAGGCTGGAGTGCAGTGGCACAATCTTGGCTCACTGCAACCTCCACCTCCAAGGTTCCAGCAGTTCTCCTGCCTCAGCTTCCTGTGTAGCTGGGATTATAGGTGCCTGCCACCATGCCTGGTTAATTTTGTATTTTTAGTAGAGATGGGGTTTCACCATGTTGGCCAGTCTGGTCTCGAACTCCTGACCTCAAGTGATCCACCCGCCTCAGCCTCCCAAAGTGCTGGGATTATAGGGGTGAGCCACCACCTGGTATACATGTCCCTTAATTTGGATTGTCCAGTGTCTCCTCATGATTACATTCAGATTATGTATCCTTGATACCAGTATCACTGAATTTACTTTGATTGCTTGATTAAGGTGGTGTCTGCCAGATTTTTTTCACTGTAAAGTTACTCTTTCTCTTCTTTGTAATTAATAAATATTTTGTATTTAATAAATATTTTGTAGGAAGTACTTTGAAACTATGTATTCCGGCCCTCATCAGACTTTCAAATTATTTATATCTGTGATCCATGGTTATATTATATATTATATCTTTGATTCATGGTTTCTCATTTTATACAGTGGATTACAACCTGTTACTATCATTGCTT
Source organism: Homo sapiens (assembly GCF_000001405.40). Classification (NCBI taxonomy): domain Eukaryota; kingdom Metazoa; phylum Chordata; class Mammalia; order Primates; family Hominidae; genus Homo; species Homo sapiens. Next base: position 42,621,393 of record NC_000015.10, read on the forward strand.
ATTGTGTTAAAAGAAAAATTTTAGACAAATTTAACAGAGCTTAATTGAGCAAAGAAGAATTTACAAATAAGGCAGCCCCTAGAACTACGATAGGTTCAGATACAGCCTGAGGCTGCCACATGGTTGGATAACACTTTTGGACAGAAAAAGGAAAGTGACATACAGAAAACAGAGGGATGAGGTACAGAAACAGCTGGATTGGTTACAGCTCATTTTCTTCATTTGAACACAGTTTGAACAGTTGGCTGTCTGTGATTGGTTGAAACTTGGCTACTTGTTACAAAAGTAGGTTACAGTCTGTTTATACATTTAGTTAGGTTATAATCACTATGTATGGAGAAACCCTTAGGACAAACTTAAAATCTGCAAGGAGACAGCTTTAGGCTAAACTTAACAATTGTGATGCTCATTTTGTTCCTGTTAGTGGAAAATGATATTTAGAAACCAAGTTCTGGGTGCTAGATGTGATCATTTCTGTTGGGGTATCACTGTTTTCAGGTCCTCTTGGTAAAGTTAGACAAAGCTAGGGAATATATATTTGCATATACATTTTCATATATATACACATACATTTATCTATTTCTTTTTCAATCTATATTGAAGCCTATGAATTCTCACTGATTCTGATCTAATACCATACAATTCATTCTTTTTTGTTTCCTTGACTCTACATTAAAGGAAAATAATTCATTCTTGCTTTCTTCCTCTCCTAATTTATAACTCCTTTATCTGATGATGAGGCTGGCTGTGGTGGTGTGCAACTGTAGTCCTAGCTACTTGGAGGCCACGGCAACTCCTTGAGCCCAGGAATTCAAAGCTGTAGTGGGCTGTGATTGTACCACTGCACTCCAGCCTGGGAGACAGAGTGAGACCCTTAAAAACAAAAAACAAAGAAAAAGAATAATGAAAAATGAAAGCCAAGTTTCTCATTATCACCTGTAGCTCGCTCTCTCTCTCCCTCTCTCTCTCTCTCTCTGTCTCTCTCTTTTTTTAGAGACAGGGTCTCACTTTGTTGCTTACCCTGGAGCGCAGCTGCATGATCATAGCTGATTGCAACCTTGAACTCCTGGGCTCAAGTGATCCTCCCACCTCCGACTCTTGATTAGCTGGGACTTCAGGCATGAGCCACTGCCCAGCGGATGTCTCTCCGTTTTGGATCCATACTTCCTTGTTCAAATAAAACTAACTTGAAGGAAGGGGTGGGGCAGAGAGATTTGTTTGACTGTCTCTGTGGTTACTTGCCTGGGTATCTGTTGTTCCTGAGGTGGGAGATCTTTAGTTGTAACTATGAACTTTCCAAGGTTGACAGTGAGGTATTAAGAGATGACAAATGGAAGTACAAAGATTTTTCAGAGGGAGTCATGTGACATGGTTGTTCTCCTGTTTTGTCCAGAGCTCTGATGTTCTGAAGGATTGAAATGAAAAGGATACATTTTATATTTTATGGTGATACAGTCCTGGGGTCAACCTCACTGAAGAGAGGCCTTTATCTGGGGACATTATGTGGGGCTTCAAGGTAGGGACCTCTCTCAAAGTGTGCTTTGAAATAAGTAAGTATAGCTTAAGATGCAGATCAGGGCCAGGCGTGGTAGCTCACGCCTGTAATCCCAGCACTTTGGGAGGCGGAAGCAGGCAGATCACCTGAGGTCGGGAGTTTGAAACCAGCCAGACCAACATGGAGAATCCCCACCTCTACTAAAAATACAAAAATTAGCTGGGTGTGGTGGTGCATGCCTGTAATCCCAGCTACCTGGGAGGCTGAGGCAGGAGAATTGCTTGAACCTGGGAGGCGGAGGTTGCAGTGAGCTGAGATTGTGCCATTGCACTCCAGCCTGGGCAACAAGAGCGAAACTCTGTCTCAAAAAAAAAAAGATGCCGATCAAATGCCAACACTGCTATGAATATTTCCCTCACTACCTCAGGCCACAGTCATTTTCCTTTCTCCAAATATAATATTTATGTCTCCTCTTTATTCATATTCTACTATGTACTGGTATTGAACTGTTTACTGACTCTATGGTCTATCTCTCCAACTATATGATAAGTTTGTTGTGGACTGAAGACAGTGTTTGAAAGGTTTTTCAAACCTCTCTCAGTGTCCTGTGTGGTGCTGGGTTCCTGTTAGGAACTCAATAAATACTTTCTTCCAAGATTAAGAGAATTCTAGTTCTGGGACTTGGATGGTTCAAGACTCATTTCTTTCAAAATAATGACTCTTCTTTCTTTCCGTTGGGTATGGCATAGATTTCATTTGGCTTTGTTCGTGTTTACCTTCATTTCAAAATTTCTGTTGTAGTCTCTCCCTTCTCTTGTTCTTTGGGAACTGTTTAAATACCAATTTCCATGGTATGCATTGCATGGATAAATGTAAAATGTGGACGAACATGGGAAATAAATCTCTGTATTTCACAGCATAAAATGGAGAAGGCAAATAGGAAATCTAGACTCATTTGTCAAAGTTACATATAGGCTGTTGCCTGGAAAAATCTGCAATTTATCAGGGATAGTATCTGGTCCACACTTGGGCCAGGGCCCAAATTATGTCAGTTAACTTCTAGCTAGGCTTACAATGGGAATAGATGCATCTATAAACATTTATATTGGGTAGAGACCCAAAGATGAATGGCCTGTAGTGGGATTGAAGGAACAGCCCAGAATTTACCTGACATTTATGAAGTGTGGACAGTATTTCCTGAAACTGTGGGTTTATGTTTGCAAAGCTGGCACAGATGACACTTTCCCTTGTTAGACTGTTCACACTTTGGGTAAGCTACTGCCAAGTGGACAGTGGCTTATGTAAGGCTTGGATGCCTTGTGAGTGGAGCTATAGTATGCTTTCCCATGCTATATACATTGGGAAATTAAATAGAAAATTTTAATTACTAATTAAAATGAAAAATATTAAGTTGTCTAAGCATAAACAGAAAAACACTATTTATGTCTATAATATAACAAAACAAGGTTCAGCTTAGTATCCTCATTATATTTAGGTATTCTTAATTACTGTATTTACATCAGAATTTAAGATCTTGAAGGAACATTAGATATATTATCTAGAAATAAAACAAAAGTCTGAAAGAGTAATTTCACCACCAAAATGTTAAGAATGTATTATCTCTGAATAGTGGGATCATTTTTGTTTATCACCATTTTCTGTTGTCTTTTTTTTTTTTTGAGACAGAGTCTCCCTCTGTCATCCAGGCTGGAGTGCAGTGACGCAATCTTGGCTCGCTGCAACCTCCGCCTCCCAGGTTCAAGTGATTCTTCTGCCCAAGCCTCCCAAGTAGCTGGGACTACAGGCATGCGCCACCACGCCCAGCTAATTTTTGTATTTTTCATATAGACAGGGTTTCGCCATGTTGGCCAGACTGGTCTCGAACTCCTGACCTCAGGTGATTCACCTGCCCTGGCCTCCCTAAGTTCTGGGTTTACAGGCATGAGAGAATAATTTTCATAGTGAATACACAAATACTGACTTGTCAATAAAGATGTTATCTGTTACTGCATTTAGTAGCAATTTTTCTAAAAAGGAATAAAGTTTTCTAATATAATTCTTTTATTTTAACAATGGAGTTACAGACCCATAGAGATAAGTAATATTTAAAATTCATTTAAACAGAATACATCATAGACATTTAAAGCTATTTTCTTTTTGATACAGTCTCATTCTGTCACCCAGGCTGGAGTATGGTGGCACAGTCTTGGCCCACTGCAACCTCTGCCTCCCAGGTTCAAACGATTCTCCTGCCTCAGCCTCCCAAGTAGCTGGGATTACAGATGTGTACCACCACACCCGGCTAATTTTTGTATTTTTAGTAGAGATGGGGTTTCACCATGTTGGCCAGGCTAGTCTCATATTTCTGATCTCAAGTGGTCCACCCACCTCAGCCCCCCAAAGTGCTGGGATTACAGGCATGAGCCACCACCCCCAGCCTTAAAGCTATTTTCTGTTTTTGGAGACAGAGTCTGACTCTGTCGCCCAGACTAGAGTGCAGTGGCGCGATCTCGGCTCACTGCAACCTCTGCCTCCCGGGCTCAAGCAGTTCTCTTGTCTCAGCCTTCCAAGTAGCTGGGATTACAGACACACGCCACCACTCCCGGCTAATTTTTATATTTTAGTAGAGATGGGGTTTCACCATGTTGGCCAGGCTGGTCTCGAACTCCTGACCTCAGGTGATCCACCCACCTTGGCCTCCCAAAGTGCTGGGTTTACAGGCATGAGCCACCATGCCTGGCTGCTATTTTCTTCTTCCTATTTTTTTTTTTTTTTAGGTAGATTAAGAAAAACTAATGAAGAACTTCTTTTCTGTGTGAAAATTTTAGTTTTTAATAGCAATTTCAGTTTGTAATAGACATGCATGAAACTTTTCTGTGGGAAGGTATTAAGGGCTGAGTACTACATGTATTTTGTTGAATAACTAACCTCTCTCTCAGTGGAATGATTTTCGTATTTATAAAAGAAAAAGAATGACCCCTAAGCCCTAACAAAACCTTCAAGACATGAAGAAAGAGTTATTATTATTATTATTTTATTTATTTATCTTTTTGAGACAGAGTCTAGTTCTGTCGCCCAGGCTGGAGCACAGTGGTGCGATATCGGCTCACTGCAGCCTCTGCCTCCTAAGTTCGAGTTATTCTCCTGCCTCAGCTTCCCAAGTAACTGGCATTACAGGCACCTGCCACCACGCCTGGCTAATTGTTGTATTTTTTAGTAGAGACAGGGTTTCACCATGTTGGCCAGGCTGGTCTCAGAACTCCTGACCTCAGGTGATCTGCCTGCCTCGGCCTCCCAAAGTGCTGGGATTACAGGCATGAGCCACCACACCTGGCAAGAGTTTTAATTCTTCTTCTTCTTCTTCCTCTTCCTCTTCCTCTTCCTCCTCCTCTTCCTCCTCTTCCTCTTCCTCCCCTTCTTCCTCTTCCTCTTCTTCCTCCTCTTCCTCTTCTTCCTCTTCCTCTTCTTCCTCTTCCTCTTCTTCCTCCTCTTCCTCCTCTTCCTCTTCCTCCTCCTCTTCTTCCTCCTCCTCCTCCTCTTCTTCTTCTTCCTTCTCCTCCTCCTCTTCCTTCTCCTCTTCCTCCTCTTCATCCTCTTCCTCTTCCTCTTCTTTTTTTTTTTTTGTGGCAGGGGAAAGAGTTTCATTCTTGTTGCCCAGGCTGGAGCGCAGTGGCGCGATTTCGGCTCACTGCAGCCTCCGCCTCCCGGGTTCTAATGATTCTCTTGTCTCAGCCTCCTGAGTAGCTGGGATTACAGGCATGCGCCACCACGCTCAGCTAATTTTGTATTTTTTTTTTTTTTTTTAGTAGAGACGGGGTTTCACCGTGTTGGTCAGGCTGGTCTCGAACTCCTGACCCCAGGTGATCCACCCACCTCGGCCTCCCAAAGTGCTGAGATTACAGGTGTGAGCCACCGCGCCTGGCCATCTTTAATTTAATGGTTTATGTGAGGGTTTTTGATATCAGTTTTTTTTTTTCAAGACAGCGTCTCTCTCTGTCACCCCAGGTAGATGGAGTGCAGTGGTGTGATGTCGGCTCACTGCAACTTCTACCTCCGCGGCTAAAGCGATCCTTCAACTTCAGCCTCCCAAGTAGCTGAGGCCTCTCAGCCTCCCAAAGTGCTGGTATTACAAGTGTGTACCACCGTGCTTGGCCAATTGTTTTCTGGGAGGCCAAGGTGGGTGGATCGCTTTGAGTCCAGGAGTTTGACACCAGCCTGGGTAACATGGCAAAACTCCATCTCTACAAAAAATACAAAAATTAGCTGGGCATGGGGACATGTGCCTGTAGTCCCAGCTACTTGGGAGGCTAAGGTGGGAGGATTGCTTGAGCCTGGGAAGTTGAGGCTGCAGTAAGCTGTGATTGTGCCACTGTACTCTAGCCTGGGCAGCAGAGGGAAACCTTGTTTCAGAAAAAGAAAAAAAATTATGGGTACATAGTAGGTATATATATTTATGAGGTACATGAGATATTTTGATACAGGCATACAATGCGTAGTACTCACATCAGGGTAAATGGGATATCCATCACCTCAAGCATTTATCCTTTCTTTATGTTACAAACATTCCCGTTATGCTCTTAAAGTTATTTTGAAATGTACAATAAATTTTTGTTGGCTGTAGTAATCACGTTATGCTATCAAATACTGGATCTTACTCATTTTGTCTAACTTTTTTTGTACCCATTAACCATCCCCCTTTCCCTCTACCGCCACTGCCCTTCCCAGCCTCTGGTAACCATCATTCTACTCTCTGTTTTCATGAGTTCAAGTGTTTTAATTTTTAGCTCCCACAAGTTTGTCTTTCTGTGCCTGGTTTATTTCACTTAATGTAATGTGTTCCAGTTCTATCCATGTTTTTGTAAATGACAGGGTTTCACTGTTTCTATGGCTGAGTAGTACTCCATTTTGTATATGTACCACATTTTGTTTATGTTTGTCTCTTGATGGACATTTAGGTTGCTTCCAAATCCTCACTATTGTGAATAGTACTGCAATAAACATGGGAGTGCAGATACCTTTTTGACATACTGATTTCATTTTCTTTGGATAAATACCCAGTAGTGGGATTGCTGGATCATATGGTAATTTTATCTTTAGTGTTTTTTTTCTGAGGAACCTCCATACTCTTCTCCATAGTGGCTGTACTAATTTACATTCCCACCAATAGTGTATAAGGGTTCCCTTTTCTCCACATCCTCACCAGCATTCATTATTGCCTGTCTTTTGGATAAAAGCCATTTCTCCTGGGGTGAGATGATAACTCATTGTAGTTTCAATTTGGATTTCTCTGATGATCAGTGATGTTAATATATCTTTTTATATGTCTGTCATTTGTATGTCTTCTTTTGAGAAGTGTTTATTCAGATCTTTTGCCTATTTTAAAATTGAATTTTTAGATTTTTTATTGATTTTTTTGCATTCCTTATGTATTCTGGTTATTAATCCTTTGTCAGATGGATAGTTTGCAGATATATTCGCCTGTTCTGTGGGTTGTCACTTCACTTGGTTGATTGTTTCCTTTGCTATGCAGAAGCTTTTTAACTTGATGTGATCCCATTCATCCATTTTTGCTTTAGTTGCCTGTGTTTCTGGTGTATTATTCAAGAAATCTATGCCCAGACCTATGTCCTGGAGAGTATTCTCAGTGTTAATGTTTAGTAGTTTCATAGTTTGAGGTCTTAGATTTAAGTCCTTAATCCATTTTGATTTGATTTTTATATAAGGTGAGAGATAGGGGTCAAGTTTCATTCTTCTGCATGTGGATATCCAGTTTTCCCAGCACCATTTGTTGAAGAGACTGTCTTCTCCCCTGTGTATGTTTTGGCACCTTTGTCAAAAATGAGTTCACTGTGGTGTGTGGATGTCTTTCTGGGTTCACTGTTTTGTTCTATTGGTCTGCGTGTCTGTTTTTATGCCAGTACCGTGCTGTTTTGGCTACTGTAGCTCTGTAGTATAATTTGAAGTACGGTAATATGATTCCTTCAGTTTTGTTCTTTTTGCTCAGGATGGCTTTGGCTATTCTGGGTCTTCTGTGGTTCAATAAAAATTTTAGGATTGTTTTTTCTATTTCTGTGAAGAATGTCATTGGTATTTTGGTAGAGATTGCAAGTATTTCTCATACTACCCCAGTTAAATTTCTTTTTTTTCCCCAAGACAGTCTCTTGCTCTGTTTTCCAGGCTGGAGTGCAGGGACGTGATCATTGCTCACTGTAGCCATGACCTCCTGGGTGCAAGCAATCCTCCCACCTCAGCCTCCCAAGTAGCCAGGACTATAGGTATACACCACTACACCCTGCTAATTTTGTTTATTTTTTGTAGAGACAAGGTCTCACCATGTTGCCAGGCTGATATTCAACTCTTGCACTCAAGGGATCTTCTTCCTCAGCCTCCTAAAGTGCTGGGATTACAGGCCTCAACCACTGTGCCTGGCCTATAGTTTTCATTGTAGAGGTCTTTCATTTTGGTTAAGACTATTCCTAGGTATCTTATTTGTAGCTATTGTAAATGGGATTGCATTCTTGATTTCTTTTTCAGATTGTTCTCTGTTAACATATAGAAATGCTACTGATTTTTGTATGTTGATTTTGTATCTTGCAAGTTTACTGAATTTGTTTATGAGTTCTAACAGGTTTTTGGTGGAGTCTTTAGGTTTTCCCAAATATATCATCTGCAAACAGGGATAATTTGACTTCTTCCTTTCCAATTTGAATGCTTTTTCTTTCTTTCTCTTGTCCGATTGCTCTAGCTAGGACTTCTACATTGAATAACCGTGGTGAAAATGGGCATTGTTGTCTTATTCCAGATCCTAGAGGGAAAGGCTTTCAGTTTTTTCCTGTTCAGTCTGATACTAGCTGTGGATCCCTTCTTGTATATGGCTTTTATTGTGTTGAGGTATGTTCCTTGTGTACCCAGTTTCTCAAGGGTTTTTTTTTCTCATAAAAAGGATGTTGAATTTTATCAAATGCTTTTTCAACAATAGTTTAAATGATCATATGGTTTTTGTCCTTCATTCTGTTGACATGATGTATCACATTCATTGATTTGCATATGTTGAGTCATCCTTGCATCCCTAGGATAAATTCCACTTGGTCACGATAAATGATCTTTTTTTTCTTTTTTTTTTTTTTTTTTTGTGAGACTGAGTCTCACTCTGTCGCCCAGGCTGGAGTGCAGTGGTGCAATCTTGGCTTACCGCAACCTCCATCTTCTGGGTTCAAGTGATTCTCCTGCCTCAGCCTCCCAAGTAGCTGGGACTACAGGTGCGTGCCACTACACTCAGCTAATTTTTTGTATTTTTAGTAGAGACCAGGTTTCACCACGTTAGCCAGGATAGTCTCGATCTCCTGACCTTGTGATCTCCCTGCCTCGGGCTCCCAAAGTGCTGAGATTACAGGTATGAACCACCACGCCCAGCCTGAATGATCTTTTTCACATGTTGTTGAATTTGGTTTGCTGGTATTTTGTTGAAGATTTTTGCATCAATGTTCATCAGGGATATTAGCCTGTAATTTTCTTTTTTTGATGTATCTTTATGTGGTTTTGGTATCAGGGTAATACTGGCCTTAAAAGATGAGTTTGCAAGTATTCCCTTTTTCATTTTTTTGGAGTAGTTTTAGTAGGATTGGTATTAGTTCTTTAAATGTTTGGTAAAATTCAGCAGTGAAGCTGTCAGGTTCTGGGGTTTTCTTTGCTGGGAGATTTTTATTACAGCTTCATTACTTGTTACTGTTCTATTCAGGTTTTGGATTTCGTCATGGTTCAATTTTGGTAGATTGCATGTGTCTAGGAATTTATCCATTTCTTTCTAGGTTTTCCAATTTATTGGTATATAGTCATAGTAGTCTCTAATGGGACTTTGGATTTCTGCAGTGTCAGTTGTAATGCTTCCTTTTTCATTTCTGATTTTATTTATGTGAGTCTTCTCTTTTTTTCTTCATCTGTCTAAAGGCTTATCGATTTTATCTTTTCAAAATACCAACTTTTCATTTTTATTGATCTTTTGTATTGCTTTTTTCATTTCAATTTCATTTATTTCTGCTCTAAGTTTTTTTCTTCTGCTCATTTTGTGTTTGATTCGCTCTTACTTTTCTAGCTCTTTTTTTTTTTTAATTAAAAAAATAGAAATGGAGTCTTACTATATTGCAAGAGTTTATAGAGCTTGAGCCCAGGCTAGTCTTGAACTCCTGGGCTCAAGTGATCTTCTTGCCTTGGCCTCCCAAAGTGCTGGGATTACAGACATGGACCACCATGCCTGGCCACTTTTCTAGTTTTTAAGATGCATTATTAGGTTATTTGAAGTTTTTCTACTTTTTTGATATAGATGCTTATTGCTGTAAACTTTTCTCTTAGTAGTACTTACACTGTATCCCATTTGTTTCTTCTGTTTCCGTATCCATTTGTTTCAAGAAATTTAGGCCAGGCATGGGGCTTACACCTGTAGTCCTAGTACTTTGTGACGCCAAGTTGGGCAGACTGCCTGAGCTCAGGAGTTCAAGACCAGCCTGGGAAACATGGTGAAACCCTGTCTCTACTAAAATACAAAAAAAACCAGGCGTGGTGGTGTGCGCCGGTAGTCTCAGCTACTTGGGATACCAGGGCATGAGAATTGCTTGAACTCGGGAGGGAGAAGTTGCAGTGAGCTGAGATGACGCCATTGTACTCTAGTCTGGGTGACAGAGCGAGATTCCGTCTCCAAAAAAAAAAAAGAAATTTTAAAATTTTCTTCTTATTTTGTTCAGTGGCCTAGTGGTCATTCAGGAGCATGTTGTTTAATTTCCATGTGTGTGTATGGTTTCCAAAATTCCTCTTGTTATTGATTTCTAATTTTATTCCATTGTGGTAATAGAAGATAGTTGATATGATTTCAGCTTTTTGGAATTGTTTTATTATTTATTTTTATTTATTTTTTCCTTAACCCACCTTTCAGGAAGATTTTTTTTTTAAATTATTTAAGATGTGTTTTGTGGCCGAACATATGGTCTATTCTTGAGAATGATCCATGTGCTGAGGAGAAGAATGTGTATTCTGCAGCCATTGGATGAAATGTTCTGTAAATATCTATTAGTTCCATTTGGTTTACAGTGCAGATTAAGTCCAACATTTCTTTGTTGATTTTCTGTCTGAATGATCTTTCCAATGCTGAAAGTGGGGTGTTGAAGTCTCCAGCTATTACGGTATTGAGGTCTCTCTCTCTTTAGCTCTAATAATATTTGCTTTATATATATCTGGGTGATCCAGTGTTGGGTACATATATATTTATAATTGTTACATCCTTTTGCTGAATTGACCCCTTTCTGATTATATAATGACCTTTGTCTCTTTTAAGTTTTTGTCTTGAAATCTATTTTTTCTGATACACATGTAGCTACTTCTCTTTTTTGGTTTCCATTTGCATGGGTTATCTTTTTCTCTCCCTTTGTTTTCAGTGTATATGTGTCTTTATAGGTGAAATGTGTTTCCTGTAGGCAGCAGATTGTTGGGTCTTGTTTTTTAAATCCATTTAACTCTGTCTTTTGATTGGAGAGTTTAGTCCCTTTACATTCAAAGTTATTATTGATGAGTAAGGACTTCTGCCATTTTGTTATTTGTTTTCTGGTTGTTTTGTGGTCTTTTCTTCCCTCTTTCTTTTCTTCCTGTCTTCCTGTTTTGTGAAGGTGATTTTCTCTGGTGACATGTTTTAATTTCTTTTTATTTTTTGTGTATCTTTTGTAGGTTTTTTGATTTGAGGTTACCATAAGGCTTGCAAATAACCCATTCGTTTAAACTGATGACAACTTAACACTGATTATTAAAACAAATAAACTAACAAAGAGAAAACTAATAAAAATGTCTGTAATCCTAGCTACTCAAGAGGCCGAGGCGAGATGATCCCTTGAGCCCAGGAGTTTGAAGCTGCAGTAAGCTATGACTGTGCCACTGCACTTCAGCCTAGCTGACAGGATAAGACCATGTCTCAAGAAAAAAATAAATAAAGAGCCAGACACAGTGGCGCACACCTGTAATCCCAGCACTTTGGGAGGCTGAAGTACGTGGATCACTTGAGTCCAGGAGTTCAGTACCAGTCTGGGCAACATGGGGAGACCTGTCTCTACAAAAATACAAAAAAATTAGCTGGGCATGGTGATGCACACCTGTAGTTCCAGCTGCTGGGGGGCCAAGGTAGGGAGATCGTTTGAGCCCAGGAGGTCAAGGCTGTGGTAAGCCAAGATTGTGCCACTGCACTCCAGCCTGGGGGACAGAGCAAGACCCTGTCTCAATTAAAAAAAAAAAAAAGAACAGGGAGTGTAGTCTTGAGTTAGCAGCTCCTTTGTCCCTAATTACGTGTATTACTTTGTTTAATCTTCACAACAAACCTGTATTACAGATACAAAAATAAACATTTTATACCTAAAGAAACTGAAGTTTACAAAGTTTAAGTAACTTGCCCAAGATCACACAGCTTTGAAGTATAAGAATACACTACACCTTGGAATCGTATCAGAGTTGTCACAGAATTGAAGGGAAAGTTGAAAAATGGGCAAGAAGGCATGGGATGCTAAGCAGCAGGGACCCCAGGCAGAACCATATCACAGAATCATCTGATTTGAGCACACACTTGGCACTTCTACCACTGTATGCCCAGCAGCAGTGCTATTGGATCCTTGATGCCAGCATGGACAATTTATTAACTATTCTTTATTTTTATGTCTTTCTTTCAAAATTCAAATGATAATCTAGTTGTCAAGTGACATCTAGTTGTCCGGCCCCGTTTCTTTCTTTCTTTTTTTTTTTTTTTGAGATGGAGTCTCACTCTGTCGCCTAGGCTGGAGGGCAGTGGCACGATCTCAGCTCATTGCACTTCCGCTTCCTGGGTTCAAGCGATTCTCCTGCCTCCGCTTCCCAAGTAGCTGGGATTATAGGTGCCCGCCACCATGCCTGGGTAATTTTTTGTATTTTTAGTAGAGACAGGGTTTCGCCATGTTGGCCAGGCCTGTCTCGAACTCCTGACCTCAGGTGATCCACCCACCTCATCCTCCCAAAGTGTTGGAATTACAGGCCTGAGCCACCGCGCCTGGCCCTGTCTGGCCTCATTTCATGTGCTAGTGTTGTCCTAGATGGAGAGGAATATCTGGCCTGTTTGGCTTCTATAGTAGAGCATTGAGCTGTGCTTCCCACCAAGACTGACACAACCAAAGATTCAAAGGAAGAGTATTTTGATGCTGGGCAACAATACAAAGGGTAAATATCCGCTGTACCAGCTGTGGGTATGCAGATGCCCACGTAGCATTCTGCTGAAGACTGGCTGAACTAGGAAGCTGTGCCTTCCCCATAAAGCTGGCTATTTTTTCCTGAGACCAGAGTCTGCCTAACAGAGCTCAGTAGGACTTCCAAGCAGTATACCAAGTACAGGAGTTTTCACATGAGGACCTCTGCCTATTTCTGATTCACTAAAGCAGGGGTAAATGACCAGCAGAACCAGCCAGCTCTTAGGGTCAATCTGAGGAGGGAGTGTGTAGAAAATAAATGCATGTGGAAAACACCTCCCTAACTTCTGGTCTTACTGATCTTCAGTATGGTATCCTAAGACCCTGAATTTGTATGTTATTGGGCAATATTTCACTGCAGCTTTACCTGATTAACCATATTAAATGTTTTCTTACGAGAGATACAGAATTATTTTGCTTGCATATCTTTGCTCTTCTACACTCTCTTTGCCTTAAGTTTAGAGACCATATTACTTTTGTATCTTATCTTCAGAGTCTAGTATTGTGTCTAGATACACTAGGCACTTAAAAAATTTGACCGGCTGAATGAATGAATTTTCCTTAGCTATCTTTTTATGAAGCTAAATTGATTCTTATGAAATGGTAGTGAATTAATAGTCATGTATGTTTGAAATATTTTATATTTTTTTAGATTAGAAAATAATTCTAAATCTGCTATGAGAAGAAGGACCACAGTGATATTTCCTCTGCTTTTGTTGTTACAGGTTTTCCAGGATTTAGGGATGGAAGTACTGTCTGGAGTTGCCAAAGGCTATAACATATGCCTTTTTGCTTATGGACAGACAGGCTCTGGGAAGACATATACCATGCTGGGGACCCCAGTGAGTATTACAATGATATATATTCCTAATGCCACAGCAAGCCTGAACCTTGCATTGTCCTTACTACTGTGAGACAGAATATGATTTCTGTAGGCAGTCAACTTTAAAGAAGATTGAATGAGCCTTCTTCTGTTTTAAGAATGAGTTTTTCGGCTGGGCGCAGTGGCTCACGCCTGTAATCCCAGCACTTTGGGAGGACAAGGTGGGAACCCGGGAGGCGGAGCTTGCTGTGAACTGAGATCGTGCCATTGCACTCCAGCCTGGGCAACAAGAGCAAAACTCCATCTCAAAAAAAAAAAAAAATGAGTTTTTCAGCATTTAATTGGAAGGTAACCTTTGAATAATTAACCCTTATTTATTTATTTATATATTTTTGAGACGCAGTCTTGCTCTGTCGCCGAGGCTGGAGTGCAGTGGCGCAATTTCAGTTCACTGCAAGCTCCGCCTCCCGGGTTCACGCTATTCTCCTGCCTCAGCCTCCAGAGTAGCTGGGACTACAGGCACCCGCCACCACGCTTGGCTAAGTTTTTGTATTTTTAGTAGAGACGGGGTTTCACCGTGTTAGCCAGGATGGTCTCAATCTCCTCATCTCGTGATCTGCCCGCCTCGGCCTCCCAAAGTGCTGGGATTACAGGCATGAGCCACCATGCCCGGCCTTAACCCCTCTTTATTAAACCCTGAAGAGCCTTAGAATTTTACAGCTCCCTTTGACAAAGCAGTTCTTGTCAGTCCTGCTGAATTTCTACTTATCTCCAGGTTCATTATTTGGATCTGTTTTGCACCTTTGTTGTGGACAAGACCTGGACTAAATCTTAAGTGCATGCTAGAGCTGTGCAGAGATTTGATTATTGTGGCCAAGCTCCAAGCCTACATGTGTTAGATCTGTGTGTTGGAAGAAAGCAGGAGAACTAGCTCCTGAGTCAGGGGCTTTCAAAAGTATGCAGGATTTAATGAGAGGCTTCCTTTATCACAGAAAATCAGGAGGGCAGAGTTGCTTAAGAATACCTTTTTGTTTTGGGTTTAGAAATATCCTGGTCAGGGTGCCAGGTGTAGTAGCTCACACCTATAATCTCAACACTTTGGGGTGGCTGAGGCAGAAAGATCTCTTAAGCCCAGGAATTTGAGAACAGTCTAGGCAACATAGGGAGACTCCATCTCTACAAAAAATACAAAAGTTAGCTGGGTGTGGGGGCACATCCTGTGGTCCCAGCTACTTAGGAGGCTGAGGTGGGAGGATGGCTTCAGCCTGGGAGGTTGAGGCTGCAGTGATTAGCCATGATCTTGCCACTGTACTCCACCCTGGGCAACAGAGTAAGAGACCCTGTCTCAGCTGGGTGGGGTGGCTCATTCCTGTAATACCAGCACTTTGGGAGGCTGAGGCGGGCAGATCACAAGGTCAGGAGTTCGAGGCCAGCCTGGCCAATATGGTGAAACCAAGTCTTTACTAAAAATACAAAAATTAGCCAGACATGGTGGCGTGCGCCTGTAATCCCAGCTACTTGGGAGGCTGAGGCATGAGAATCGCTTGAACCCAGGAGGGAGAGGTTGCGGTGAGCTGAGATTGTGCCATTGCACTCCAGCCTGGGAAATGGGACGAGACTTTGTCTCAAAAAAATAAATAAAAAGAGACCCTGTCTCTAAAAGTATATATGTCCTGTTAGGTGGGTAACAAATAAACACTACACAGGGACATTCTATAGGACATGATTCCTCTTAGATGATTATCCCTGATGCCTTGGGCCTAGCTCATTGCTCGCTTTGTCCTGTGTTTAGTGTGATTTCATAGTATTTGACATTAAAAGAAGAATTGGGGCTGGGCATGTTGGCTCACACCTATAATCCCAGTACTTTGGGAGGCTAAGGCAGGCGGATCACCTGAGCTCAGGAGTTCAAGACCAGCCTGGCCAACGTGGTGAAACCCCATCTCTACTAAAAATACAAATTAGCCAGGTGTGGTGGTGGGTGCCTGTACTCCCATCTACTTGGGAAGCTGAGGCAGGAGAATTCCTTGAACTCGGGAGATGGAGGTTGCAGTGAGCCGAGATCATGCCATTGCACTCCAGCCTGGGCAACAAGAGTGAAACTCCATTTCAAAAAAATAATAATTAAAAAAAAAAAAAGAAATTGGCCACTAAACGAAAAGTATAAAGCCCTTAACCGAGTACAAGTTAGCACTGGATACAAGATGGGAAAAGAAACTACCTCTTTCTAAATGTGTTTTTTTGCTGTTGTTGTTTTTGTTGTTTTGTTTTGTTTTTGAGATGGGGTCTCACTCTGTTACCCAAGCTGGAGTGCAGTGGCACGATCTCAGCTCATTGCAGCCTCTGCCTCCTGGGTTCAAGTGATCCTCCCACCTTAGCCTCCCGATTAGCTGAGACCATAGGCACACGCCACCATGCCTGGCTAATTTTTTTGTATTTTTAGTAGAGACAGGGTCTCCGCAGGTTGCCCAGGCTTGTCTCTAACTCCTGAGCTCAAGTGATCCACCCACCTCGGCCTCCCAAAGTGCTGGGATTACAGGGGTGAGCCACCACACCTGGTCTAAATGTGTATTTTGAATACTCATATACTCTTGTCCGCCTGTAAGGACTGGAGGTATAGGGGGCTGGGGGAACATTGGTAAAGTGTTTTTATCCAAGAATAATGTAATCTTCATTGCATAAAAGCAGGTATCTGGGTTTGCCGGCTTCTCCTCTTTTCCTTCTTATGGTGATACATATTCCTCTCATTTGGTACATTTCTCCCATGAGTGTCTCTCAGAGCACTGGCACATAAAAGTCTTCTATATTCCCCAGTGAAACTGCCTGGAGTGAAGAGGCTAGCACAAGGAGTCCATGCACTCATCCCCCATGCTGAGGATGGTTCCTGGGTATTCTGTGGGGGAGAGCATCATCTTAAGTAAACAATAATGCTTTCCTTTCTTCTGTTCACCAGGCCTCTGTTGGGTTGACACCACGGATATGTGAGGTATAGACTATCTTTTGGCTGGATCCTCTCAAAGTAGGTCTCTCTACAATTCCTACAATGAAACCCCAACCCTCTGGTTTGTGCAGGGTCTCTTCGTCAGGGAGAAAGACTGTGCCTCACTGCCTTCCTCCTGTAGGATAAAAGTAAGGTAAGAACCTCCCAAGCTCTGGGACCTACAGTAGTTCTTCTTCTACTCCAAATTCTACCATGTTCAGCTGTCCTCTCTTTGCTTCCAGAGTCACCACAGGGATGGAGAAAAGCCACAGAAGAAATATCTTGCAGTACAAGAGCTGAGAAAGATACTTAGGCCCTTGGTTGTAGGAAACTTAATTTCCTACCCATAGACTTAACAAGCAGGTCTTTCCTTCTGTGGCCCAACTTACCCTGGCTGTCTAGTAGCCCTTGAGATGCCTTCACAGAACAATAGAGCTCAACGGTCATGTTTGAAATTCACTCAAGAAACAACCTCTGTGGCTGGGTGCGGTGAATCTGGGAGGCGGAGGTTGCAGTGAGCCAAGATTGTGCCACTGCACTCCAACCTGTGAGACAGAGCGAGACTCTGTCTCAAAAATAAAAAATACAAAAAACTCTATTGTATATGTATGGAAAGAGAATCAAGGGGGAACCTTGGCTTGATCATTGCCTTAGAGTGTCAGAAGTGGAGCTGGAACAAGAACTAAGACCTCCTGATTTTTAGCTCAATGTTGTTTCTACTTTTTTTCAAAATATAATTATGTTGCCTTTTTCTACTTAACTCTAGTTTTCTAGAAATCTATAATGAACGGGTGCGGGATCTGTTGAAGCAATCTGGTCAAAAAAAGTCCTATACCCTGCGGGTCAGGGAGCATCCAGAGATGGGGCCCTATGTACAAGGTGAGCTACTGTGGTCCTGGAGATCTGAAACCAAACTGAAGCCTGGGAAGCTCTCCTAATGTTCCCTAATTCATTGAACATAGGTGTAATGAACACTTATCGTGTGCCAGCTACTGTACTAGACACTGAATATGTATTGATAAATAGAGAAGACGTGGTCCTGCCCTCAGGCAAGCTTACAATCTAGTGGGTGTGAGTCAGGAAACAAACAATTACAAGTAGTGATAAAGGTTAATAAATAAATGGATGTCAATGGCAAAGAACGTTGGAAAGTGTTGGTGGCCCACCTGTATGAGGTGATCAGGAAGAGCTTCTCTGAGGAGGAAACGTTTAAGCTGAGACCTGAAAGGAGTATAGTCGTGTGAAGAATGACGTAACGTGGTGAGAAGTGTTTCAGGAAGAGGGAGTGGAATGGACTAGAGCCCTGGGAGAAGGCTTGATGTTTTCAAGGGGCCAGTGTGGCTAAAGCATGGTGAATGAGAGGGAAAACTGTAGGGAATGTGGTGGGGTCTGCAGGCGCCCAATATGGCATGGCCTCTACTGGTTCCCTGGTAAACCAGTCCCCTTTCTCTGCCATTGGTGGTGGTAGTCAGACATCAGACATGGGGTAGGATTTGATGTGTTTCCTAACCAAATACTGGTGTTTGGTGCTTGGTACCATCTGTCTTATATCATTAAGGTAGGTCCTGCTATTAAGTAGCAACAGATGGGTTCTTTTATAGGCGAAGTTTTTACCCTTCCAGGCCACTTATAAGAAGTAATATATGGCCCAGGTGCAGTGGCTTACGCCTGTAATCCCAATGCTTTGGGAGGCTGAGATTGGTGAATTTGCTGGAGGTCAGGAGTTCGAGAGCAGCCTGGCCAACATGGTGAAACCTTATCTCTACTAAAAATACAAAAGATTAGCTGGGTGTGATGGCACATACCTGTAATCCCAGCTACTCGGGAGGCTGAGGCAGGATAATCACTTAAACCTGGGAGGCAGAGGTTGCAATGAGTCGAGATTGCGCAACTGCACTCCAGCCTGTGCGACAGAGCAAGACGCCATCTCAAAAAAAAAAAAAAAGTAATGTATATTTTATGTTCCTGTAGCAGTATGCTAGTTTATTTTTTATTTTTATTTTTTTAGCCACAAGGTCTTATTCTGTCACCCAAGCTGGAATGCAGTGATGCAAACATAGCTCACTGCAACCTGAACTCCTGGGCTCAAGTGATCCTTCCGCCCCAGTCTCCCAGGTAGCTAGGGCTACAGGTGTGCATCTAGGCAGCGGATTTTTAAATTTGCTGTAGAGATGGGATCTCACTATGTTGCCCAGGCTGGTCTTGAACTCCTGGCCTCAAGTGATCTTCCCACCTCAGCTTCCTAAAGTACTAGGATTATAGATGTGAGCCAGCGTGCTTGGCTGTAGTATGCTAATTTAAATCCTGATAAGGAGCGGGACATGAACATCAAGAGCCGGTCTTTTCTCTGGTCAGGGCATGGCAAATGGATGACGCAATAGGTATGCTAGTGACTGATTCTGCTACCTATGTCTTTTCCCAAATGTTTAATCATAAATAGCAGCCTAGAAACAACAACAAAAACACCATTTCCTTTGCTAGGAACCAGTTTAAGTTTGCTCTGTAAAACTCTGTGGGTATACATATCTGTGTAAAGCAATACTTTCAAGGCAGACCATGAGTTGATGCAGCAGTATCAAACTTCTCATCTTAAAAGTCTGTGTGTGGGCCGGGTGCAGTGGCTCACGCCTGTGATCCCAGCTCTTTGGGAGGCTGAGGCGGGCAGAACATGAGGTCAGGAGATTGAGACCATCCTGGCCAACATAGTGAAACCCTGTCTCTACTAAAAATTCAAAAAAATTAGCCGGGCGTGTGGCACACACCTATAGTCCCAGCTACTCGTGAGGCTGAGGCGGGAGAATCGCTTGAACCTGGAGGTGGAGGTTGCAGTGAGCCAAGATCGCGCCACTGCACTCCAGCCTGGCAACAGAGCAAGACTCCGTCTCAAAAAAAAAAAAAAAAAAAAAGTCTGTGTGTGTATGTGTGGGAGGAGTAACCATAGGAGACCTCAGACATAGTTCAGATATCCGCATTATACAGAAAACAATGAAATCTGGAGAAAGTTAAGGGTTGTTCCCAAAGTCACACAGTTAGAGTTGGGACAGAATTGAAACTGGGAAACTTGCATTGCATTGGAAGAGAAGAATGGAACAGAATCCTGTATATCAAGAACCTGGAAGGAGACCTAGGTTCCTAGATGATTTGATTGGTATAGTACCTGCAACTCAGAAAATATGACTCTTGGAAGGTCATATAGCTTGGGTCATGTGTCCAATGTCAATGACAGGATCAGGATTCAAATCTCAGGGTTCATGGTGCAAAGTTCAGGACACTTTTGGATACCTTTATGGAGTGAATCCTTGAAGGGAGGGAGGTAGGAAATACTACATTCTAAACCAATAAAAAATCTCTTAGATTCTGTGTTACAAGTTTCTTGAAGCCATTCTGGACTTTCTTAAACCATTACAAATACAGGTGGACATTTCGTTGTTTTGTTTTTTTTTAAATTATACTTTAAGTACTAGGGTACATGTGCACAATGTGCAGGGTTGTTACATATGTATGCATGTGCCATGTTGGTGTGCTGCACCCATTAACTCTTCATTTACATCGGGTATATCTCCTAATGCTTTCCCTCCCCCCACCCCACAACAGGCCCCTGTGTGTGATGTTCCCCTTCCTGTGTCCAAGTGTTCTCATTGTTCAATTCACAGGTGGACATTTCTTTTTTCTTTTCTTTTTTTTTTTTGAGACAGAGTTTTGCACTTATTG
Source organism: Homo sapiens (assembly GCF_000001405.40). NCBI lineage: Eukaryota > Metazoa > Chordata > Mammalia > Primates > Hominidae > Homo > Homo sapiens. Next base: position 42,641,645 of record NC_000015.10, read on the forward strand.
CCCAGACTGGAGTGCAATGGCGCGATCTCGGCTCACCACAGCCTCCACCTCCCAGGTTCAAGCGATTCTCCTGCCTCAGCCTCTCGAGTAGCTGGGATTACAGGCATGAGCCACCACGCCTGGCTAATTTTTTATTTTTAGTAGAGATGGGGTTTCTTCCATGTTGGTCAGGCTGGTGTTGAACTCCTGACCTAGGTGATCCACCTGCCTCGGCCTCCCAAAGTGCTGAGATTACAGGCATGAGCCACCGCGCCCGGCTGACATTTCTTAATGAAGGAGCCATGAGCTGAAATAGTATAGAACCAGCCTTGGAAGCTAGGACCCTGAGTAGTCACACTGAACTATGTTATTCTCATCATCACCCTCTGATGAGATCTTAGTAAACTTTTTTAAAAAAATGTTTTCTTTCTTTATTGATACATATATCTTATCTATCTGCCTGTCCATCTGTCTTAAGGCTTATCCATTCTGTGAATATGACTTTAAAGTGGAAAGTGGTTTCTGGCATGAAACCAATTCTACAGAAATTTATTGAGTACCTACAAGATGCCTATACTATTCCAGGTGCCATGGGAAATATGAAAATATAAGCCCTTAAAGAACTTGCAGTTCCAGTTCAGAATTGTGAGATGGACCTTGATAGCTACCTAAATCCAAAGAAAGGAAAAGAGTAGCCTTTCCATTAAAAAGTTTATTTATTAGTCGAGAGATTAAGTTGAAATCTGAAATGCACAAGGGCCTGCCCAAAGCACACATAAGAGGCCAGTGGTTATAGGATCTAAACTGATATCTAAGTGAGACAAAGACAATATTGTATTTTTACTGTGGCCTTTATTTTAATATAAAGGTACAGGTGCAAACCAAGAAGCAGGTAGTTGGAACTTGAGAAAAATTCTGTATTTCCTGTGTACTCAATCTATAAGTCACAGGAGTTTCCCCCCAACCCCAACCATTTAGTTCTTGTGCCTTTTTTTTCTTGCCTTTCTGCATAAACTAGGACCTCTAGTACAATAGTAAATAAAAGTGGTGACAGTCTTGTTCTCAGAGGAAAGCTTCACCATTTTACCATTAAGTAATATATTTGCAATAGTGATTGTTTTTAATAGATATTCTATATGCTTCTCAAACTGTAGTGAAGGACCAGTTTTTTTTGTGGTGGTGTTTTTGTTTTTGGATCAGAGTCTCACACTGTCATCCAGGCCGGAGTGCAGTGGCACGATCGTGACTCACTGCAGCCTCAAACTCCTGGACTCAGGCAGTCCTCCTACCTCAGCCTCCCAAGTAGCTGATACTACAGACATGTGCCATCATGCCCAGCTAATTGTTTTTTATTTTTTCTTTTAGAGATGGAGTCTAGCTATGTTGCCCAGGTTAGAAGAACCAGTTTTTTTTTTTTTTAATTCCAATCTTTGGTATACTAATACATTTATAAAATAAAATAAGGATGAATTACTAGAAAAAATTAAAGGAATATCTTAATTACAAGCCCCAAATCTTCTTTACTAGATTCAACAGATATAAAATTACTTTATCAAAGTTACCCTTTTATTGTTTTTGGTTTTGTTTTTTTGAGACGGAGTCTTGCTTTGTCACCCAGGCTGGAGCGCAGTGGTAGGATCTCAGCTCACTGCAACCTCTGCCTTCCAAGTTTGAGTAATTCTGCTGCCTCAGCCTCCTGAGTAGCTGGGATTACAGGCACACACCACCATGCCTGGCTAATTTTGGATTTTTAGTAGAGACGGGGTTTCACCATATTGGTCAGGCTGGTCTCGAACTCCTGACCTCAGGTGATCCACCTGCCTTGGCCTCCCAAAGTGTTGGGATTACAGGCGTGAGCCACTGTGCCCGGCCCCTCGTTCTTTTTAAAAAAAAACAGAGTCTCGCTCTGTCGCCCAGGCTGGAGTGGCACGATCTTGGGTCACTGCAACCTCTGCCTCCCGGGTTCAAGCGATTCTCCTGCCTCGGCTGAGGCAGCTAGTCCTGACTAGCTGGGACTACAGATGTGCACCACCACGCCCAGCTAATTTTTGTATTTTAGTAGAGGTGGGGTTTCACCATGTTGGCCAAGATGTCAAACTCCTGACCTTGTGATCTGCCTGCCTTGGCCACCTCTTTTGTAGTATATTTATTTATAGCTATAAATTTCCTTGTAAGCATGACTTTAGCTGTATTGCACCAGTTTTAATGTGTAGTATTTTCATCATCAATCAGTTTAAAGTATATATAATTTCCAATATGATTTCTTTTGACTCATGGATTTAGAAGTGTGTTTCTTTATTTTTTAACACTCAGGGATTTTCTAGTTGTATTTTTGTTATAGGTATCTAGTTTAATAGTATTGAGTTCAGAGAACATGCTCCACATAATTTCACCTAAAACAACATGTATACAGACATGCTTTGGATATATTTGGTTTGATTCCAGACCACCACAATAAAGTATCACAATAAAGCAAAAATCAAAATAAAAACACAAATGTTTTGGTTTCCCAGTGCATATAAAAGTTATATTTATGCTATATTTTATTAAGTACGAAGTAGCATTATGTATTAAAAATGTACATACTTGGCCGGGCATGGCGGCTCACGCCTGTAATCCCAGCACTTTGGGAGGCTGAGGCAGGCAGATCACAAGGTCAGGAGATAGAGACCATCCTGGCTAACATGGTGAAACCCCGTCTCTACTGAAAATACAAAAAATTAGCCGGGTGTGGTGGCGGGCACCTGTAGTCCCAGCTATTCGGGAGGCTGAGGCAGGAGAATGGCATGAACCCGGGAGGCAGAGATTGCAGTGAGCCAGGATCACGCCACTGCACTCCAGCCTGGGTGACAGAGTGAGACTCCGTCTAAAAAAAAAAAAAATGTACATACATTAATTTAAAAATACTTTATTGCTAAAAAATGCTAGTGGTTACCTGAGCCTTCAGTGAGTCATAATCTCTTTGCTGGTGCAGGATTTTTTCTTAGTGATGATGGCGGCTGACTGATCAGGATAGTGATTGCTGAAGGTTGGGATGGCTGTGGCAATTTCTTAAAACAACTTATGGAGTTTGTTACATCAATTGACTCTTCCTTTCATGAAAAATTTTTCTGTAGTGTGAAATGCTGTTTGATAGCATTTTACTCACAATAGAACTTATTTCAGAGCTGGAGTCAGTCCTCTTAAATCCTGACACTCTTTTATCAACTAAGTTTATATAATATTCTGTTTCATTTTTTTGTCATTTCACACAGCATCTTCACCAGGAGTAGGTTCCATCTCAAGAAACCACTTTCTCTGCTCATCCATAAGAAGCAACTCATCATCCATTCAAATTTGATCCTGAGATTGTGGCAATTCAGTCACATCTTCAGGCTCCACTTCTCATTCTACTTCTCTTGATAGTTCCACCACTCTGGAATTACTTCCTCTACCAAAGTCTTGAACCCCTTAAAGTCATTCATGAGGGTTGGAACCAACTTATTCCAAACCCCTCAATGTTGATATTTTGAGCTCCTCTCATGAGTCATGAATGTCCTTAATGCCATCTAAAACGGTGAATTCTTTCTGGAAAGTTTTCAATAGACTTTGCCCAGATCCATCAGAGGAATCACTGTGACAACTATAGCTTTATGAAATGTATTTCTTAAATTATCAGACTTCAAAGTTGAAATGATTCCTTGGTCCATTGGCCATAGAACAGATGTTATGTTAGCAAGCATGAAAAGAACATTAGCTTCTTGTACGTCTCCATCAGAGCCCTTGGGTGACCAGGCACACTGTCAATGAGCAGTAATATTTTGAAAATAATCTTTTTTTCTGAGCAGTAGTTCTCAACAGTGGGCTTACTGTAAGCAGATACGCTGTCATCCAGGCTTTATGGTTCCATTTATAGGGCACAGGCAGAGTAGATTTAGCATGATTCTTAAGGGCCCTAGGATTTTTTTTTTTTTTTTGAGAGAGGGAGGGTCTTGCTCTGTCACCCAGTCTGGAGTGCAGTGGCGTGATCACAGCTCACTGCAGCCTCAACTTCCCAGGCTCATGTGATTCATTTTCCCACCCATGCGCTACCATACCTGGCTAATTTTTTGTGTATTTTGTGGAGACAGGGTTTCACCATGTTGCCCAGGCTGGTCTTGAACTTGTGGGCTCAAGAGATCCACCTGCCTTGGCCTCCCAAAGTTCTGGGATTACAGCTGTGAGTCACCGCGCCCAGCCTGGCCTTAGGATTTTCAGAGTGATAATGGCTTCAATTTAAAGTCATGGTGGCTCATGCCTGTAATCCCAGCACTTTGGGAGGTTGAGGTGGGTGGATCACCTGAGGTCAGGAGTTCGAGACCAGCCTGGCCAACGTGGTGAAACCCCCATATCTACTAAAAATACAAAAATTAGCCAGACGTGGTGGCTGGTGCCTGTAATTCCAGCTACTCGGGAGGCTAAGGCAGGAGAATCACTTGAACCCAGAAGGCAGAGGTTGCAGTGAGCCGAGATTGTGCCACTGCACTCTGGCCTGGTGAACAAGAGTGAAACTCCGTCTCAACAACAACAACAACAATAATAATAATGATAATAATAATAATAAAATAAAGTCACCAGTTGCATTAGCCCCTAACAGGAGAATCGGCCTGTCCTTTGAAGCTTTGAAACCAGACATTGGCTGCTGCTTTCTAGCTATAAAAATCCTAGATGACACCTTTTTCCAATGGAAGCCTGATTTGTCTACATTGAAATTCTGTTGTTTAGTGTAGCTACCTTCATTATCTTAGCTTTAGCTATATCTTTTGGATAACTTATTACAGCTTCTCCGTCAGCACTTGCTTGCTTCACCTTGCACTTAAATGTTACTGAGAAGCTTCTTTCCTTAAACCTCATGAACCACCCTCTGCCAGCTCCAACTTTTCTTCTGCAGCTTCTTCACTTCTCTCAGCCTTCATAGCATTGAAGGGAATCAGGGCTTTGCTCTGGATTAGTCTCTGGCTTAGGAGAATGTTGTGATGGTTTGATCTTCTAACCATACTGTAAAAACTTTCTTCATATCAGCAAGAAGGCTGTTTTGTTTTCTTATCGTTCATGTGTTCACGGAGTAGCACTTTTAATTTCCTTCAAGAACTTTTCCTTTGCATTCACAGCCTGGCCAACTGTTGGGCGCAAGAGGCCTAGCTTTCAGCCTTTCTTGGCTTTCGACATGCCTTCCTTGCTAAACTTCAGCGTTTCTAGCTTTTGATTTAAAATGAGAGACTCTTTCACTTGGACACTTAAAGGCCATTGTAGGGTTATTGGCCTCATTTCAATATTGTTGTGTCTCAGGGAATAGGGAGGCCTGAGTAGAGGGAGAAAGGTAGGGGAAAGGTTGGCTGGTGGAGCAGTCAGAACATATACATTTATCAATTAAGTTCGCTTTTCTATACGATTCTTGGTGTACCAACACAATTATAATAGTAACATCAAAGATTACTGGTCACAGATCATCATAACAGATATAATAATAATGAAAAAGCTTCAAATATGTATAGCACAGTTTGATTTGTAGCCTAGCACATTGGCCAGTTTTTGTAAATTTTCCATGTATGCTTGAAGAGAATATGTATTATACAATTGTTGGGCATAGTGTTTATATATTACTATTTATCAGGTTTGATACTTGTTCAAATCTTCTGTACCCCTATTGATTTTATTTTTCCACTTGTTTTAACAGATACTAAGAAATGCAAGTTAAACTTTCCTACTATGAGTATGGATGCCTTTTTCTCCTTTTAATTCTGCCAATTTTTGTTTTATATATTTTGAGGCTTTATTATTACATGCATACAAAATTAGAATTGTTAAAACTTCCTGGTTCATTGAACACTTTTTTCATTGTGAAGGATTTTTCTTTATCTCTAATAATGCTTTTACTTTAAAGTCTACTTTGTCAGGCATTAACGAAACTAGCTTTCTTTGTGTTATTGTTTGTATTTTTATCTTCTTTTCTACTTTTACTTTCAGTTTTCTATGTATGTTTCAGATGTGTTTTTTATTTTAAAAAATTTTCCTTTTGCTTTGTTTTACCTTTGTTTCATCACAGTTTTGGTCTTTTAATTTGGTATTGTGGTCTGCTTGTATTTAATGTAATCACTGATTTTATTTGGGTTTAAATCTGTTATTTTGTGTTTTCTCTTTACTTTTCCTGTTTTATGTTCCTTTTTCGTTACTTTGTCTTTTGGTTTGATAACTTTAAAAAATTATTCCATATTCCTTCTCCACTAGCTTATTATTTACACATTGTCTTACTATTTTGGTGGTTACTCCAGAGATTACAACATAGACCATTGATTTATCAAAGTCTAATATTTACTGGTTGTTCTGCTTCTTCCCAGACAATAAACCTTTTGGACCTTATAAGACTTGAACTCAGTTTGTCCCTTCTTGACTTAAATGCCATTTTTAGGGCTCTTAATTTTTAAAGAATATCCTACCTTTTATCTCTGAGTGCCTTCTACTTCAAGAATAATCTTGTTTTCCCTCTAGTGTGGATCTGCTATTGACAAGTTCTCTTTTGGCTTTTTGTTTGTTTGTTTGAGATGGAGTCTTGCTCTGTCACCCAGGTTAGAGTGCAGTGGCGCGATCTCGGCTCACTGCAACCTCCGCCTCCTGGGTTTGAGCAATTCTCCTGCCTCAGCTTCCCGAGTAGCTGGGATTACAGGCACATGCTACCGTGCCCAGCTAATTTTTGTACTCTTAGTAGAGATGGGGTTTCACCATGTTGGCCAGGCTGATCTTGAACTCCTGACCGAAAGTAATCCACTGGCCTCGGCCTCCCAAAGTGCTGGGATTACAGGCATGAGCCCCCATACCCAGCCTGCTTTTCTTGTTCTTGAAGGTAAAGTTCACTGAGTACAGAATTTTAAATTGATGGTTATTTTCTTTTAGTCATTAAAAATTATACCATTCTCTTCTGCTTTCCACTGTTTTTGCTGAGAAGTCATCTCCTAGTCTAATTTTTTCAATATTTTTACTTTTGTCTTTGAACAGTTTATTATGGTCTACTTATGGGTAGATTTAGGTTTTTAAAAAATCATGCTGGGATTCTTGAATTGTGCTTTTGTATCTTCTTATCAGTTTTGGAAAGTTCTTAGCCATTACCTTTCCCTTTTTTCCCCCCTTCCCTCCACTACCATTACCTCTTATAATAATCCTTCTATCCCATTCTTTCCTCTTCTTTTGGGACTCTAATTACAGGTATGTTAAGGCCTATTGCCTGTATACTCTGTGAGTCTTACCATTTCTTCTATATTTAATTAATTAATTTATTTATTAGACATGAAGTCTTGCTAATGTTGCCCAGACTGGTTTTGGACTCCTGGGCTCAAGGGATCCTCCTGCCTCAGCCTCCCAAGTAGCTGAGATTACAGGTGTGCACACCTAGCCTCCATTTTTTTTTCTTTGAGATGGAGCCTCGCTGTGTTGCCCAGGCTGGAGTGCAATGGCGCAATCTCAGCTCACTGCAACCTCCACCTCCTGGGTTCAAGCGATTCTCTTGCCTTAGCCTCCCGAGTAGCTGGGATTACAGTCGCGCACCACCACAGCCGGCTGATTTTTGTATTTTCATGAGAGACGGGGTTTTACCACGTTGGTCAGGCTGGTCTTGAACTCCTGACCTCATGATCCACCCGCCTCAGCCTCCCAAAGTGTTGGGATTACAGGCGTGAGCCACTGCACCCGGCTCCCTCCATATTTTTAATCTTTTGTCTCTCTGTGCTAAATTTTGAGTATGTTTCTGATCTATCTTCCTGCTCACTCATTCTTTCTTCAGCTATGTCTAACCTGCTATTAAACTTTATATTGAGTTTTTATTTTCACTTACAGTATTATTTCTCAGATATCCATTTTATTATTTCATTATAGTTTCCAAGTTTACAATCTTGTCTTTAAACTCCTTGAAAATATTAAGCAGAGTTACTTTTTTTTTTTTTTGAAACGAAGTTTTGCTCTTATCGCCCAGGCTGGGGTGCAATGGTGAGATCTTAGCTCACTGCAACCTCTGCCTCCTAGGTCCAAGTGATTCTCCTGCCCCAGCCTCCTGAGTAGCTTGGACTATAGGCTCCCGCTACCATGTCCAGCTAATTTTTTGTATTTTTAGTCGAGGTGGGGTTTCACCATCTTGGCCAGGCTGGTCTTGGAACTCCTGACCTCATGATCTACCTGCCTTGGGCTCCCAAAGTAGTACTGGGATTACAGGCATGAGGCACCGAGCCTGGCCTTTTTTTTTTTTTTTTTTTTTGAGATGGAGTTTCGCTCTTGTTGCCGAGGCTGGAGTGCAATGGCGCGATCTCGACTCTCCACAACCTCCGCCTCCCAGGTTCAAGGGATTCTCCTGTCTCAGCCTCCCGAGTAGCTGGGATTACAGGCATGCACCAACACACCCAGCTAATTTTGCATTTTTAGCAGAGACAGGGTTTCTCCATGTTCGCCAGGCTAGTCTCAAACTCCTGACCTCAGGCCCGCCCGCCTCGGCCTCCCAAAGTGCTGGGATTACAGGCATGAACCACAGTGCCCAGCCTTCAGGGTTACTTTTAAGTCGGCCTGGTAGCTTCAGTATCTGGGTCTTTCTTGGATTGCTTTCTATTGACTATTATTTTTGTTGGTTTCATTTATGTTACTTTGTTATTTTGGGTGTAATTGTATTTAGCAATAAGCCCATGAAGTTACTTTGTTTTTGAATCTCTCATACAGAGATTCTCTGGAACAGTTGGGAAGGCCTTTGGGACTTGGTCAGTAACCAGCCATGAAGATTTACTTTCATGCCCGTAGGCTCCTCTTCACCTATCTAAAGCCTCCCCATTCTATAGTGGCTAAATTTAAGTCTCACTTCTTCTGTGGAACCTGTCCTGACCACGCCTCTGATCTCCTCATCATGTATCATCTTTCCAACTCCTGTGGCACTTGGCCATATTGTCTTGTGTAGTGTAACTTACCATGATTGTAAACTGTGGGAGGACAGAGATGAGTGTACTGTGTATTTTGTATGCCAAACCGAGTCTGCCACCTTGTGGGGAAAACAACACTGGCCTACCTCAGGGACTTTGTGAGGGCCAAATGAGAACAGTTCTTATAACCTATATAGCAGAACTGTAAGGAATTATAGTTGTTGTTAGCATATGGTCTATATGACTTATAGACCATAATCTCTGTGAGGACAGAGACCTATATTCCTAGAGTCTATCATATACCTGACAAGAGGTTTCCAATAAATATTTCTTGATTTAATTTATTATCTGAATGAATTTGGCCAGATTCCCTCATTTTTGTCTATTAAACAATATGAAATAGGAATGATAAAGACTTACAAGAAAAGGTTAAAGTTTACCAAAAATCTCATTTAATTTCTTTTTTCCGTTTCACAAATCCGATAGGTTTATCTCAACATGTAGTTACCAATTATAAGCAAGTAATCCAACTCTTGGAGGAGGGAATTGCAAACAGGTAACAGGTTTGTTTGTTTCTGTCATTCTTTTATCCTCACACTCCTATCCTGTGTTCCCATTTCCCTTTGGGGAGTGTATAATGACACTTAAAATTGTCTCTGTGTGTAGAGATGTTCACAACCAGGAGGCTCTTCCCAGAACAATAGTGTTCACAGGGTAAGGGGTGGTGACTAAGATTTAGTCTCTTCTCACTAGTAATGAAGCTGGAATCTGTTCTGGACATAATAATATTAGGCAGTAAGCCCAAGGAAGTTACTCTATATTTTGTTTAGAGCTTCTAAATTTGGAAGAAAGGGTTCTTACCTGCATTGTCCTCTCCTCAGGTTTGATAGATATAAGGATGAATATAGTGTAAAAGGTTCATAAAAACATTTTTTTCTAGTTTTGCATACTTATAAGGTAGCCCCTCAAAAGACTGTTTTGAATCTGCTATGAATAACTAGGTGCTGTAGATTCCCCTAAAAGCTATTGTAAATTGTAATAACATTTCATGTTGTAAGTTACTATGAAATACCTAGAATATTACTAGTAAATGTCCCTAAAAAAGGCTTTTTTTTTCTGGGGTAAAAAGGTCTTTAGAGCCTTCTATTTATCCTGTTAATAGCAGGACCAAGTTAATTGAACATAAAGGAAGAAATTTAAATTTAACATTCTCCTGAGCTTCATGGAACTCTCCTGGAGACACTTACTTCTGGTCTTCAGGGTACCCTGAGCTCCATGATTTTTCAGTGTCAGGCTTGAATCATGAGACTAGCCTCTAGATTTTGGCCCTTTTCTTCAATTCTCCAGATCCTCTGAGAACAGAGCTCAGTGAGATGCTCTTAGATAAAGGAAAACCTCTCCTGACTTTAAGGGTTAACACTGTAATGGATTTCTAAGGGAGACTGTGAATTCCGCCTGGCTTAAGCATGATATTGATGTGATTTAAGATCTCATTTCCAAGATCTTTCTGACACTGTAGAATTAATATTCTGTGTTTAATCAAAACTTACCTTCTCTGTCTTTGAGGTATCTTCTCTAGCAAGCTTTCTACATCCACTTGTCTTATTAAAATGACTCCAAGAATAAAATAAAATAAAGTGAAAGAATAAAATAAAATGGGTCTATCTTGGGCATGTTCTTCCAGGATGATGACGCTCTAGTCTTCATTTCCCTTTTCACTTGAATTTTTGCTTCTATTGCTTAAAAAAAAAAAGTTTCAGTGTAGTTTAGTATGAAGCTACACTCCGTTTTATGCTCAGATATCAGCACCTAGAGTGCTGCTTCTGCCCTCTTTGGACTATTCTCTTCACGATACTGGACTAAATATGTGTGTTTTATGATTCTTGTCGGTGAACCTCAGCACTAACATTTCTTGTATTCTGTATGGATCCTTAAGAATCCACCATGTGTAAACAATCCTCGTCCTAACAGTTTTTCCTTGTATACACAGAATCACAGCAGCCACCCATGTTCATGAGGCCAGCAGCAGATCCCACGCCATTTTCACGATCCACTACACGCAGGTTGGTAACTCCTTATGTTTGGTGAGATTTCTTCCTCTCCTTGTACCTTTAAACCACTTTCTTGTCTTCCTTCCTATTTCTTTTTTTGTTTGTTGGTTTTTGAGACAGGGTCTCAGTCTGTTGCCCAGACTGGAGTGCAGTGGCGCGATCTCGGCTCACCTGAACCTCTGCCTCCCAGGCTCAAACAATTCTCCTGCCTCAGCCTCCCAAATAGCTGGGATTACAGGAGACGCCACCATGCCCGGCTAATTATTTTTTAATTTTTAGTAAAGACGGGGTTTCACCATGTTGGCCAGACTGGTCTCAAACTCCTGACCTCAGATGATCCACCTGGCTCGGCCTGCCTAAGTGCTGGCATTACAGATGGGAGCCATCGTTCCCGGCCCTGTTTCTTTTCCTTTCCTCCTACTCTCATATTTATAGGTCCTCTGATAGAACCTAATATTGTAAACCGGATTTACACACAATCCGTTAAGCTATACACCTAGAATGGGTAGAAGCATTTTATAAAGACTAATCAAAATATCTTCTGCTTATATTTATTTTTAACATTTTAAAACGCTTTCACATCGGTGTGATCAGTATGGACATTTAAAACAAAAGGTTGAAAAGAAAATAAGCATTAAAATGAAATATTAGAAGATTCACTTCCATTGTGATGGATTGAGGAGGTCAAGTCATATCCCCAAAAAGCAACTATAAAGCTGGACAAAATCCTTTCTGTGGTCTGAAAATAGATTAAAGGAATGTAACAAAGTGAGAAGTACCACACCCAAAATAAAATGATGACTAAAAACTTCCTAAATTTGTTGAAAATCATTTATAGATCTAAGAAGCTCAAAGGACTCCAAGTAAAATAAACACAAAGAGATCCACACCTAGACACATCATAGTTAAACTGTTGAAAGACAAAGAGAAAATCTTAAAAACAGCTAGAGAAAAGTGACTTATACAGTAGAACAATTACGTGATGAATGGCTGACTTCTCATCAGAAGCATTGAACCCTTAGAAGTCAGGGGGCTGAGATAATATAAAAAACTGGCAATAAGAACATTCCCAGATTGGAAAAATAAAAAGTAGAATTTATTGCCAGCAGACTTACCTGACAAGAAAACTAAATGAAATCTTCTAGGCTGAAAGAAAGTGATATTAGAAAGTATCTTAAATCTATAGGAGACAGTGAAATATCTGGGAATGATAAATGTGTGAGTAAATATAAAAAAAACCTACATTCTTTCTCGTTTCTTCTCCTAATGTCAATAAAAGAATAAGATTACATAAAACCACAATTGTAACAATGCATTTTTGTACATTGTCATATATGAAAATAACAGCACAAGGGAAATGAAAGGAGATATATTTAAGTAGAGTTACTATATTTTACAGGAATTAAGTTAGTATTATTTTAAAGTAGATCATAAATAAAGATATGTATTGTAATCTGTAGAGCAAGTACTAAGAAAATAGCTCAAAAATACAATTTTAAAAATCAACATTTCTTCTGCCTCCTCTGGGCAGAAAAAACAACAGAAATTAAAATGGTACATATTAATAAAAATACCTAACAGTTAAAGGCAGTGGAGGAAGAACAGAGGAACAAAGGAGATATGAGACACAGAAAAAAGAAAAATCAGACATGGATGGTTCTGAGCACATCAATAATTATTAAATACATTAAGTGTGAATTGCCTAAGGTACAAATTTTCAGATTGCATAAAAGCAAGACCCAACTACATGCTGTCTATAAGAAACACACCTTAGAATCACAGACACAGGTTGAAAGTAAAAGGATGGAAAAAGATATACCATAATAATAGTAACCATAAGTCCTAGCTAGAGTAATGAGACAAGAGAAAGAAATAAAGGGCATCCAGATCAGTAAAGAGGAAGTCAAACTGTTGCTGTTCGCTGACAACATGATTGTATACCTAGAAAACCCTAAAGACTTATCCAAAGAGCTCCTGGAACTGGTAAATGAATTCAGCGAAGTTTCAAGATACAAAATTAATGTACATGAATCAGTAGCTGTGCTATACACCAGCAGCAGACAAGCTGAGAATCAAATCAAGAACTCAACATTTTTTACAATAGCTGAAAAAAAAAAATACTTAGGCATACACTTAACCAAGGAGGTGAAAGACCTGTACAAGAAGAACTACAAAACACCGCTGAAAGAAATCATATATGACACAAACAAATGGAAACATATCTCATGCTCATGGATGGGTAGAATCAGTATTGTGAAAATGGCCATACTGCCTAAAGCAGTCTACAAATTCAATGCAATCCCCATCAAAATACCACCATCATTCTTCACAGAACTAGAAAAGACAGTCCTAAAATTCATATGGAACCAAAAAAGAGCCCACATAGCCAAAGCAAGACTAAGCAAAAAGAACAAATCTGGGCCAGGCGCAGTGGCTCATGCCTGTAATCCCAGCACTTTGGGAGGCCGAGGCAGGCGGATCACTTGAGGTCAGGAGTTTGAGACCAGCCTGGCCAACATGGTGAAACCCCTCTCTACTAAAAATAGAAAAAATTAGCTGGGCGTGATGGCAGGCACCTGTAATCCCAGCTATTCGGGAGGCTGAGGCAGGAGAATTGCTTGAACCTGGGAGGCAGAGGTTGCAGTGAGCTGAGATCACACCGCTGCACTCCAGCCTGGGCAACAGAGTGAGACTTCGTCTCAAAAACAACAACAAAACCAAATCTGGATGCATTACATTACCCAACTTCAAACTATACTATAAGGCCAATAGTTACCAAAACAGCATGGTACTGGGACAAAAACAGGCATATAGACCAATGGAACAGAATAGAAAATGCAGAAATAAAGCCAAATACTTGCAGTCAACCGATCTTTGACAAAGCAAACAAAAACGTAAAGTGGGGAAAGGACACCCTATTCAACAAATGGTGCTGGGATAATTGGCAAGCCACATGTAAGAGAATGACACTGGATCCTCATCTCCCACATTATACAAAAATCAACTCAAGATAGATGAAAGACTTACATATAAGACCTGAAACCATAAAAATTCTAGAAGATAACATTGGAAAAATCCTTCTAGACATTGGCTTAGGCAAAGACTTCATGAGCAAGAATCCAAAAGCAAATGCAACAAAAACAAAGAGAAATAGATGGGACTTAAATAAAACAAAAATCTTCTGCACAGCAAAAGAAATAATCAGCAAACAGCCCACAGAGTGGGAGAAAATATTTGCAATCTATGCATCCTACGAAGGACTAATATCCAGACTCTACAAGGAACTCAAACAAATCAGCAAGAAAAAAACAGTCCCATCAAAAAGTGGGCTAAGGACATGAATAAACAGTTCTCAAAAGAAGATATACAAATGGCAACAAACATAGGAAAAAAATGCTCAACATCACTGATTATCAGGGAAATGCAAATCAAAATCACAATGCAATACCACCTTACTCCTGCAAGAATGGCCATAATAAAAAAATCCAAAAAGAGGCTGGGTCAGTGGCTCACGCCTGTAATCCCAGCACTTTGGGAGTCTGAGGCAGGTGGATCACCTGAGGTCAGGTGTTCAAGACCAGCCTGGCCCACATGGCGAAATGCTGTATCTACTAAAAATAAAAAAATTTGCTGTTGCGCTCCTGTAGTCCCAGCTACTCACGAGGCTGAAGCTGGAGAATTGCTTGAACCTGGGAGGCAGAGGTTGCAGTGAGCCGAGATCATGCCACTGCACTCCAGCCATCTCCTAAAAAAAAAAAAAAAAAAAAAAAAAAAAAAAAAAAAAAAAGATGTTGCCGTGGATATGGTGAAAAGGGAACGCTTTTACACTGTTGATGGGAATATAAACTAGTATCACCATTATGGAAAACAGTGTGGAGATTCCTTAAAGAACTACAGGTAGATTTACCCAGAGGAAAAGAAGTCGTTATATGAAAAAGATACTTGCACATGCATGTTTTAGCAGCACAATTCACATTTGCAAAAATACAGAACCAGCCCAAATGTCCGTCAATGAGTGGTTAAAGAAAATGTGGTGTATGTATACTGTGGAATACATTCAGCCGTGAAAAGGCACCAAATAATAGCATTTGCAGCAACCTGGATGGAATTGGAGACCATTATTCTAAGTTAAGTGTCTCAGGAATGGAAAACCAAACGTATCTTCTCACTCATAAATGGGAGCTAAACTATGAGGACACAAAGGCATAAGAATGATACAAAGGCATAAGGACACATAGGCATAAGGACGCAACAGCATAAGAATGAACTTTGGGGACTTGTGGGAAAGGGGGGTGAGGGATAAAAGACTACACATTGGGTACAGGGTACACTGTTTGGGTGATGGGTGCACCAATATTTCAGAAATCACCACTAAAGAACTTATTCATGTAACCAGACACCATCTGTTCCTCCAAAACCTATTGAAATTTTTAAAAAAGTAAGCATAAGAGAGCTGGAGTGGTATTTTAATGTCAGGCAAAAAATAGGTTTTAAGGCTGGGCGTGGTGGCTCAAGCCTGTAATCCCAGCACTTTGGGAAGCCGAGGTGGATGGATCGCCTGACGTTAGGAGTTTGAGACCAGCCTGGCCAACATGGTGAAACCCCGTCTCTACTAAAAATACAAAAAAAATTAGCCAGGCATGGTGGTGAGCGCTTGTAGTCCCAGCTACTCAGAAGGCTGAGGCAGGAGAATCACTTGAATCCAGGAGGCAGAGGTTGCAGTGAGCTGAGATCGTACCATCACACTCCAGCCTGGGCAACAAGAGTGAGATTCCGTCTCAAAAAAAAAAAAAAAGGTTTTAAGACAAATACTAGAGACAGGAATATTTCATAATGATAAAGGGTCAGTCAGTACATTGAAGAAATACAACATTTATAAATGTATGCACCCTGAACAACCAAACCTCAAAATACATGAAAACACTGATGGAATTGAAAGATTAAAATAGACAGTTCAACAATGGTTGGATATTTCAGTACCTAATTTCCAGTAGTAGGTAGATAACCAAACAGAAATCAGTGAGGAAATAGAAGATTTGAGCAACATTATCAAACTATGTGACCTGACATTTTCAGAACACTTCATCCAACATCACAGAATACACATATTTTCAAGTGCACACGGAGCATTCTCTGAGATAAACCCTATGCTTCCTGAAGCTAAAGTAACCAAGATAGTGTGGTGTTAGTGTTAAGATAAATAGATTACTGGAATAGAATAGAGTCCAAAATAGACTCACACATATATAGGCAACTGATTTTTAATAAAGTTGCAAAGGCAATTCAGTGGAGAAAATATGTTTTCAGCAAATGGTGGGAGAACAATTGGATGTCTATATGAAAAAAAGAACTTTGATCTATATTTTGCACTTTAT
Organism: Homo sapiens; assembly: GCF_000001405.40. Lineage (NCBI taxonomy): Eukaryota > Metazoa > Chordata > Mammalia > Primates > Hominidae > Homo > Homo sapiens. Next base: position 42,657,956 of record NC_000015.10, read on the forward strand.
CGAAAAGTTAACTCATATTGAATCATAGCTCTAAATGGGAAACCTGAAACTATTAAACTTTAGAACATAACTTAGGAGAACCTTTGTGATTCTTGATTAGGCGAAGGTTTTATAGATATGGCACTAAAAACACAAATTGAACAGAAGTACAAATTGAAATCGAGTTAATCACAATTTCAAACTTTTGTACTTTTATAATTTTTTTTTGAGACAGGGTCACACTCTGTCACCCAGGCTAGAGTGCAGTGGCACAATCATGGCTCACTGCAGCCTCAACCTCCCGGGCTCAAGTGATCCTCCCACCTCAGCCTCCCAAGTAGCTGGGACTTACAGGTGTGTGTGTGTGTGTGTGTGTGTGTGTGTACACTTACAGTGTACAAAATAACTTTTGTATTTTTTTTGTAGAGACAAGGTCTCGTTATGTTGCCCAGGCTGGTCTTAAATCCCTAGGCTCAAGTGATCCTCCTGTCTCAGCCTCCCAAAATGCTGGGATTACAGGCATGACCCACCATGCCTGGCCTTTTGCACTTTTTTTTTTTTTTAATGAGACTGATTCTTGCTCTGTCACCCAGGCTGGAGCACAGTGGCACAATCTTGACTCATTGCAACCTCCACCTCCCGGGTTCAAGTGATTCTCCTGCCTCAGCCACCTAAGTAGCTGGGATTACAGGCACGCATTACCATGCCTGGCTAATTTTTGTATTTTTAGTAGAGACGGGGTTTCACCGTGTCGGCCAGGCTGGTCTTGAACTCCTGATCTCAAGCAATCCAGTTTGCCTCTGCCTCCCAAAGTGCTGGGATTACAGGCATAAGCCACCGTGCCTGGCCCCTTTTGCACTTTTAAAGACATTATTAGGAGAATAAAAAGAAAAGCAGGCCAGGTGTGGTGGTTCATGCCTGTAATCCCACCACTTTGGGAGGCCAAGGTGGGTGGATCACTTGAGATCGGGGGTCGAGACCAGCCTAGCCAAGATGGTGAAAACCCTGTCTCTACTAAAAATACAAAAATTAGCCAGGCTTGGTGGCTTGCACCTGTAATCCCAGCTGCTCAGGAGGCTGAGGCAGGAGAATTGCTTGAACCCAGCAGGCAGAGGTTGCAGTGAGCCAAGATCGTGCCACTGCACTTCAGCCTAGGTGACACAGCAAGACTCCCTCGAAAGAAAGAAAGAGAGAAAAGAAGAAGGAAAGAAGGAAAAGCAACAGATAGGTAGAACTTTTTTGCTAAACATACATCTGATGGAGGAATTATATCCAGAATATATAAAGAACTCTCTAAACACCGTAAGAAAACAACTCAAAACAATGGCAAAAATTTTGAACTGACATTTCACTAAACAAAATATGCTAGTGACAATTAGGGAGTTGAAAAAATTCTCAACATCCTTGTTCATTAGGGAAATACAAATTAGAACCAAATGAGATACCACTACCCACCTTTTAACATGGCTAAAATTATACTAAATATCAGCAAGTTGTGTAGGAGCAGGAGTTTTCATACACTGCTCTGCTGGTGGGAATGTAAATGGTATAGCAACTTTGGAAAAGAGTTTATCAGGGTTTTCTTTGTTTGTTTTTGTTTTGTTTGTTTGTGATGGAGTCTCACTCTGTTGCCCAGGCTGGAGGGGCAGTGGCGCGATCTTGGCTCACTGCAGCCTCTGCCTCCTGGCTTCATGCCATTTTCCTCCTCAGCCTCCTGAGTAGCTGGGACTACAGGTGCCCGCCACCACGCTTGGCTAATTTTTGTATTTTTAGTAGAGACGAGGTTTCACCATTTTGGCCAGGAAGGTCTCAATTTCCTGACCTCATGATCCACCTGCCTCCACCTCCCAAAGTGCTGGGATTACAGGGGTGAGTCATCATGCCCAGCCTAGCAGTTTCTTAAAATGTATACCTACCATATGACCCAGCAATTCTACTCTTAGGTGTTTATCCAAGAGCAATGTCCACAGAAAGATGTGCACAAATATCCATAACTGTTATTTGTAATTACCCCAAAATAGAAACAACCTGCACATCCATCAAAAGGCAAATGGATAACTGTGGTATATCCACACAATGGAATAATAGCAGTAAAAATGAATGAACTTTTGATGCATGCCTTAACATGGATAAATCTCAAAATAATTATGTACAGTGAAAAGAGCTAGATGTACGATTCTATTTATATGAAACATTCTGAAAAGGTAGACTTACAGACATAGAAAGTTAAGTGATTGCTTCAAGCTGGGGATGGGAACAGAATGACTGCAAAGACTTGAGGGATTTGGGGATTATTTGAAATGTCCTAAAACTACATTCGGTTGATGATGTATGATATTAACAATTTCTGGTCGGTGCAGTGGCTCATGCCTGTAATCCCATCACTTTGGGAGGCCGAGGCAGGCAGATCACCTGAGGTCAGGAGTTCAAGACCAGCCTGGCCAACATGGTGAAACCCTGTCTCTGCTAAAAATACAAAATTAGCCAGGCCTGGTGGTGCATGCCTGTAATCTCAGCTACTTGGGAGGCCGAGGCAGGAGAATCACTTGAACTTGGGAGGCCAGAGGTTGCAGTGGGCCGAGATCGTGCCATTGCACTCCAGCCTGGGTAACAAGAGCAAAACTCCGGCTCAAAAAAAAAACAGACAAACAAAAAAAAAAAAACAAGAAACAAAAATTAACAATTTCTAAAACAAAATAACAAAACCGACATTGAATCGGGGTTGGGGGCAGAGTAGTTTCTTCTTGGGGGCTGGATGGCGCTAAATAGAACTTACAGGGCAGAGTTTCTACCCTGGCAAGTTAAGGTGCTGTGACTGAGGTTAGGAAGAGACCATCAGAGGCCACCCACATGCTGTGGCTCTCTGCTAATAAGAGTCAGAGCCCCCTGGGAGGGAGTTGAGCATTTGCGTGGTAAATTGTACTGAAATTTCCTGATGCCACTGAAAGTTGTGCTCAGCAAACTTCATGGAAGTTTATGTACTTAGTCTGTAAGTTCTGCTGGTGTTTTTTGTTTTGTTTTTTTTTTTTGAAGTGATGATCCAGGGCCCTATTGATTTTATCTGTCAGATATTGAGAGCTCACCTGGTTTACATCACATTAGAATACAGATTTGTTGAGTGAATTGGATAAAAATCCAAAATATCACCTTGGTTAGAAGAGTTCTAAGGGGAAAACAATACAAATCGTTCCAAATGACAGGCTTTAAATGTTTTCTCCTCTAGGCAATCCTGGAGAACAACCTCCCTTCTGAAATGGCTAGCAAGATCAACCTTGTGGACCTAGCAGGCAGGTAATTAGGATTTTAAAGCTAAGGGGAATTACTCTTGTTCTTGCCTGTTTTACAGGGAATAAGCTGTTCCAATCTTTTTCACATTTCAGTCATCCTGAGAGTATTACAAAAGAAATAAGCTCTTTGAATGCTAGGTTAAGAAGTTATTTTCTAGGGGCCGAAAAGTTCCTCTACATCAGGGATTCTCAATCTTGGTTGTACATTAAATCACCTGAGGACCTTTTCTTTTTTTGAGACAGTCTTACTCTGTTGCCCAGGCTCCAGGCTGGAGTGCAGTAGTATGATCATGGCTCATTGTAACCCTGAACTACTGGGCTCAAGTGACCCTCCTGCCTCAGCCTCTGGAGTAGCTGGGACTACAGGCACGTGACACCACATCTGGCTTTCTTTCTTTCTTTCTTTCTTTTTTTTAATGGAGACAACATCTCATTATGTTGCCCTGGCTGGCCTCGCACTCCTGGCCTTGGGCGATTCATCTGCCTCAGTCTCCCAAAGTGCTGGGATTACAAGCGTGAGCCACTGCACCTGGCCACCTGAGGACCTTTTAAAACTCCCCATACCTACATCTCAGATCAATCAGATTATTAGGAGGTTGGTGGGAGTGCAAGCATCAGGATATTGTTAAAGCTGCCCAGGTGATTCTAATGTATAGGAAGGATTAAAAAACCACTGCTCTCAGTGAAGGTAACTGAATTAGTACAACTTTTCTCTTTGATTTAATATTGATTTTATTTTTTCTTTAATATTGATTTTTATGCAGTTCTTTACTTAAAAAAAAAGTTTTACTTTGTGGTGCACATCTGTAGTCCCAGCTATTCAGGAGGCTGAGGTGGGAGGATCACTTGAGCCCAGGAGTTTGAAGCCATCCTGGGCAACATAACAACATAGCTCAACCCTATCTCTAAAGAAAAAAAGTTTAAAAAATCTTGAAAGGTTGAGAAGATACTGCCTTGTAGGTATTAGAAGGGAGCATGAATTATAGTTACATATGTATTTAGAAAGAGGTAGTCTTGAGGGGGATAATGTGATCACAAGAAAGGGTAAGATGAAATAAGGCAAATTTTCTTATTTTAAAACATAATATGGTACAGTATTCCCTTAAGAACTAAGTGCTGTTTGAAAGGAACTATTATCAGCCAATTGGAAGTGTGAATTTTTAATATTTCCCATTTACTTAAAAAAGAAATTCAAACTGTTGTCAGCTAACGGCACAAATACCATAAAACTATAAATATAGGAATTTAAAACAATAGAGAAGTGAATATACCAAAAAGCCGTGCTAATATCATTACTGTAAATGAGCATTACATTTAGCATAAAGTGTTCTGACAGTCAAAATAAAAACAGAAACATAATGAGTTATTTGATTTTTATTGCCTGAGAAGCAGAAAAAGTCCAGTTCATTACAAAATGGTAACATTTTCTTCTGGAACTGAATTCTAAAAGGAATTTATTATGTGAGTCCTTTACAGCATGATATACAGAATAACGGATAGTATTTTTCAACAGCATTGTAAAGATAGTGTCTTATTTGCTTTTGTTTTTGTTTTTCATTGACTGTGTTTTAGCGAAAGAGCAGATCCCAGTTACTGTAAGGACCGCATTGCTGAAGGAGCCAATATCAACAAGTCCCTTGTGACTCTAGGAATTGTCATCTCCACCTTAGGTATTTTCTGATAGATAATGGGAGTGGGAGGGAGAGTTCGGAAAATAACTCATGTTTTCATTTTGTCGCAATAGGGTAGACACAGGGTTCCTTTTGATAAGGTTACCTTCTGGTTTGGGGCATGAAAAGTTGATATTTGTCCTTGGTTTTAGAGTAGAATGCTGTCCTACTACCATCATTTCTCAAAGAGGGGAGTCTAAAAAATTATGTGACTCAAACATTCCATATCGTGAGTCTAAAGTCTTTAGGAATACCTAAAATATCCTATTGTATGCAGAAGGGATTAGGAAATATGATACTTAAGTCTGTGTTCTCCAACCATTGTTTTGTTTTAATATATTTGCTTCATAATTCCTTCTTTCTTCCATTTTCTTTTTTCATCTTTTAAGCCCAGAACTCCCAAGTTTTCAGCAGCTGCCAGAGCCTCAACAGCTCAGTCAGCAATGGTGGTGACAGTGGGATCCTTAGCTCTCCTTCTGGGACCAGCAGTGGAGGGGCACCCTCCCGAAGGCAGTCTTATATCCCATACCGAGACTCTGTGTTGACCTGGCTGCTGAAGGACAGCCTTGGAGGCAACTCTAAAACCATCATGGTTGCCAGTGAGTGGGATGCCAGAGCTGGACCTGTGTTGGGACTGGTACTCTATCTCAGAGAAAGGGCCATGGCCCCAGTGAGTGGGATGCCAGAGCTGGATCTGTGTTGGGACTGGTACTCTATCTCAGAGAAAGGGCCATGGCCCCAGTGAGTGGGATGCCAGAGCTGGATCTGTGTTGGGACTGGTACTCTATCTCAGAGAAAGGGCCATGACCACCTAGGTTTCTCATTTCATCAGGGGTCTTATACAGCATGGGCAGTAGTAACAAGGCAAGTGATTAAGAGCTGGGATGGATGGGCTGGCATGTTTTTAAACTTTCTCCTTCTACCTCAGCGGTGTCTCCTGCACACACTAGCTACAGTGAGACCATGAGCACACTGAGATATGCATCCAGTGCCAAAAACATTATCAACAAGCCACGAGTAAATGAGGTGAGACCTTTTCAGAAGTCCTGGTCTGGTATAGTTTACACAAAGCTTTCCTTATTTTTTTTTCTCTCGTGATTTCTTTCTCTTTGTACTCACCTCAACTTTCCAGACTTGTCCTCCAGATGATGAGGGAGTAGAATTCTTTCTTGTACTGTCATCTCCTTCTTTCCTATCTCTACTGCCTTCATTCAGTAACCTTTTATGAATGACTTATTTCAGATACTTCTCTAAGGCCATTCCTCTTAAGATTTCTTAGTTTACCATTACTACTCTAAGAAAGGTCATTTATTTTTTATTTTATTATTTTATTTTTAGAGACAGGGTCTCACTCTGTCACCCAGGCTGGAGCGCAGTGGTGCAATAATGGCTCACTCTAAGAAAGTTCATTTAAAAAGTTTGTGTTTACTGCTTTTATTTTGAATTTATGTTGATTTATTCCTGTGTTTTTGTATTTGTTTGCCTGTTTTGAGAAGGGGTCTTGCTCTGTTGCCCAGGCTGGAGTGCAGCAGCACTATTGTGGCTCACTGCAGCTTCAACCTCCAGGGCTTAAGTGATTCTCCCACCTCAGCCTTCTGAGTAGCTGGAACCACAGGTGCCTGCCACCATGTTAGGCTGGTTTTCAAAAAAATTTTTGTAGAAACAAGGTCCCACAATATTGCCCAGGCTGGTCTCAAACTCCTGGACTCAAATGATCCTCCTACCTCAGCCTCCCAAAGTGCTGGGGTTACAGGTGTGGGCCAAAGTGCCCAGTCTTATGCCTGTGTTTTTTTATGCAAGTAGTCTGTGTTTTATTTTTCTCTATGCAAATTGCAGTGACTTCTCTGTTTAGATTAAAAGGAGAGTGTATGAATTCATTGGTTTTTGTTTATCCTTTAACACACACACACACACACACACACACACACACACACCCCATACGTACACTGTTTTAAAAAGGCAATGTAATTAGGCAGTATAGGCTTAGTCACAATACAGGAAGGTTAGTACCTACTACCTATACATGCCCTGGCTTTTGTGTTACCTGCTTGACCTCTAGGGAAATGATTCTCAAACTTTAGTGTGTATCCGAATCACCTGGAGGGTTTGTTAGAATGCTGCTGGGCCCCAGTCCTTCAGAGTTTCTGATTTATTTGGTCTGGGGTGGGCCAAACTGTGCGTTTCTAACAAGTTCTTAGGTGAAGTGGGTGCTGCGGGTCCTGGGACCACAACTTGAGAATGACTGCTGTAGAGACTACTCCAAAGGAGTAATCTACCTCTTCCCAGCCAATTGCAACTAGCATTTCACAGCTGAGTGGGACTTGATAACAATCAGTGGTGATGGAGTTCTCTGTGTTTCAGGATGCAAACTTAAAACTGATTAGAGAACTCAGAGAAGAGATTGAAAGACTGAAAGCCCTGCTGCTGAGCTTTGAACTGGTATGCAGACAGTCAGAACCTTTCCGTACTTAAGTGAAATTCTCCTTCTGAGCCTCTTTTCTTCTCCATAGAGTCTGGGCCCTGCTGCATTCTATGTTCTCAATTGACTCTCTTACGGCAGAGACAGGAGCAAAGACAAAACAGAGATTTCTCTGATTTCTCAGTGTAGCTTCAGATGGTGTGGGCATTTTTTCACTTTATCATCTCTTGTCTTGTGCCTGGATGGTCCTTGCCCTGTGTGGGCAGGTACGGAGAATGGGGCCCTCCAGGAAAATTTCTTTGTATTTTCCATCTTTGTACCAATATGAGCCCAAATACTTAGGCTCCTGATTTCTTATTTTAATAATAAAGTTTTTCCTTTATCTGCATCTTATCCTCCTCCACAAGTGTAAGGGTGGGACCTACCTGAAGTTCAGACCAGGAAAATATCAAAGCACATCTCTATCTTTGTGCAGAGAAACTTCAGTTCATTGAGTGATGAAAACCTGAAGGAGCTGGTTCTCCAAAATGAATTGAAGGTGGGTGTGTTGGGTGGACTCAGTTGTTCTTTACATCACCTGGGAGCTCCTCCATTATTCCGGAGCTAGGTAGGGTTGCTCCCTTGGCAGGGCAGAGAAGAGCTGTCTCATTTAAATACAATGTTTGTTTCCTTTAAGCCTTGACCGGGGGATGTGTTTGCCTAGGGGGACTGTTAATGGCTTTCTGACTTTCTGTATTGTTCTCTCAGGGATTCGTAAGTCCTTTGGATAGTGAGAGTAGCCTGGGGGCAAAAGACTGTTTTCTTGTCTAAATCAGTCAACCAAGATGTATTCATTGTTTGAGGATCAAATAGGTGCTCAGCATGATGCTGCAAGAGGTACAGAGAGGTCCCTGCCCTCATATGGTTTGCAGTCTAGTTGGAAACACATTTAGAGAATGGTGTGTTTCATGAACCATGTGATTTAGCTGAAAGAGTCTAGGGAAGGAAGAAATCATTATGGTTTGGGATTTTCAGAGCAGATATCATATGTTGGTGCTGGAAGGCAGAGAACTGACCTTGAACTAGCCCTTGAAGGTTTGCTAGGGTTGTTACATAGGGAGAAGGGGTAAGGCATTGGGTGAGGGAGGGATAACATAAGCAAAGCCTTGAAACTGGGAGAAGGAAGGGGTGTGAGAGGCCATGTGGAAGCACACACCGTGAGGAAGACTAAGCTGGTTAGAATGGGTGTTCATGGTAGAGGGTAGTGCAGGTAAGGTTAGGGCACATTTAGAAGGTTTGAACTTGGTGTAAACAGGATTAATAGCTTCTTGAATCAGGTTGGTGACATAATAAAGGAGTATCTTTGGAAAATTAATATGATAGTTGTATGCAGGATGAATTGAAAGGTGGGAAGACTGGAAGCAGGGGACTAACCAGGAAAGAGACTGCTGTAACCCCGTGAGGGCAAGGACAAGACATTTTGGAAAAGTAGAATAAATGGTGATTCCCAGAGACATTTTTTTTTATTAATTTTATTTTTTTTGAGAGGGAGTCTCACTCTGTCACCCAGGCTGGAGTGCAGCGTTGTGATCTCAGCTCACTGCAACCTCCGCCTTCCAGGTTCAAGTGATTCTCCTGCCTAAGCCTCCTGAGTAGCTGGGACTACAGATGTGCACCACCACACCTGCCTAATTTCTGCGTTTTTAGTAGAGACGGGGTTTCACCACATTGGCCAGGCTGGTGTCAAACTCCTGGCCTCAGGTAATCCACCCGCCTTGGCCTCCCAAAGTGCTGGGATTACAGGCATGAACCACTGTACCTGGCCCCCAGAGATATTTAAAAGGAAGAAATGGTGGGCAGTTTTTTTTGTTGACGGATTAGATTTATTTTTATTTTTTTATGTTATTTTTTTTGAAACGGAGTCTCACCCTGTCACCCAGGCTGGAGTGCAATGGTGCGATCTCAGCTCACTGCAACCTCTGCCTCCCAGGTTCAAGCAATTCTCCTGCCTCAGCCTCCTAAGTAGCTGGGATTACAGGCTCACGCCACCACGCCCGACTAATTTTTGTATCTTTAGTAGAGATGGGGTTTCACCGTGTTGGCCAGGCTGGTCTCAAACTCCTGACCTCGTGATCCACCCACCTCGGCCTCTCAAAGTGCTGGGATTACAGGCGTGAGCCACCGCACTTGGCCTATTTTTTATTATTTTGGGACAGAGTTTCGCTCTTGTCATCCAGGCTGGAGTGCAATGGTGTAATCTCGGCTCGCTGTAACCTCTGCCTGCTGGGTTCAAGCAATTCTCCAGCCTCAGCCTCCCAAGTTGGGATTACAGGCACCCACTGCCACGCCAGGCTAATTTTTTGTATTTTCAGTAGAGAGGGGTTTCACCATGTTGGCCAGGCTGGTCTTAAACTCCTGATCTCAGGTGATCCGCTTACCTCAGCCTCCCAAAGTGCTGGGATTACAGGCGTGAGCCACCACACCCGGCAGACAGGTTAGATTTAAATCCTACAACCAAACGTTTCAATTTCCAATATTCTGTTGCATCATCCTTATATGTTATTAAAGTATCCTGGCCATGTTAACATTTTGTCACCCTTAGTAAACCTCAAGACTAAATCACACGTCTAGAAGTTTCTCTAAAAAATTCCTCCTTCAGTCATGTATTCTGATTTTTTGTTCAGAAAATATCATCCCTCTATACTAAGAGATGAAGTAGTGGAGCCAAAATCATTCCAAACTCATTAGCATTCTTGCATTATGCAGGCCAGCTGAGCTGGACTTGAACCTGCCCCTTGTTGGCTGTATGATCTTAGGCAGTGTAGGAGTAGGTGGTGAAAGCTGGCCAGAGGGGCAGCTGTGCCAGGTTGGCTGAACTGTAAGCCAGAGTGTCCTGCCACTCACCAATGCCAGGGGTCCCTATCCAACCCAGCCCTTTACAGGTACCCTGTAGTTTCCTGGTTTCCAAACTTCAACTCAATGATTATTAAAATAATGTTTCTAGGGTACATAAAGCACTTGTACCTAAACCTGGCATAATTTTTTTTAACTATTCCCTTTATGAGAGAAGCACTTAGCTAAATCTAATTTTTTTTTTTTTTTCTGAGCTTCCTCAGTTCTTCCATTCCCAGGATAAGCTCAATGCTTAGGCATCGGTTTCCACTAAAAGAAGAAAAAGTACCCTACATTTATCACTGTGCATGTCCCTAAAGTGGTCTTAGCTTAAGGCCTCTAAGGCTGGGTACATTTACTTTTAAAAACTCTGTTCCTGGTACACAGTAAGAACTCAGTATTCTACTGTTATTATTGTTTTTATTGTCTTATTACATGATCTTCCAGACAAGTTCCATATAGTCTTAGTTCCACCTGGGGAGATTCCTCTCAGTGCTTTGTGGTTCTGTGAGCCGTGTGCAAGCTTATATTATAACTCAAAGTACTGTACTTTGGGAAAGAAGTGTGTAGGTCATAAAAGGGTTCCCAAGTATGGATCATGTAAAACTGGGGTGGGGAAAGGGAAATTATAAACATAGATGTCTAACATCCCAATTAATTTTTAAAGAATAACTTGAAAATAACATGTTTTTTTCTAATTATAAAAACAATACATGTTCATTGCAGAAAACTTTAAAAATAACATTTATTGAGGGGGCTTCTGTTTATACAAGTAACACTTGCTTATTGAAGAAAACTTGGAAAACACAGCTTGCAGTTGGAGGAGGTACAAGGGCTTCTGTGGGGCTTTGAATAGTATCTGGGAGGATCATAAGAAAGCAGTACCCTGGGGAAATAGGAATAGATTGTAATGACTTCTGACCTTTAGTCTGTTCCCCATGCTGAGTGTCTCAGATCACCTCCTATACCTCTGCAGATAGACCAGCTGACTAAAGACTGGACCCAGAAGTGGAATGATTGGCAGGCCCTCATGGAGCATTACAGTGTGGACATCAACAGGAGGAGGGCTGGGGTGGTCATCGACTCCAGCCTGCCACACTTGATGGCCTTGGAGGATGATGTGCTCAGCACAGGTGTTGTGCTCTATCATCTCAAGGTGAGGAGGCTAGTGTATCCTTTTCTTCCTAAGCCACTGGTTCCAGAGGTCAAGGAGGGAAAAGCTAGGAGCAGCAGCCATGTTACTGTGAATTGAAATCAAGACAGATGCTACAGAGCTGCCTTCAGGTTTGCTCTCAGGAAACGTCTACCTGACAAATTGTGATCTGTTTTGCCTTCGTATGTATAGAGCAGAAGACTGGAAATCAGAACAATTGTTTTTCAACTGCTGCTACTGTTGTTCTTATGTAACTTACTTTTGTTCTCTTTGCCTTAATTTCCTCATTTTAAAGTAAGAATGATGCTTATCATATTCCTTTTCTGGCTTAGTGAAGCATAGGGGTATAGTCATGGAGAGTGAAACCCTAACCTCAAGATAACCATTAGTGCTCCTAAACTCTACAAATACAGACTGCTCAAAGGTGGCTTTCAGGTTGGGCGCGGTGGCTCACACCTGTAATCTCAGCACTTTGGGAGGCTGAGGCGGGCAGATCACTTGAGGTCAGGAGTTCAAGACCATCCTGGCCAACATGGTGAAACCCCACCTCTACTAAAAATACAAAAGTTAGCCGGGCGTGGTGGTGGGAGCCTGTAATCCCAGCTACTTGGGAGGCTGAGGCAGGAGAATCACTTGAACCCAGGAGGTGGAGGTTGCAGTGAGCTGAGATCACGCCACTGCGCTCCAGCCTGGGTGACAAAGTAAGACTCTGTCTCAAAAATAAATAAATAAAATAAATAAAAATAATGTTTTTAAAAAAAGGTGGCTTTCAGAGACTAAAGGGAATTCAGAAGATTTGAAAGTTTTCTTCTGACACTTCCCCACTTCATTCAACCCCAAATAAACAGTACACTTCCCACTTCTCCATCACTACATTTACCTGGAAAAGGAGACAGAGAAAGTAGGTAAAGGAAGCTTAAAACATAGGGAGGGTCCAAAGAGCTAGAGTAGTGTGATGGTGGGGGAAGAGGGGATGACAGGCATCCATCTAGAAAAAGATTAAAGTTAAAGCTTCCAAACAGCACCTGGCCCACCTGGCTCTGTGTCACCTGGAGGCCAGTCCTCATTTCTGATTGAAGTGGTTTTGAGAGTTAGTGACCTATGGTAGATAGAGTCTTTTATCTTGTTCTCATCAATGTGTTCTACTGTGGGAGGACAGTTCCTTTTGACAGCAGAACGTACTTCCCATGCTCAAAATCCCTGTGCTCACTGAAAATCTAGTTTTCATTCTCATAATTATCCCCAGCTGACGTTTAAAAAGAACAAAGAGTTTCTGGGGAGTATGTAATGCTGCTGTTATCCCTGGAGAAATTGGACTCCTTCTTAGTGCTGCAGGGCATATGGAAGTGAGATGTTAGCAAAGCTCATCGGTGTTCTTAGGATAAGCCCTTTGGGAAGTTGTCAGAGACTGAGCTGCTCAGACAGAAAATTTAAAGTAGCTTATTTTCTGGTATACAGGGTATAAATTTTCTTAGTGAA